>NC_000002.12:10316755-10623511 GCF_000001405.40 Homo sapiens | reverse complement strand
CAGGATCTTACAAGAGGTAAGAAAGTCACTTTCCCATAAGTAATGTTTCATTCAAATTTCGAAGGACGTTCAGGAATTAGGCAGTGATGGTGGATAGAAGGGTGGCAGAATCAGGGAGATCATCCTGTACAGAGGGAGCTGAAGTAAGACCCACGAGCCCCGGTCCGTTCAGTCTGTTTGGGAAGAGCTTGGGTTTTTCAGCGGCTCTTAAGGAATGGGAGATACTGATACTTCTCCGGTAAGACTGGAGAAGTATCAGGACTTAAAGCCAAACCTTTTGTACCATGTTAAAATTTTACTTTTGCTTTAACTAGAGTGGCATGCCTTTGAAGGGTTTTATTCAAGGGACTGAAATCAGATAGGTGTGTTAGATTATTCTGCCTGTTTAATGGGGGTTGTCTTTGGAAGCCAGGGATAGGACACACTGTAATTGATTAGAAAAAATAATGAGGGCCCCATTTAAGGCAGTAGGCATGGTGAGGGAAGAGTTGGGTGTGAGAGACAGTAAGGAGTGTGCTCATAGAGTGCGGTGATTCGTGGGGGAGTGATGGATGATGGGGAGAGAGGGGAACTGAATGAGCAGTGGTACCATTCACAGAGGTAAGGTGGAATAGATACTAAATTCAGTTTTGGCCATCTTGAATTGTCTTAATTCTGACTCTTCATATATATGAGTTAAACTGCTTCCTGGGAGGGAGTTTTGAGCTTTTGTTTTTCTGGTTCATCTCCATGGAAAAGGTCAAAGGTTATGAGTTAGGTTCTTGAATTTTCTGGAGAAAAAAAAATCATCTTTATTATCTACACTTTGAATATCTGTTCTCAGCCAGCAGCACTAGTACTGACTTGAGTGCTCACTAATAGCCTCAATGTTGAATTAGGGGCTGGGTCTCCGCTCCTTTACAGAGTACTTGAAATAATTGAGGTTTCAGTTTGATAGTGTAAGGGACTTGTTCACCACTTGGTATCTGCATCTGTGCCTGTATTCTTTTGGGGGTGTTTATTTTTTCTTCTCTCTTTTTTTTTGAAAAACGCTCTAACTAAAAAAAAAAATTTAACCTTGTAACAATACATAACCAAGAAGATAAAAGTCCTTCATTACCATTATTAACAAGTTACTAACAAGTTGGTGCACATGCTGTGCAGTCAAGTCACGTATGACACACACAGCGTGGCATGGGGCTTGAGCAGAATCAGGGTCTCCTTATACTATTCTCAAAGGTTTTTTTGATCACAATATCATTTTGGTCAGCACGTAAATCAAGCTCTCTTTTTAATAGTTGCATAGTGTTTTGTTGTGTAGATATATCATACTTTATTTACATAGTTTCCTGTGTTAACTGTTTACCATCTACATTTTCCAGTTCTCTAAACCAGTGCTGTCCAGTTCTCTAAACCAAAGTCTGCCACCAGCGTTTCTGTGATGACGGACACGTTCTATATCTGCTGTGTCCTGTGTGGTAGCCATTAGTCACATGTAGCTGTTGAGCACTTGAAATGTGAGTACTGCATCTAAGGGACTGAATTTTTAATTTCATTTAATTAATTTTAACTTAAATCGCCACAGGTGGCTTAGTGGCTGCCTTATTGGGCAGCATAGCTCTAAACTATTCCAGAGTCAAGTGAGATCATTAGGCTACTTCCTTAGACCACATGCTTTGGTCTTCATCAATTATAGTTTAATGATTTTCTTTGATGTTGAACTTCTGTAAGCCTCTCAAAGAAATATATTTTGTTGCCAGACTCCTTTAAAGGTCTATATTTTGCTGCTTGAGTTTTGTTCCAACAGAGAATTTCTTCTTCCAGATCTATCAGTGTACTTCCCTCTAGCAAGTAAAGGGTATCTGTCGACCTTACTGTGCATCTCCTTTTGTCTTGGTTGCCTAGAAGCCCAAAGTTAATTTTTATTTTTATTATTTTTGAGACAGGGTCTTATTCTGTTGCCCAGGCTGGAGTGCAGTGTCCTGATCACAGCTCACTGCAGCCTTGAATTCCGGGGTTCAAGTGATTCCCCAACCTCAGTCTCCCAAGTACCCAGGACTACAGGAATGTGCCACCACACCCAGATAATTTTCGTATGTTTTATAGAGATGGAGTCTCACCATGTTGTCCAGGCTGGTCTTGAATTCCTGGGCTCAAACGATACTCCTGCTTTGCCATCCCAAAGTGCTGGGATTACAGGCCTGAGCCACCACATCCCAAAGTTAAATTTTTGATTGAATTATAGCAGTTGGTTTTTTTTGCCTCTCACCACCACCCCTATCAAACTTCATCACTTTCTTTTCCTTATGAGTTTAAAGATTTCGTTATGTGTATGGTTTTTTTTAAATAAAGCTCTTCATATTCTTTTTGCAGGTGCTTAGATTTTACATGAAGTCTTTTGGATCTATCCTAAAACTTCACTAAAAAATGATTAGCAGCGGCCAGGCACAGTGACGCACGCCTGTAATCCCAGCACTTTGGGAGGCCGAGGCAGGTGGATCTTTTGAGCTCAGGAGTTCGAGACCAGCCTGGCCAACATGGCAAAACCGTCTCTATTAAAATACAGAAAATTCGCCTGGCATTATTGTGCATACCTTTGGTCCCAGCTACTCAGGAGGCTGAGGCAGGAGCATCGCTTGAGCCCAGGAGGTGGAAGTGGCAGTGAAGTGAGATCATGCCACTGCACTCCGGCCTGGGTAATAGAGCAAAACTCTATCTCAAAAACAACAACAACAACAAAAATCAACAGTATATACACACTGCTTCCCTCCCACAGTCATGCACACCCACATATACATCTTAGTGAGATTCTAAATATTATCACATGTTTGTGGGAATCCTGTTTATTACCTCAGAGGAAACTATGCATACTTAAGACTCTACTTAAGTACTGTTGTGGTTGACCACATTTTATTCCACTGAGTTCAGATTGAGTTCCTTTATGTCCTTTGCTGTGTCAGTATCATGCTTTCTTTCCTTCAGCTTTATTTGGGGGAACATATGGGAAATCTTATTTTGTATGAATTTAAAATACGTTCTTCAGGATTTCCTAGTTCCGTGCATGACCGCCTCCCCAAGATAATCGGTAACTGCTAAATGGTGTTAATATATTTTTTCACCTTCCTAGAATAGCACTGTTAAGGTATAGAACCTTGAATAAAAGTGTACATATAATTTTTTTAAAGTTTTGCTCTTCCTTTTTTTCTGCCGAGTTTCCCCCCCTGGGTATTTTTACATATATCGGTACCCTTAGTTTTTACATAGATTTCAAAATTAAGAATTAGAAAGCAATAAGAATATGCAGAAAAGTTATTAATAAACACTTTTGCCTGCAAGGAAGTCGAGTAGAACCAGGAAACTACTGATGTGCTAAGGATAACACACCAAACCATCTGTGTTACTAACTCTTGGCAGGAATAAAATGACAAAACAAGATCTTGGGAGATGCTCATTACCAGGTGCATGATCAAAAAGATAAATACATTCTCATGTAAAAAAATTGGCGTAGTGCCTTTAGCATCCTTGGGGCATGTGTGCGTGTGCATGTGGGCAAGTTTAGCATTTGGTGTAGTTAGGAAATTGGGAGAGGAAAAGGGTAGAAGTAGAGGACTTTAACATTGCTTAGAGTCATTGTTATTGCAAAGTCTGGAAGTGAACTCTAGGAAACTGCACTGGAATTCAAGTGTAATATGATGATAAACATCAAATGACTGTTTGTAGCCGAGGTGCAAGGCCAGGCTCTTCAGGAAAGAATGAATAGGAGACCTTAAAATAAACATCTGTTTTTTTATTCAGCTAACAGTGGACTTTGAAGAAGATTGGGGCCATGTTCAGATTTTCTTTTTCTTCCTTGAGAATTGAAGAAAAATGTCAGCTGAGGATTTTTTTATGCTATTTAACATGTCATTTGTAGTGTTTCATGAAAAGCAGACAGATATGTAAAGCTTTTTATTCCACTTCAAATTAGAATAATAAGTTAGATCCAGTTTTGAATTTAAAAGAGAACTTTAACAGATATGTTTTATGAGTGAGTTTCATGATTTTGAATAAAATTTTCACACACTTAAACTACAGTGGTTTGGCCAGGTACGGTGGCCACAACTGTACTCCCATTGCTTTGGTAGGCCAAGGTGGGAGGATCATTTGAGCCCAGGAGTTCAAGACCAGCCTGGGCAACATAGTGAGACCCCGTCTCTACAAAATAAAATAAATTAAAAAATAAATTAGCTAGGCATGGGTACATGTCTGTAGTCCCAGCTACTCAGGAGGCTGAGGCAGGAGGATAGCTTAAGCCCGTGATCAAGGCTGCAGTGAGCTATGATCATGCCACTGTACTCCAGCCTGGGTGACAGAACAAGACTCTGTCTCATAAATACATAAATACATACATACCTACATACATACTACAGTGGTTCATTTGAAAGTAATTCTGTATGTCCTGTTCCTAAATGTTTTAGGAATATCTGGTTTTCACCAAGCTTGCATGTTCTGAATCCTGCTTAAGTTCAAAGTTTATAAACCTCCGTTAGGTACGTGAATTTAGTTTTCAGCAAATTATTCCTTTGGTTTCCCAGAAGCTTCCTTCACATTCCAGCTCCTCAAGTAAATGTTAAAAGTTTAACAAGGAAAAGGAGTGAATTGATTTTGTATATATTTTTGTTTGGTGAAATAGCAGAGTGTAGGCATAGTCTTTTCAGATAAGTTTGCTAAAAAGTAGTTTCCTGTCACCTCCCTTTGAAAAGAACTGAGGTGTGCCCCATCCTCAAACCTACCATCTTTCCAATTTATTTGTTTATTGGGGTAGTAGGTGGGAATAAATGTTTCTTAGATTTTTCTGGCCTCCCTTCCTAAGCCAGGGTAGCTCCTGGCAAATAGTCCCCAGACAAACCTTAACTGGGCCGCCTTCCTGGAACCTCATTTTATACCCAAAATACAAAAAAATAAAAATACAAAAATAGGAAAACACATGAAGATAAAGTGCTGCAAACACACGACTTTGCAAATATTAATCATACAGAGCCAATCGCTTATGGTATAGAAATAGTCTGAAGTATTCTTTTGGCACAGCATTGCCTGTGTGATTCTCGCCAGAAAGGTTTAACTGGATCTGATTATGAGCAGTGATCAGCAGAGGACTGTGGGGAACCCCTGCAAATCAGGGCTCTTTCTAAGAGCTCTGGCCTGAGCCTTGAGCAGATGTCCACATCCTGAAAGTCAGTGAAGGTGGGGGCTCCTACATTAAAGGAAACTAAGGAGACATAATAACCTCCTTAATTCATTTTTTTTTAAAAAAACAGCTTTTTAAAGACATAATACACATACCATGAAGTTTATCCTTTTAAAGTGTATAGTCCTAAGCCAGGCTCTGTGGTACCCACCCATAATCCCAGCTATTCGGGAGGCTGAGGTGAGAGGATCGCTTGAGCCCAGGAGTTTGTGACCAGCCTGGGTAACATAGTGAGACCCCATCTCAAATAAAAAAGAAAAAAAAAAAAAAACATGAAGTGTACAGTCCAGAGTTGTGCAGTGGTTGCCACTAATTCCATGACGTTGTGTCACACTAACCAGAAACCCCATGCCAGTTTTTCTTCCTTCTCCTCCCTCTCCCAGCCCCTGCAACCACTCACCTACTTTCTGTCTATGCATTTGCCTTTTCTGGACATTCGTGTACAGTACGTGGTCTGTTTTTTCTTCAGCATGTTTCCCGGCCCGTCCATGTTGTACCATGTCTCAGTACTTTATTCCTTTTGATTGCTGAGTGACATTCCATTGTGTGGATATTATCACATTTGTTCACCCATTCATCAGTGGATGAATGTCATTATCCAGTTTTTACTAAGTCCAGTGTTTGGACTTAGTGAAGTAGCTAGTCTCTTAAAGATGAGTTCTCTGGCAACTTTCCCCCTCCCTTCATATGGACCCTGCTTTTCTTGTTTCTTTGTGTGTCCTGTAATTTTTTTGTTGGAAGCTGGATGCTTTAAGTAACATAATTTAGGAATTATGGAACTCAGTCCCTCCCCCAGGTCCCCAGGGTTTGTGGTTGTTTGTTTAGTGACTGTCCTGGACTAATTCTATAAAATCTGATTTCTTTCTAACGTGTGACCACTGAAGTCTCTGCTCGTTGCCGAACTGTCAGCTAATGAATAAACAGAGATTTCCTTCAATGCCCGGAACCAGTCAGTCGCCCAGCCTCTGCCAGAGTGATCCTCATGAATGCCCCTGCTCACCATTGCTCTCTCTATTCAAGCCACACTGGGCTGGTCTTTTTACTGATCCACAAACATGCCAAGCAATTCCAACCTCTAGGCCTTTGTAGTTGTCAGGTAGTCTTGAGGGTCACTCCCTCCTGCCCCTTGGGTCCCTGTCCATCATCTCCCCTTCCCCTCTATTCTTCATTGCCTTCTCTCCTTCAGTTTCCACAGCACCAGTCTCTGTCTGTCATACTCTCCACTGCCTCTCCCTTGTTTGTAGTTTCCCCTTTCTGGAAGGTAAGCTCCTTGAGGGTGGGGATTGTTCTGTGTTTTGTCACTGAGTATCTAGAGAGAAGGGAAAGTGCCTGCCTCTTTGTTGAATAAGTGAATGGGGAGGTAACTCTTTGTTGAATAAGTGAATGGGGAGGTAACTCTTTGTTGAATAAGTGAATGGGGAGGGAGCTTAGGCAACCTGTTCTTATTTAAGAATGAGGGCCAGACGTGGTGTCTCACTCCTGTAATCCCAGCACTTTGGGAGGCCGAGGCCAGTGGATCACTATAGCTCAGGAGTTCAAGACCAGCCTGGGCAACATGGCGAAACTACATCTCTACAAAAGATACAAAAATTAGCTGGGCATGGTGGCACACACCTGTAGTCCCAGCTACTTGAAGGGCTGAGGTGGGAGGATTGCTTGAACCTGGGAGGTTGAGGTGGCGGTGAGCTGAGATCGCACCACTGCACTCTAGTCTGGGTGATAAAGTGAGACCCTGTTTCAAAAAAACAAAAAAAAATGAAGAATGAGGTGCTAAAATGCCAACTGGGGCCAGACACGGTGGCTCATGCCTGTACTCCCAGCACTTTGGGAGGCCAAGGCGGGCGGATCACCTGAGGCCAGGAATTTGAGAATAGCCTGGCCAACATGGTGAAACCCCGTCTCTACTAAAAATACAAAAATTAGCCAGGCGTAGTGGCACACGCCTGTAATCCCAGCTACTTGGCAGGCTGAGGCACAAGAATCCAGGAGGCAGAGGTTGCAGTGAGCCGAGATCGCACCACTGCACTCCAACCTGGGTGACAGAGCAAGACTCTGCCTCAAAAAAAAAAAAAAAAAAAAAAAAAAAAATGCAGGGTGGTGTTGTCCACTGGTAGTTTTCATGTGGACCCTTCAGCTAATGACTCTACCCAGATATCAATATCTTAAAGTCTGTCTTCTGGGACCTTTCATTTACTCCAGAGAAGAATCCCCCAGTTTTGTTCTGAGGTGTTAGGGGTTTGGGCTGGTAGAGTGGACGCACAGCAGCATAGGCTTGACTTTGGCATTCCAGGGGCTGGGAAAAGGAGGCGAGGGTCCCACAGTTTGATGTCTAGACTGCCATTAATTGTCCTGACTTTAGCCCCACAGCTCAAGTCACCTGTGCCTGGTGGCATACTCCCCACCCACCCCGCACATAGGGCAGCTTTGGTTCCCCTCCTCCAGAGAATTATCTTCTGGTCTCTTTAGGCATGGTGGGGATTTGGGTGTTCATCAGCTCCATTGTTCCCCCTTTATTCGGGCCTGTGCCTCATCCTGTCGTCCCCCATGCTTAGAGCCTTGAAGTTCTTGTCCCAAGGATTCTGAGAGAGGAATCTTTTCTCTTTGCTGTTCACCTCTGTAAGCTCTCATGTTTACCCGGTTAAGTTTCTTAAATTACTGCATCTTCTTCTTCAGTTCTTTTTGTCCTTAAAGGTTAATACCTTTTAAAAGTTATTTACTGTCATTTTAAAAAGGCTTGACAGCGATGGGGGTACCACTATTAACCAAAAGCTCTCTGTGTTTCTTAACATCAGTTTTAATTTGGTGTTTAAATGTTTGCTTGGGGCGTCCTGTCTCTGCTAGCCCTTGACTGAAGGCACTCTGTCATGTGTATCTCTACTCATAGTGTCACAAAAATTGACTATTGCTTGATGGGCTATTAGTGAGATAGTGGCTTAAGGAATCTTAACAATTTTTTTTTAACTTGGCCTTATTTTTCTTGTTATTTCATTTCAGTCCCTAAATTATCTTTTCAAATATTAAGTCATGGCAGGTAATAGTTTTTCTTTTTTAAAAATAAATCTTTTAAAATGTTGAAATTAAATTGCTTCTTTGCTAATCTGATTTTTAAGAACAAAACACTACAAGTAGAGTACATTTAAATGACTCATAATTACTCACACAAATGCATGTAAACTTGGATATGCAATTAGGCAGCTCATTATGCTGCAAATGCAATTACATGCTTAAGGTCATGGCCACTCCCTCTGGCTCACCCAGTGTTCTCTTGGGTTTATGATCATTTATTAAGCCTCAGCTGTCAGAATTTGAAAATACATGCTGCTGCTCCTAGTGAGGCCTTTCCAACAATAATGGAAGAAAAGCTGGAAAAGAAAATTTTCTTTTGAGTTTATATGCAGAGTTGGTTTTCTTAATTGGCAAAATCCCATTTTCCCACAGGAGATGCAGGCTAGGTAATTAGAAAAATTATCATTAATCATAATAGTGGTCAGTGATATTTATAGTATATCTATATTTAGTATATATTTACCATATGTAGCTATGTATAGTGTGTATATACATTATAGTACAACTCCATCATCTCTTATCTGCAATTCTGAAATTTAAAAAGCCTTGAAAGTTTGTTTATAACCCTGTGGTAAACCCTGACTGGACCTGATTTATTAGGACTTCAACCTATGTGAAATAATGAATTTCTTTGTAGGTCTGTGTTTATCCCAAATCACTGGTATGAATTTGTGTAGGTTTTGCTGCAGAGATGTTAATATGATTTGATCATGGGCTACTGACCCAGACCTTACTGAAGTTTTTTTGTTATATACAGCATACATACTGTATTACTTTTTTAAAATGCAAAAAGTTATTTGTTTCAAACTCTGGTTCCAGTTGTTTCTGTTAAAGAACCAGGGCCTCACTGCAGTGAGCTATGGTCATACCACTGCACTCCAGCCTGGGCAACAGCAAGATCCTGTTTCCCAAAAAGAATCATGGCCTCACAGTAAGGGTAACAGATTTCTGGTTAGACCTGGATTTAAATTCTAATAGCGGGCTGGGCACTCTGGCTCATGTCTATAATCCCAGCACTTTAGGAGGCCGAGGTGAGCGGATCACCCGAGGTCAGGAGTTCAATACCAGCCTGGCCAACGTGGTGAAACACTGTCTCTACTAAAAATACAAAAATTAGCTGGGTGTGGTAGTGCATGCCTGTAGTCCCAGCTACTAGGGAGTCTGAGGCAGGAGAATCACTTGAACCCGGGAGGCGGAGGTTGCAGTGAGCTGAGATCGTGGCACTGCACTTCAGCCTGGGTGACAGAGTGAGACTCCTTCTAAAAAAAAAAAAAATTCTAATGGGGGATAAAAACCCTCTACCTCTTAGAGTGTGGGTTGCTAGTGCTATTATTATTTTTATTGTTGTTATTGTTTTTATTATTGTTCCAGTTCCAGAACTGATATTTATATCTATTTTTAGAGTGTCCTGAAAACAGTTCTATAATAAAATAACTAGATACTTGATATGGTTGTTAGGTGGTAAAAAAAACTTTTATATTCAAACTCCCTGTTGCTGTTAGTAAATGTAGTTCTTACCTGTTTGATTTAATAGTGTCATTATAACATAAAAGTTTAAATTCAATTTCTAGGATTGTAATAGTATAAGATCACTGAAAGGTAAAAATGACAATTCTTTTAACTAAACATCTTCTGTGTAATCAGTGAAATATATTAATTTTATGTAGCACTACATTCTTACTATTTAGTGTGGCAGTTAAGCTTTCCTGGTTATGAAACCATAGCCTCTCAGTTGTTCAGGGCCTTGCTCAAGTGCCCCTTGCAAAGCTATCTTGATCGGCCTCAGCAGATAAAGGGCTTCCTAGAACCTTTTAAAAATTTCTGTTTTGGCACTAATCCCATTGTATTGTACTTGATTGTTTTCCACTTACTTATGTTTGACTTTAGCACTTAACTTTTACCAAATGCTCAGTTAACTTTTTGAATGAATGAATGAAGTTGAAGAAATTAAGAATAATTTAGTCCTTCCACATAAGTATTGCTGTATTTGAAACAACTCTGTTCCTTTTGGGTTTCATTCTACTATTTTTATAGGGTATACTGTACTTGGAACATAATAAATATGGAATTTAATAAATATGTGATGAATAAAAATTGAATTAAAATCTATTTCATTACATTTCATGGTTTCAGTTTTATTCCTGAAATTAAAATAATTTACTTAGGTCCTTTTTCCATGTGATTCTTTTTCTTTCTCTTCTTGTCTTCTCTGGTCTTCTTTCTCTCTTTTTTTTTTTTAACAGGGTCTTATTCTGTTGCCCAGGCTGGAATGCAGTGGCGTGATCATGGCTCAGGTGATCCTCCCATCTCAGCCTCAGGAATAGCTGGGACCACAGGCACATGCCACCATACCTGGTTAATTTTTTAATATTTTTAAAAAATATATAAAAAATGTGTAGAGACAAGGCCTCACTACATTGCCCAGGCTTGTAAAAGAATATTTCTAGGCTGGGCGCTCTTGAAATTCCAGCACTTTGGGAGGCCAAGATGGGCAGATCACCTGAGGTCAGGAGTTCAAGACCAGCCTGGCCAACATGGTGAAACCCCGTCTCTACTAAAAATACAAAAATTTAGCTGGTTGTGGTGGTGAGTGCCTGTAATCCCAGCTACTCAGGAGGCTGAGGTATGAGAATCGCTTGAACCTGGGAGGCAGAGGTTGCAGTGAGCCTAAATCACGCCACTGTACTCCAGCCTGGGATACGGATGGAGACTGTGTCTCAAAGAAAAAAAATAATATTTCTAAAAAAAGATAATTTCAAATTTAATGGCTGTTCTATGTTATCAATTATTTTCTTATTTGTTCCATTAATAGTACGTTAGATAATGAAAGGCTTTGTCATACTCAGTAGCATTATAAATAAGCAGAAAAAAATGATGGCATTTGTATTGGTTTAGTAGACTTTGGTTCTTTGTCTATAATATTAATAGTACTTTGTTGTTGTTTTAATCACCCTTGATCTGTTAAAACCATTTATCTGGTAATCTTCAATCTTTTTTTCTGTCTCAGCACAGCTTTGGGATGTAGCACAGTGATTTTTCTAAAGTAGAGTGAGGGAAGGAGTATCTTCTTTCAGCTCCCTAAGAGTATTTATTTTATTTTTATTTTTATTGTTCTTAGAGACAGGGTCTCACTCTGTTGCCCAGGCTGGAGGGCAGTGGCACCATCATAGCTCACTGCAGCCTCCAAATCCTGGGCTTAAGGGATCCTCCTATCTCACCCTCCTGGGATAATATTTGGGACTACAGGTACATGCCATCATGCCCAGCTAATTTTAACAGTCTGTTTTTGTTTTTGTTTTTGTTTTGTTTTGTTTTTTTAAGCAGGGAAGCAGGGTCTAATTCTGTCACCCAGGCTGGAGTACAGTGACACAGTCTTGGCTCACTGCAACCTCCACCTCCCGGGTTCAAGCGATTCTCATGCCTCAGCCTCCTGAGTAGCTGGGATACAGGCATGCGCCACCACGCCTGGCTAATTTTTGTATTTATAGTAGAGATGGGGTTCCACTGTGTTGGCCAGGCTGGTCTCGAACTCCTGACCTCAGGCGATCCGCCCACCTCAGCCTCCCAAAGTGCTGGGATTACAGGTGTGAGCCACTGTGCCTGGCCAACAATATGTATTTTTGTAGAGACAGGATCTCACTGTGTTGCCCAGGCTACCTTGAACTCCTGGGCTCAGGAAGTCCTCTTGCCTTGGCCTTCCAAAGTGCTGAGATTAGGCGTGAGCCATTGCACCTGGCCCCTAAGATTTTTAGTGTTCACCCTTTTTCCTCCCCACTTGTAGTGCTTTACAGGAATACATGATAATTTTGAGTTTTATAATTAACATCTTAAAGACAAATTGTAATCATAGAAGCAGTGATCATCTTGGGCACATGGCATGTATTTTCATGTCCTTTAAAATTGGTTCTTCCGCTCAAGTAGATTGGCACAAGCAGATACTTTGCTGCATTTGAGTTGTGGCCTTCTTGTAGCATGTTGGTACATAAAGATTCATATTTTATAGAATCAAGTATTTCCATTTAGATTGGTTGATATGATTATCATTAAAGTTGCTAAGGGAGCCACATTATCCCTTTCTAGCAATCTGATGAATCAGTTTTCAATTTTCTACTTTTATTAATACTGACCTGTGAGTTGAAGAAATATTTGCTGGGCGCAGTACCACTGCCTGTAATTCTGTCTATTCTGGAGGCTCTCAAGAGTTTCAAGACCAGCCTAGGCAACACAGCAAGAACCTGTCTCTAAAAAAATAAAAAGAAAAAAAGAAAGTCTTATAAATTGACCACAGCATGGGCAACATGGTATGACTGAAGCATAGAATACAGCAATGTAACAGCAGGACAGAAAACCTGGAAAGTTTGAGGTAGTAGTGATAGTCCATATATGGCTAAAAAGGATGTTTTCCTCAAGTTGTAAAATGTGGAATTTAGAAAGTAAATTAATATATTTCAAAGGATTAGTTGAGGTTTAACATATTTTATGGCTATGAAGGCAATAAAGACATTTTACACATTGACGCTGTGATGTAGCTACATCAGAGAGTGTGACGTGCCTGTGGTTGAGCCCTCCTTATTGGCTAAGCTGGCCACTGTTTTTGAAACTTAATGGTAGGCCTCTGACGAAAGGTCTAATGTGGATAAAACCTGCATTTTATACCAGTGTAAATCAATAATTTCAACTTTGTTATGGTGGTTTTGATGTTTTTTCTCTGAAAAGGAACTCAGGAAATGTGATTAATAAGGTCAACTGCTAGATTTAATTTTGTTTTTGATGGAAATATTTTTTCCTAGAAAATTTAATGGCCATGAATCTGATTGCAGAGATTATTTACCATAACTAGACCTGTCCCCTGACAGGCAATTTAAACCACTTCCATTAAAATCTAGATAATCAGAAAGAATGTTGTGGAACATTATAAAAGAGGGCTATGTGAAAGTCAATTCACATCTAGACTGTTTTAGTATTCCTGCCTTCACCTTTGAAAGTCAGTGCACACAGTATAATCTTTTTATTGTCTTTGAAGCCCATGTTTATGATTGATTTAAAAAGGTGGAACAATTTATTTTGAGGTTCTTTGGGTAACAGTGTACCCTTGTATAGGAATCAAGATAGATCTAACTTTCACCAGAAGTATTCATATACCCAGTAGCTTTATGGTGAGGTATTTGAGTGTTTTTGTCTGAATAAGGAATATTAGACCAATTTAGAAATACTTTTGCCGGAGAGGACCCTTTCAGTTTTAGTACTTGATGCATATGAAATTCATATGTGTTTTGTACATGAATAGATTTATTTATCACATAGTTATTGAGCACCTACTATTTGGCAGGCACTGTTCTAGGTACTAAAAATTCAGCAGTTAACAAAACAGATGTCTCTCCTCAGAGGACAATATCTTGGATATTATATTCTAAAAAAGCAATAATAGCATACTTTGATCTCGTCTAGAAAAGAAAAGATTGCTGTTTTAGGGAGTACACCATTATCTGATAGAGCTTTGCATTTGCAGGTTTATGACTCACTGGAAGCAGATACCCCTGTAGTTACAAGGGCCTCAACTCTCTCGGCTTCAGAAGATGCCTGTGATTTTCCTAGCTTGCTCATGTGCTCCTTCCGACATGAAGTCCTTTCTTTTTTTTTGAGTCAGAGTCTCGCTCTGTCGCCCAGGCTGGAGTGCAGTGGCGTGATCTTGGCTCACTGCAAGCTCTGCCTCCAGGATTCATGCCATTCTCCTGCCTCAGCCTCCCGAGTAACTGGGACTACAGGCATCCGCCACCGCGCCTGATTTTTTTTTTTTTTTTTTTTTTTGTATTTTTAGTACAGACAGGGTTTCACCTTGTTAGCCAGGATGGTCTCAATCTCCTGACCTCGTGATCCTCCCGCCTCGGCCTCCCAAAGTGCTGGGATTACAGGCGTGAGCCACCGCGCCCGGCCATGAAGTCCTTTCAAATAGACTTAATTCGGTGTCCCAGCCTTCCCTAGTTTTTTTTAAGCCATCTTCCCCTTCGACTCAGTGCAGTCTGAGTTCATTGCACACACATTGTGTGTGTATGTGCGTGTGTGTGGACATGCAAGTGCACACATGTGCTTCAGCTGGATTTTAAACTTCTTCAGGGAGATTGTGGTCAGTGTCTTTAATTTAGCACAGTGCTTTGTATGTGGTAGCATTTAGTTGTTGACTTCAAGCTACTGTCCTAAAATTGCTTAAAACCATAGCAGTTCTTTTAAAAAGTGTTCTATATGGAATTTTTTAAAAATGCCTTGCATTTCTTGAAGGTTTGTCTTTTATGGTTGGAGTCAAACCACTTAGTATATAAAAACCTTTACTTCTATTTTTAAAAATTGTAGATTGCACTAATATGAAGTTTCTGTGGAAGACTATATATGCTCGAGTTTTTTTCATGTTTATGAGTACCATAGCTGTGTTGAGGTGAAGAGAATCACTCTTTCTAATCCGGCAAAATAATGTCACTAAATTATTATGGCCATATCTAACATTTACTTTTCTTTTTATTTGAAGAGGGTGTTAACAGGGGCTGTTTTTCTTTGTTATAATTCTCTTCCTTCTGCCTTTCCTTCTTCAGAAAGTTTAAGCTAGATTTAATAATTTCCATTATGATTTCTGGGTTTTTTTCCAGTATGCTTGATTGCTACTGAAATAAACAGGTTAAGTCGTCACTGGAAGTTCCATTTTGCCCGAGTCCAGTGTTCTCTCATTACCTCTAGCTTAAGGGAGGATTTCGCTAGCATATCTTCTCTGTTGACTGAGCCAAGGTTTCCTTTGGCATACATTGACCTCAGCGGGTGTGGCATTTTGTTGGGAAAGATTTGTATCAATAGCAAAAATGTACAAAGTGATCATAGTATTTTATGAAAGTAGGTGGATTATATTTTTTCATAGTTGGATTACAAACTTAATGATTCATATTTTATTAGTTGGTTATAATTCTGTTCAGCCTTTTGTTCCTCAGCCTTTCATTGGGATAACTCGTGGAGCCTGGTCACCCATTTAGTTTTGAAGACTTATTTATACAGAAATTTAAAAAATCAACTAATTATTTTTAAATGGCAAGTAAAAATTACATGTATTTGTTGTGTACCGCATGATATTTTGAAACATGTATATGTTGTGGAATGGCTAAATTGAGCTAATTAACATTTGCATCACCTCACGTAGTACTTACCATTTTTTGTAATGAGATCATTTAAAATCTACTCTCTTAGCGATTTTCAAGAATACAATATATTGCCATTAACTATAGTCTAGAATTGTAGTTTTTAATGAGTTAAATGAATTAAATGAAGTGGACCATGCAGAATGGAATGTAATTGTCAAGTAATTAGTTGAAAAATCTTAAAAGAAAGTAATTTTGGGCCGAGTGTGGTGGCTGAGCCTGGCAGATTGCTTGAACTCAGGAGTTCAAGACCAACCTGGGCAACATGGCAAAACCCTATCTCTACAAAATAATAATAATAATAATAATAATAAATATTGTTTTTTAAAAAGGTAATTTTTCTTTTAGACTTTTGTTTGGCAAACTTAAAAAATCTAGTGTACCAAATAATGCTTTTGTAGAATTCTAGTAGTATTTTGAAGGAAGGAGGTGATACATGAATGGATGGATGTTATTATAAGTATCTGAATTATTTATCTGTACTTTGATAGTGCTAATATAAGAACATTCATTCATACTTTTGTACCTTAGACTAAGTGAGGTTGTTTTCTCTTACAAGCCTAAACATTTACCACTTTGTTTATTCTCTTCTGTTATATACTTGTTCATTATACATACTGCATCCATTTGTCAATACTTCTGATAGAAAAAAGGATTTAGAAATCATGTTTAACAAAATCTGGTTATAAATAACTGAGACTTGGATGGCGTGGTAAACTGTGCCTTTGCTGACCTTCTCATAAACACCAACAGGTTTTGGGTCCTGCTCCTCGGTGGTGTTCCTTCTTAGACAACTTGACCGAAGAATTAGAAGAGAATCCAGAAAGCACAGTCTATGATGATTATAAATTTGTCACCAAGAAAGACCTTGAAAATTTAGGTAAAAAAAAAATTGTGATGAAATATTATGTAATTACTTTATTTCTACTTTTTTTTTGAGTTTTGAACATGAGAATTGGCTGAGCCATGTTTACCTCATCTCCTAAATCTTCCCTTTCTGCCAAATCAGATATTAAACATATTATAAATTGTCAGATTTGTAACCTTTCTCCTTAGAGAAAAGTTCAAGTAAATTTAACATGCTGAAGCTTTTTTGTATTTTAAATGAGAATTTATTTTAGCAAATAATTTCTTTTAGCATACTAGCTATTATAGAGGAAAAAAATTGTCACGAAAGGAGTGATTTTTTTTTCACCAGTATTATCTGAAGTATAATAAGGTTTTGAAAATGTCTCAGAGACGGCAAGTAAATGATTCCTGCCTCCCTTTTAGGTTTGATTATAAAAGACCCAATCCAAAACTTAGAAGTGATACATTGAAACTTCAGATGTAGAAGAACCTTAATAGTTACTTTATGTTTGAAGGTCACAAGCCAAGAAGTGTCTTAAAAGAACAGCAAATACTTATGAGATAGGGCTTACTATGTGCAGATAGTATTTTTTTTTTTTTTTTTTTTTGAGACAGAGTCTTGCTGTGTCACTCAGGCTGCAGTGCAGTGGCCCAATCTTGTCTGATTGCAACCTCCGCTTCCTAGGCTAAAGTCATTCTCCTACCTCAACCTCCCGAGTAGCTGGGATTACAGATGTGCACTGCCATGCAGCATGGTAAGACGGGGTTTCACCATGTTGGCCGGGCTGGTCTTGAACTCCTGGCCTCAGGTGATCCACCCACCTCAGCCTCTCAAAGTACTGGGATTACAGGTGCGAGCCACCACGCCCAGTCTGTGCAGGCAGTATTCTAAGCGTTCTACATGTAACTCATTTAATCTTCACATCCCTATGGATTGGGTACTATTATGATTCCATTAGATAAGGAAACTGAGGCAAAAAAAAAAAAAAGATAAATGTACATTGCCAGAAGTTTCAGTGGTAGTAAACTTGAGAGTTGAGCTTTAAATCCAAGAGTCCGTGCCCTTTCCCCAGCCATCCCAGCCCCTGCAGGACATGTTGCGCCTGCTTGCCTAGCCCTCCTCTAGGTTAGAGTAGATGGTGCTCATCTTGTTCTGCTGCTGTCAGAGGGCTACAGCAGAAGTTACTGAGAGTGGGAAAACTTAGAGGATCCATTTTATACAAGGCAAGGCAACTTAGTTGTCTTTGGAACAAATAGATGTGCAACAACAGTTGAGTATTAAAACAGAATCATGTTACCATTAGATTAATTAAACTTCCTTTTTAACCCATATCTCATAGCACAGTTAATCCAGGCGGAATTACTTTCTGTCAGTTACTACCAAAAAAGAGCTGAATTTAGCCTTTTAAAAAATGACTTGAATGAAATAGGACCTTCTTACTGCAGTGCCTTCTTAAGTGTCTCCAACGTAATTTTCATAATATGCTGTCACACTCACCTACATTCTTAAATCGAATGAAAAAAGGTCATTGTTCTTTTATGGATTTTTTAAAAACTACTATGTTTAGTACATTTTGGGTTCTTTTTCAGTTTCTTTACTGGGTTTATTTTGGGTGAAAAAAGGAGTTATATAAGTTTAGGTATATTTTGTTAAAAAGTAATTGTACTGCTCATTTTTAAAACTATAGAAATAGATATTCAACAAAATGACAGTTATACTAGAAAGCATTTTATGTATATTACTAATATCTTTTGATGTCAAATGAGCTTTTATCATTTCCCCATAATATATAAAACCTTCTAAATAGAATATCTTAAGAGTAGAAGTAAGTAATGAACTTCCCTTACTTCCTAAGATTATTTTTAGTGCAGCATTAGTATATTGAAGATTTGCAAGTTCTGACTCTTCTGGATATGGCCAACAGCAGATCTTATAGCTTGGTATTTCCCACAGTGCGTTCTTTGGAAAATTACGTCTGTAAAAAGGACTGGGTGGATAGCATAGTGGCTGATATTGTGGGCACTACAGGTAGACTGACATGGGTTTACATCCCACCTTTCTCACTTAATATCTGCACAACTTGGCCAATTCACTTCGCCTCTTTAAGCCTTGGTTTCCTCATATGTAAAATGGGAATAATATTGGTCCCAACCTATAGGGTTGCCTGGAGAATGAATCAGAAAATGCTTGGAAAATATTCAGCACCCTTTTATTTTAGGAGATTTGTGGCAAATAAGTTTGGGAAATGCTAGGTTAAGCACAGTTAAATCAATTTCTTTACCTCGCATACTTCTTAGAGCCTTTAATACCATCATACATTGTAAATCTCCAAACGGAAGGAAAGTATGAAACATTTCCCAAACTTACTTGACCATGGAGCCCTTTTTTCTCAGAAGATCTCTTGGGACTAGTGATCCATGGAGTTAACTGTAGGAAATGCTGCTGCATCCGATTCTCGGGTTAGGACTGTTTCGCTATGAAAAGCGCTTCACTTGGTTTTTATTTATGACCTGACTTGGATTAATTCTGTGACATTAATAAAGGAAACAAAAAATTACTTTTGCAATCACTGGTATATGTATTTTATAATGTAGTGGTTAATCAGACCCTTATCCTGAGGAAGATTTAGAGAATATACACGTGCAGTTGTATACATTCACGTTTCATTAAGGCTCAGCCCTCTTTTGTTAGGACTCCATTGTGAAAGTGCAAACCCCATATTTTTATTAACCTAATGAATTCTATGACAGTATTTTCCTAATCAAGTTTTAGAATTCCGTTATGAGAATATCCTAAATTTAATTTTCTTTTTTATATTGTTCTATAACATATACTATTTTATACTACTGTATGATTTTGCTCAGTACTTGATTTTCAGGTCTAGATGGATGTATATTTCTAAAATTTGGAAATTAGAGTAATGCTTTCCTTAGAAAGACAGTCACTTATACCAGGGGTCCCCAACCCCTGGGCCATGGACCCATACCAGTTGGTGGGTGGCCTATGAGGAACCGGGCCACACAGCAGGAGGCGAGTGGTAAGTGAGCATGACTGCCTGAGCTCCGCCTCCTGCCAGCCGTGGCATTTGATTCTTATAGGAGCGTGAAACTAGTGTGAACTGCACATGCGAGGGATCTAGGTTGTGGGCTCCTTGTGAGAATCTAATGCCTGATGATCTGAGGTGGAATAGTTTCGTCCTGAAACTGTCCCTCCCTGCATCCGTGGAAAAATTGTCTTCTACAAAACCAGTCCCTGGTGCCAAAAAGGTTGGGGACCACTGACATATATCGTAAATGTTCTGCATGTGAGTACATCACATGTGGACTTATTTTGAAGATCTCAGTCTTTTTCTGTGTCAATATTTGGAATTAATAAATAATTCCTGTGACATAGAGCATTCTTATGTGACCACCAGCACCACAAATTCTAAGTGTAACCTATTAAAACTGGGAAACTCTGTGAAAGTATTGTTTGAGGCAGGGTTCTCAAATGCTGACTGGCAGTGGACTTTTCATTAGTCCCTGATGAGGAGTGCATATGTGATATGAGTATTAATATGCATGTATGTATGTTTATATATGGTGGTAGGAATTTGTCAGCTGTTCTTTCTTGGAAGACGGTTCTTTCTACGTTGTTTTTGTGAGTGTCCTTTGTCTTTGCAAATGGTCGATGACAATGTTTCTCCTCTCTCCCTTCTCCTCATTTCAATTTGGCAACTTACTGTTGATCCCCAGTATTATTTTCTAAATTGAACTTGTTTGTGGAAATAAAAAATCTGAGGACCACTCAGAGGGTATAAGGGAACCCTCTTTGTCTTAGTTCATAAGGACTTTCTCATCATTTTTGTGTGTAGTATTATTACATTTAAAATAAGGATGATATTGCTGAAGTAGATTAAATGTTCTCTATAGATATCAAAGAAGATTAGTAATTCTAATCCTTAAATTTTTAGTCTGAAGTGAAATCTTACTATAATCAAATTGTTGCCCAAGAAAAACTGTTGAATGTTAATGAAGATTGCATAAGGACCTGCTGTCTTCTGTTTGACCTTTCCCAGGGCTCACCCACCTCATTGGATCTCCTTTCCTCCGGGCATATATGCATGGGTTTTTCATGGATATAAGACTCTATCACAAGGTAAACAGAAAACTACAGTTATTATGTTTCAGGTAACTAATGCGCAGTCTGTGGCCATTTCCTCACTACTCGCACTTTCATAAATCATACATAGGATTTGTAGGGGATCTGCCTGTTCTTTGGCATAACTGTCGTGGTGTATATGAAAATGATATTACCAAATACCATTCTTTTATTTTAAAAACTTTTTTCATTTTGAAAAGGTGAAACTGATGGTAAATCCATTTGCTTATGAAGAATATAGGAAAGATAAAATACGACAGAAAATAGAAGAAACACGTGCACAGAGAGTCCAGTTAAAGGTAAATATTATACTTACCATTGAATTTATCAGAGAAGAGTACTTAATTTCCATTTTGTGTATTATTCCAAAGAAATCTGCCATTCTTTTCTTGATTTTCCATCTTTAATTTGCATCTTTTACTGATATTTTTGGTATAGTTTGTTTGTCATCAGTGTGTCATGTTTGTCATGAGGGTGCAAAACTCTTTACAATTTTCGCATTATGACCTCTGCGGTAATTGTACTGTGGGACATAATGCTAGAATGATTGATATTGTCACCTCCACTAGAAACCTGATAGCATTTTTAAATGGGTTTTCCATTTTTGGAGTATCCGGGCTTTGCTAATCCCTATTCCTTACTGACCTTTGGCCGTATCTTAGGCTCTGTTTGGATCATGGGAAATGGTCGACAGTCGTAAACTGCACTCTCTGTCTGAGTACATAGAATTTAATGTAAAGAATGATTAACTTGGTATTGGAGAACTGAAAAGACAGAACTGCTAAAGGATGGAGGAGAGAGGTAAACTGCAGGAAGCAGCCACCAACTCAGAGCTGCGGAACAGCCTGGGGAATAGGAAGAGGAGGCCCCGTGGAGCTGGACCCAGGCCTCTGAGGAGGGGCCACAGGCCGGTTCCAGGGCCCTTGAGGCATAATAGCAAGGATGTTCCTGGGAGCGTTGGAAACTGCAAACTGGAATCCACCACTGCTGTGGAACCAGCTGTTGTTTCCAGGACAAAGAGTTGCTGTTGTGTGATGCCAGTGTAGACAGAGAAGGGCAGGCCCTGCTCCTGCACCTGCCTTGCAGTCTGTCTGCAGCCGCCCCTGTTGGTTCATTTCAACCACCAAATGATACCAATGTGTATAACTGAACGTTGGTATACGTACATACTCTGTCACTATAAAAGACTAGTGACTGTTTTCTGCATTTACCCTCAGTACTTTTTTGTTTTTCCAGACTGTTAAAAGATTTCTGGTGTATTTTTGAGACAGGATCTTGCTTTGTTGCCCATGGTGGAGTACAGTGGCATGATCAGAGCTCACTGCAGCCTCGACCTGAGCTCAAGTGATCTTCCCACCTCAGCCTCCCAAGTAGCTAGGGACTATAGGCGCACACTACCACACTCAACTAATTTTTTGTAGTTTTAGTAGAGACAGAATTTTGCCGTGTTGCCCAGGCTGGTCTTTAACTTCAGGGCTAAAGTGAGCCTCCCATCGGCTTCCCAAAGTGCTGGGATTACAGTCATGAGCCATTGCGCTGCCTCTCAGTGCACTGGAAAGAGGCTCTCAGTGCCCTGGGAAGAGAAATGAGGGCGAGTTCCCTAGCAGTAAGCTGGGGTTGCCGTTTTTTTGCCATGTGGCCCACCTGGTATCATCACCTGTCTACATTTCCTACTATGAGGATAATGAAATTTTTAAAATACGAATTAGTTGGCTGGGCGTGGTGGCTCATGCCTGTAATCCCAGCACTTTGGGAAGGCCCAGGCAGGCGGATCACGAGGTCAGGAGACCGAGACTGTCCTGGCTGACACAGTGAAACCCCGTCTCTACTAAAAATACAAAAAATTAGCCAGACGTTGTGGCGGGTGCCTGTGGTCCCAGCTACTCGGGAGGCTGAGACAGGAGAATGGCATGAACCCGGGAGGCGGAGGTTGCAGTGAGCTGAGATTGCGCCCCTGCACTCCATCCTGGGTGACAGAGCGAGACTCCATCTCAAAAAAAAAATAATAAAATAAGAATTAGTTATCTCCTATTTATGAAATTATACTTACACAACTGTTTACCTTTAAGCTAATATGTAAATATGTTAGCTTTTAAAATAAAATAAAATACCAGCTTTTATTTTCTCTCTAGAAATTGCCAAAAGTTAACAAAGAGCTGGCACTTAAATTAATTGAGGAAGAAGAGGAGAAGCAGAAATCTACATGGAAAAAGAAAGTTAAGGTAAGGTGAAAAAGTATCGGCAAATTGTTTCTGCGTTTTGTTGATAGTAACTTACATCTTTTTTATTGTTTCTTTTTACTTTAAAAATACATGTAGGACTTTTTCTTTCCTGCGTATAAGATTAGTATATGCTTAAGATGGGAAGTCTGGAAAATAGAAAAGAATATCAAGAAGAAAGCTATCCTTACGATTCTTATACCAGAGAAAGGCATCATTAATATTTCAGTGAATTTTCTTCCTGTCTTATTTGTTTCAAAATTAGAAACTACAATAGCAAGAGTCTTGTATGTGTAAAATGTTTATCCTGATTCTTTAAAATAACACAGGTGGTTTCCCATTTTGTTAAAAATTCTTTGTAAATATTTTTAATGGCTACATATTCTGTTTTATGAAGTGATTATAATTTACTCAATCCTTCTATTGTTAAACGTTTAGATTATTGTTTTTCTTTGTTCATAACTCCAGAAGTAACTGATTTTTATTTGGACTTGGTGTTCTTACGAGTATGCAGGCTGAAGTGTAACTTCCACCTGCTTTCCTTTATTAATGTGAAAATAGACAAAGATCAGTCATAAGATAAATAAAAGTTAGCACTTTGTTTAGTTGGTATTGTCCAGAGGTGAGATTTTTCTAGTGTTTTCAGATGTATGAAGGTACCTGGGTCCTTGCCAATCTTGTTTTCTCTGCTTAGATGAGGCAGGCAGATAGCCAAGCTTGGTTATGTGCTGGAATGAGTTGGAAAGAACTGATCTCTGCGACAGCCTGCAGAACCTAATGAGTAAGGAGCTGACCTTGTAGTTTTGGGCCAGCTGTGTGGTGCCCTCAGGAGGTTCTTTTTTTTTTTAAGCTTATTCTTTCTCTGTCCTCTGGTTTTTAACCAGGTACGTGCATCTAAGATGGGTGAGCTCCTTTTGTCTTCATTTCTGTTCATGCTTTTCAATACCCAGGGACTGCAACTGAAGGGTCTTGTTCCTAGCTCTTGGCACACTGCTTATGTAATCTTGGGCGATTGCTCGTCTTCATGGGGTCACAGTTTTTTCATCTGTAACATGCAAGGACCGGATATGGGCATTCTTAGAGCTGTGCTTTCCAAATGGATTCAGACTCAAGACTCCCCCTTGCTGTCTTCTGCTTCCTTAGTCTTTCCCTGCATCCCCTCATCCTCGTTTATTACATTCTTTTAGTATATTGTTTAAATTTTAATTTCTGGAAGCCTCTCAAGTAAATAGAGGACTTTTAGGTTTCCATTTTCATGACATGAATAGTATGCCAATGTTGAAATAATTCCTCAAACTTATTAATATTTGAATTTATGTCTGTGTGTAATGGCTCTGCACCTTCCTAAGTTACACCAATGTGTATAAATGAATATATATATCTTTAAGTGTTTAGAATACAAGTCTTTGCTGCTGTGTTGACTCTCTCCTCAGAGTATTCACACTGATCTTCTTGTTAGCTAAGCCTAAGCATGATTAGGGAGGTAACTTTTCTGCTTTGTAATGTCATTTTACAGTAAAAGCTAAATGGAAGTGATCTTTGGATGTACATGCCATGCCCTAAGGCTTCAGTAGATAGAGAGTAGAGCTAACTTAGACTGTAGATGTTTGCATTCCTATCTGTGTTTTATGCCAGAGTCTTTATCATCTGATAGAGGCAAGAATACTTAAGTTACAATTTAATTTTGCTACTTTGTGCAGCATGCTATACCAGAGCCTGTTTATAAGGCCCTGTGATTATCTAGATGCAGAAGTGCCCTTCCCTTCCCCCCATTTCTTTGTAGACCTTTGCTGAGGTTGAGGGCAGCCAGAGAAGATTTAGAATACCCCATAGTGCAGGATGGTGGAAATGACCTCACAAGTTGAACACATGCAGAGCAATCCTCATGGTCAGGTGGGAAAATTAGCATTGTTCCATGCCTTTAAACATTTTTGACAAAACATTAAAAACTCTCTTACTGTCCATTATAAATTGGAAAACTAGGATCTTTTCATTATATTGTAATTTAAAACATTAGGAATAAAGCCTAATTGAGTATTTTATTTTCTTTCTTTTATTTCTTTTGTCAATAGTACTTGGAACAGTGCTTACTTTTTTCTCCTCCTAAACTTTTGATACGGAGCCAGCATTTTTCTTTGCCTCAGCAAATTGTCATACTCACTTTCTAAGTTTGGATAAGCTTCCGATGTTTCATCCTTTGCTCTTTTGACGTTATGAATTGTCTCTGAGAGTTCCTTTCATGTAAAGTTTTTTGCCAGTGTCACTTCCACTGGGACACTTTTCTTCTTCTTGTCACAGCTGTTTTCCTCATTTGTTTTCAGAGGTTCACCATTACGTGGTCCCCTCACTACAGACTTAGAGTGCCAGCCAGTGACAGTAGCCACATTCCCTGTATTCCCACAGCCAGCTCTTTCTTCTATAACTCCCTTTAAATTTGATTCACATTTTTGTTGTTGCAGTTTTATCTTGTTGATTAGTTCTCTGTAAATTATTCTTTTTTGTAAATGTCACACGAGTTTGTCTTCGGTATCTGAAGAAGCAATGCAACAGTTACACACGCGTCCTGTCTGCAGGAACTGAACAGGAAATTCACGGTGCATCACACCGCCTGATGCAGTGTCCGGTCACTGACAGGCTTTGAGAAAAGCAACCCATTATTTACGTAGGGATTTGTGGACTAAAGAGCTCGCTGTGGAGTTATACTTTATGAACATACTCAGTTGATGAACAGAGATAACTGAAATTTGAACCGTCTTGTTGGGGCACCTGGTATTCTTTAACTGCATTCCTTAGCTACTCCTTCCTTTTGGCACCGTGCGAATCAAGAACTTGCCTTTCTGTTATCTCCAGTCACATCTACGTTCCGTTGATGTTCACTCATTTTGTTGCTACATATTCTCTAATTAACTATCAGGATGGCATTTGATTATTTTAAAACCTATTGGTGGGTCACCCTGTAAAGAATTACCAAGCTGTGTACCATTTTACTTCCAGTGAAAAGGAGGAAGAACCTTAGAAATTCCTATCTTCTTCCATCAAACAGCAGTTTCTCTTCAGCTCTTCATAGCTGGAAATGTGATCTTTGTAGCCATATCACGTGATAACAGAATTCTTCCAAAGAGTACTATTTGTAAAATGTGCCCCTAATCTTCTTGTTGGTGACTTCCTAGCCCAAATCAGACCTATTATCAGAGCTCAGTTTCATTCCAGAAATATTTATATATGGTCTTTTGAAAATCTGAGGCTGTGCTTGGAAAAAGTTTGTATAATTTGTTGTTGAACAGTTTCATCTTATGTAAAGTGAAGATCGTAGAAATCACTCATGAATTAAGGAAAGAATCCTTCATTATAATTTAAAAGACTACTTGAAAGAATTGCTAAGTCTCATCAGCAGATCATTAGTCTCGCCTTTGAACTCAGCTCCTCAAAAGCTTGAGAACTTTACTAGCTGTGATACCTCCTGATTTGAAAGTAGGTATCTTGCAATACCAATTTGAAAGGTATGTTTTGCCTTGTCTGCAGCTGAAATTTATTGGAGACAGTGAAATGTGTTCCTAAATATTGCTGCCACTGAGAACACAAAAATCGAATAAGATGTTTACTGTATGGTTGATATTGAACCTAAAATGGGAAGTGGCCCACCACATAATGTCAATCAGTATTATATGGACATTATCCAAACTCAGAAATTTTGGTTGCATTAATTCTAGTTAACAATTAAGGCCGAGTGCAGTGGCTCACGCCTGTATTCCCAATACTTTGGGTGGCTGAGGCAGGAAGATTACTTGAGCCCAGGAGTTGGAGTCTGCAGTGAGCCATGATCACACCACTGTACTGCAGCCTGGGCTACAGGGCAAGACAGCATCTCTTTAAAAAAAAAAATGAATGAATGTATTTATTCTTTCAACAAATATGTATTGAATTTCCAGTATGCACAAACAGCTTTGAGAGGCATGGGCATCTGTGATCTGTTTGATTTGTGAGGGTTTGAGTTTTGGTTAGAGCTATTTTTCCTATAGGTATCATTTTTTGTATGTTAGTCTTTTTTGTCAGTTTCTTGCTGTGGCCTTAAAGTCTCTGATGAATGTACTTTTCTTTCATTCTGCAGCAGCTCAGGCAGGACTGTGCATGAGATCTCTAGGCCAGGGGTCTCCAACCCCTAGGCCATGGTACTGGTCTGGGGCCTTTTAGGAATCAGGCCGCACACCAGGAGGTGAACCTCAAGCTTCATCTGTATTTACAGCCACTCCCCATTGCTCACATTACTGCCTGAGCCCCACCTCCTGTCAGGTCAGTGGCCACATTAGATTCTCATAGGAGCATGAACCCTATTGTGAACTGCGCATGCGAGGGATCTAGGTTGCGAGCTCCTTATGAGAATCTAATGCCTGATGATCTGTCACTGTCTCTCATTAGCCCCCGATGGGACTTTCTAGTTGCAGGAAAACAAGCTCAAGGCTCCCGCTGATTTTATATTATGGCGAGTTGTATAATTATTTCATTGTTATTACAGTGTAATAATAATAGAAATAAAGTGCACAATAAATGTAATGCGCTTGAATCATCCCAAAACTCCCTCGCGCCCGCCCCCCGCCCCCCACCACCATCTGTGGAAAACTTGTCTTCCGAAACTAGTCCCTGGTGCCAAAAAGGTTGAGGATCACTGTTCTAGGCTATGTGTATTCTGTGGTTAGGAACCCATGGAAGAGATATTTTAGCAGTTTCAGGAATTACTAAATACCACTGAGAACTTATATTAAAGTAATACCTCATCTCTCTAGGGAATACAATTAGGTACAGATACTTTGGGTTGGATCAGGTCAGTTTTAACATCCAAAATATTATTTTTAAAGCTTTTTTAGTATCAATTAAAATTTTTGTTTTTTTTAAATTACAGTTATACATGCATAGTTTTAAAAACTAAACATTTCAGTCTGGGCACAGTGCCTAACACAAACATTATGGGCTCACACCTGTAATCCCAGCACTTCGGGAGGCCAAGGCAGGCAGATCACTTGAGGCCAGGAGTTTGAGACCACTCTGGCCAACACAGTGAAACCCCATTTCTACTAAAAATAGAAAAACTAGTTGGGTGTGGTGGTGCGTACCTGTAATCCCAGCTACTTGGGAGGCTGAGGCAGGAGAATTGCTTGAACCTGGGAGGCAGAGGTTGCAGTGAGCCAAGATCACGCCATTGCACTCTAGCCTGGGCAACAGAGCAAGACTCCATCTCAAAAAACAAACAAACAAACAAAAACAAAACAAAACAAAAAAACATTTCTGTAATCCCATCATTTTGGGAGGCCAAGGCAGGGAGGATCACTTGAGCCCAGGAGTTCAAGACCAGCCTGGGCAACATGGTGAAACCGCATCTCTACAAAACATTAGCTGGGTGTAGTGGTGCATGCCTGTGGTCCCAGCTACTCAGGAGGCTGAGGTGGGAGGATCTCCCTGCAAGGCCGCAGTTAGCCATGGTTGTGCCACTGCACTCCAGCCCAGTAACAGAGTGAGACTCTGTCAAAAACAAAAACAAAAAAAACCTAAACATTTCTCCAAGGTTTGTTAGGAATGTAGGCCATCCCATTGTCTGCCCCTTTTCCTCCCTCTGCCTTCCTCCATTTTCACCTCTTCTCAGACAACCACTTTTGCCTTTTTTGCTGATTATTTTGGTATAAATCTCTCTCTCTCTCTCTCTCTCTCTCTCTCTCTCTGCCCCCTCCCCCTCCCTCCCTCTTGCCTGTAGTCCTACCTCTTAACTTTTTAGTGTTAGGCATTATCTTTTGATAACTTTCCTTTCCAAGGAAGCTATATTGTGATTTTGATTAAGTTGGTATTCAGCATTACATTGTTGTACTTTTGTTTTTTGAGATAGAGCCTGTTACCCAGGCTGGAGTACAGTGGCAGAATCATAGCTTACTGCAGCCTCAGTCTCTCGGGCTTAAGTGATCCTCTCACCTCAGCCTCTCAAGTAGCTGGGATTACAGGTGCACACCACACCCAGCTAATATATATGTATGTATATATTTTAGTAGAGCTGAGGTCTCACTGTGTTGTCCGGGCTGGTCTCCAACTCCTGAGCTCAAGAGATCCTCCCACCTCAGCCTCCCAAAGTGTTGGGATTACAGGCACGAGCCACCATGCCTGGCCTACGTAAGTGCTATTTCCAGCCGAGTCAGTAGTAATCTGTGACTGCATTTCTTGTTCAATCTTTGTGTACTTTGAAGTTAATAATTGTCTCTCTTGCTCGTTTTCTATGTAGTTATCACTAATCAACACCCAATTCTATGTCAGTTCTCTAAGTCTTATTTTGAGGTGTTTAGATAGGTTAGACTTATGCTTATTTACCTTCCTGAAGAAGTTGCTTCTAGAATTTTCTGCCCCATTCCATTCTAGCCTGGTCACCTTCTAATCCCGGGACCTCCCTTTACCATTATCCTGGGGATTCACTTCACCTCAGCCCATGTTGGACAGAGAATTACAAGAACCTTCAGTTTCCTGAAGGAATATAGTTTCCAACCTAGGCAAGCAGTCAGTCAATGTGAGGGTATGGTAGATATTTTCAGACATGCAAGTTCTCAACAACAACCAATTCCCCTTAAATGCTGCTTTTCCTCGGGAAGTTGCTAGGGGAGTTGTTTCTCTAAAATAACAGTGTAAGCCCAGGAAGAGGAAGCGTCCTGGGAAACCTGACACGAAGCGACTGTACTGTGCTGCAAGCCCATCTCAGTCTAGAAGTTCGGTCTTCAGTGCTGGGGAATTTTCTTGAAAGAAAATTTCAATTAGTTTTTCCTGCCATGATCCATAGTTATTTTTTGGCAGTGAGGAATAAGAGAGTTAAAAAACTGAATGAAAACTCTAGGTGGGGACAGGGTCCCTCAGTCAGTGTGCAGTGACTTGGCCACACTGTTTGGGGAAGGACACTGCACATGTCATTGTCTCTTAGGTCTTTCTCTTGGCTGGTCAGGTCCTCCTGCTTGGGGGGGTAAAGGCCTGGCTACCAGCATTCCTAGAACTGACCACTGTAGGTCACAAGAGGTTGGAGGGGTCCAGAGGGCACCTCACCCCCATGTGCCAGCCTTGCCCTCCCCTCCTTGTGGCCAGCACACCTCTCTTGCTCTTGCAGTGCCAGCCTCAGCCAAGCAACTTCTCCGTGGGAAAGGGCTGGGGCCAGGCTTTCCAGAGCTGGGGTGTGATTTTTAAATAGGCTTTCTTTCTGGCTTCCAAATTTTTATTACCCCTATTTCCTTTCCTTTTTTTCTTAAGGGTTTATGCCCTTTTTATAAAGCTCCTTTTCTGTTGTTCTAGTGAAGTTTTAGGAGAGATTAGAAGATACTAGTGTTCAAGCCACCATCTTTACTCAGAAGTCTGTACCAGCCTAACTTCATAGGTATCATAGCATTGAAAGAACTAATTTGATTGGCCGGGGTGCAGTGGCTCACGCCTGTAATCCCAGCACTTTGGAAGGCCGAGGCAGGCGAATCACCAGGTCAGAAGTTTGAGACCAGCCTGACCAACTGGTGAAACCCCGTCTCTACTAAAAACACAAAAATTAGCCGGCCGTGGTGGCGCGTGCCTGTAATCCCAGCTACTCCAGGAGGCTGAGGCAGGAGAATCGCTTGAACCCGGGAGGCAGAGGTTGCAGTGAGCCGAGATCACACCACTGCACTCCAGCCTGCGTGACAGAGCAAGACCCCATCTCAAAAGAAAAAAAAGAAAAAAAAAAAAACTAATTTGTTTCAAATGGCAATCATTCTTCATATATGTTACTATGTTGGAACAAAATAATAATAGGCGTCCCACTCAGGTAGACAGATACCATTCTTCCAGGTAGGACTGTGGTATGAATAGTACTTTAATGTTTTCTATATTTTAATGGTAAAGTTGAGCATGTGTAGACGGGTATTTATAGGACGGATCACTAGCCAGACACTTGTAAGCTCCTATAGAACATTAATAGCTATACCTTATCCTACTTTTTTCCTTAAGACAGCTGTGAAAACAAACAGACTAGGAAAAAACCCTGAGGGAAATATTTTTACAAGCTGGGTCAGAAGAGGTTTTATTTTATAGTTGTTCATCCAAAGCATACTTGTCTTTAGGCAATGCAATTGATTTGTTTTAAATTAAGAAAAAAATCTTAATACCAGCAACATATGTAGTCTTTGTAACATTTTCTCTATTTATTAAATATGATTATTACTTTAATAAATATAGTAAGATGAAAAGTAAATATTTGCCCTTGGGTTTTTTTAACCTGAAAATGTGTAATAGGCACATAGTTATTCATTTGAAATTATCTTTCACACTATCATCTATCCGATATCTACAGATAACTCCAAAATTTACATCATAGCCCCCTCCCTTCTCCTGAGACATGGCGCATCGTTCCCAGACACCTAGTGGTGTCCGTCTGAATCCTGGTGCTCTTCTCCCTGTGCCACAGGCATAGGCAGCCCTAAATGGAGCGTGATTTCTTCCCCTTTACTCCACCCCTGCGTTTTTTCCTAATGCTCTCCAGTGATGGATTCTAACTCAGTGTCGCCAGCTTTCTGGTTGCTTAAGCTACATGTTTGAGAGAAGTTTCTAACCCTGTTTTTAATTCTTAACCCTCCCATCTCCATAGCTGGATCTGTCAATTCTAATTTAGAACTGTATCTCGTAATTATTCTTTCTTAAAAACTGTCTGTTCCCATTGCCCTAATTCAGGCCCTGTCTCTCTTGCCAGTTTCTTAAAATGGCTTCTTAGTCTTCTCATGATGCTAACTTCTTACTCAGCAGTCCGTCAGACATCAGGCTGCTGCAGACTTTTGAAGCACAATTTTGGGTTGGTTTGTTTGTTTGTTTGTTTGTTTGTTTGTGACAAGGTCTCTCTGTTACGCAGGCTGGAGTACATGGTGTGATCTCAACTCACTGCAGCCCTGACTTCCCAGGCTCAAGCGATCCTCCTACCTCAGCCTTCCAAGTAGCTGGGACTACAGGCATGCACCACCACGCCTGACTAATTTTTTATATTTTGTATAGACAGCGTCTCACCATGTTGCCCAGGCTGGTCTTGAACTTCTGGCCTCAAGCAGTCCTCCCACCTCAGCCTCCCAAAGTGCTGAGATTGCAGGCATGAACCACCACCTGGCCAGTTCTGTCATCTGGGAGTCTTGAAGCACACTTCTGTTGATCATCCATCTTCTCCTTCCTCCCTCCTTCCCTGTCTCCCTCCTTCGTTTCTCTTCCTTTTTCTCTTCCTCTTCTTCCTCCCCCTCCTCCTCTTCGCTAGTGGTTTCCCCTTATATCTTCAAAATAACAGTCATGGTATTTAAAATCCTTTACAGTATGACCCAATCAAAAAATTGTTTTGAAATTGCATCATTCTTATGTCGCCAGACTATTCACCACTCCCATCGGCTGGAAATGCTGTTTCTTCAGATTTCTACTTGTTGAAACCTACTCATCTTTCAAGCCCCCTCCCTGATGCTGCACCCCCCAGGGCCCCTCCTGGGGTGTCTTTTGTTGGGATTCCTTTTTCTGTCCTCTCCTGTGGCACTTTCAGCACTACCGAGCAGCCCTCAGAAGAGGCCTAGTAGCACGTGTTTGCAGTGTTTTTTCTTCCTTACTAGTTTAGGATCAGGAACTCGATCTTACCTTTCTTTTTCCCTTCGTTGTAAGTCTTTCTTGGAAATGATGTTTAATCAGGGAAACTTGCTGCATTTAATATCTTAGAATTTTAGGTAAGGGTTTATCTGTTTTTAGGTACATACAAATAATAAACAGGCCAAGTTCCTTAATATCTTATGATTTACTAAACTTTTGTATAGGTCTGTCACACAAATAATATTCAGAACTCAACTGCCTGCAATCTTGTTTACTCTCAACAGTGGAGAAATAGTAAAGTAGTCTGTTCAGCAGAGTCAGAGTCCATCACAAACAGGTCAGCTTTTTCCAGCAGTGTTCAGGGCTGTTTACTCTGATTGACAAACAATTCTGAGTAAGCCGTTTCATCTGGCTTCCAAGCCTGTAGCAGAGAAGGAACAATAAGACAGTCCTAAATGTGTAAGATTCTCTGTCATCTACTTAAGTGAACAGGTAAGTTTACAGTACAGTTTAGAAAACTTTCCATTGAAAATGGTACAAATAAAAAGGAATTTAGTATCAGTCCTGAGCTATCTAAATGGGTCTCAGTAGCCAAAGTTTTTGTATCTGAAGGATACACAATATCCTTTGACAACAATTAGTTGACCTGAGGGGGAATATTGATGAAACAACCCTGTAGGGGATGGAAACGTCCCTTCTGTTTCCCAGTAACTCAGCTGGAATCGGTAAACTGACATCACCAGCTTCCTGCATCCCACCATGTGAGTTACTGACTTTGTATACCTCCTCTCCCAGTTTTGGAATCTGAAGTTGAAAGAATTGCTTATTTTAAGTCAGTGTAGTAACTAAGCTTTATTTAAAAGCCCTGTTTTCAGTGGCTCATGCCTGTAATCCCAGTACTATGGGAGGCCAAGGCACGAGAAATTGCTTGAGCCCAAGAATTCAAGACCATCCTGGGCAACATAGTGAGACCCATCTCTACAAAAAATAAAAAATTAGCCGGGTGCGGTGGTGCACCTGTGGTCCCAGCTACTTGGGAGCCTGACTGAGGTGGGAGGATCACTTGAGCCCAGGAGGTTGGGGCTGCAGTGAGCTGTGATTGTGCCACTGCACTCCAGCCTGGAGTGAGACCGTATCTCTAAAAAATAATAAAAGCCACTTTTTAAAAACCTAGTATCTTCTTGAAAGGTGTTTTTTTGCATTAAAATGTTAATTGAAGAAATTCTTTCTAATCTGTTAAGCATAAAGTTAGCCAAAAGGGTCATTCTTGGCTCATTGTGTGTAATGGCCAAGTGGTGTAGAGCATCTGCAAAGTAGATTAATAGAGGTTGTTTTGGTGGTGGCAGCTAAAACCTAGGGGCACGTTGAAAGTCCTGGAAGAAATTTCATAATGAGTTAATAATGTATGCCTCATGCCGCTTATTAACTTATAATAGAATCAGTGTTTTAAAACCATGTTTCTGGTCAAATTTTAGTCAGATATTAACTTAAATTTTTACGTACTTTTTCCTCCTTGTAGAGTCTTCCTAATATTCTCACCGATGATCGATTTAAAGTTATGTTTGAGAACCCTGACTTCCAAGTAGATGAAGAGAGTGAAGAATTTAGGCTTCTGAATCCACTTGTTTCAAAAATTAGTGAAAAAAGGAAGAAGAAACTAAGACTCTTAGAGCAACAAGAACTTCGTGAAAAAGTAATGTACTCCTTATCAGTTAGAATTTGCTACTGTTTCTTTAATGTAATGTTTTCTTTGTAAGTTAGAAGAGTCTTTGATTATACTTGAGATGTAATTAATTCCATATTAAGTGTTTGACATTGGGCTTAGGAGTATTATCTTATTTATTTAAAGGCATTTCTCCTGATGCATGCAGTAGAGCAGCTGTTAGGCACTCATTAATGGGCCAGTGCTGCTTCAGAGAAACCAAGGGGTCTGTGTTTGACTGGGGGAAAGGAGTTGCTGCTTACTATTTTTATTCTCAGGAAGAGGAGGAAGAGCCGGAAGGAAAACCAAGTGATGCAGAAAGTTCGGAGAGTTCAGATGATGAAAAAGCCTGGGTTGAAGAGGTCAGGAAGCAACGCAGACTCCTCCAGCAGGAGGAAAAAGTGAAGCGGCAGGAACGACTCAAGGAGGACCAGCAGACAGTCCTAAAGCCCCAGTTTTATGAGATCAAAGCAGGAGAAGAATTTAGAAGCTTCAAAGATTCTGCCACAAAGCAGAAACTGATGAAGTGAGTAGCACTGCCTGAGCGCACAGTTGACATGTAACCAAGCCCTTGCTTTTCCTCTCTGGCACATTGCCCTAAAGATGACATTTCTGTCTTTGGATGATGGAGGTGCAGAGGGTGGAGGGGACGAGGGAAGCAGGGGAGGTAAGGCCGTGCAGGAGGTGATGTGAGGGAAGCACCCAGGAGGCCTGAGGGGAGCGTCGCTATTGAAGTACATTGGTCTCTAGGGGATTTACTTATTTGTCACAACTTTTTGAGGTATAGTTTACATGCAGTAAAATACAGGGTAGAGAGAGCCTTATGAGTATCAGTGGAACACTTTTAAGCTGCAGAAGCCACACACTTTCCTTGTCCTTGTTTTTTCCCCATGGGGTTCCCTCACCTACAAATACTTACTCTGTGCCCTACAGATCAGTGGTTTGAAGCCTTTTGGACAGTGGTTGCTAGGAGATGACAACTTTTCTGCTTCTTCACAAAGTTATTTTAAAAAATTAGAACCTCGGTTATGTTTACCCCATCTCACTTTACCTGGTTATTGAAAAGGTTACTTGGAAAATTTGCCAGAAATTTTAAGTCTTTTTCAGGAAAATTGAGAGATCGAAAAGAGTAGTATTCTAGAATAGGCAAATATGTAGAAAGAGGCAGAAAGTAGAATGGTGGTTGCCGAGTGTTTCATGGGTACAGAGTTTCAGGTTGGATTATGAAAATGTTCTGGAAATAGTTGGTAGTGGTGGTTGTACAACAGTGTGAATGTACTTAATGCTGCTGAACTGTCTACTTAAAAATGGTTAAAATGGTAAGTTTTATGTTATAAATATTTACCACCCTTCCAAAAAAATTAACCTTCCCCAAAAAAGGTAGTTTTATTTGAATAATTTTCAGTTGTCAGGAGTCTGAGTCAGGAACAAGCTAGGTGTCAAGCCCAAGTTGTATGTAAACTCTAAATTATGCAAGTCTCTGCTTTGAGAATTCCTAGGCAAAGTATTGATGCACAAGATTGGAATATGATAGACGGTCACAGGAGATGTCTTAAAAGAATAGTGGAATGTCTGGGGAGCCAAGGGAGCAGTCTTGAGGTGGAGCAAGAGGAGTGGGCAGAATAGACAAGGTGTTAGGCTGGGGTCAGTACATTTCTGTACCTTGTACTTCTCCAGCTCCCAGCTCTCCGTGCAGGAGAAGGTGTTTTCTCCGAAGTGGGAGGAGGAAAAGGGTGGGGAGGACATCAGTGAACAGGTGGAATTGTTTCTGGGGTTGAGATATGTTTTATTCATCTTTATTTCACCAGCTTCTAGCAAATATCTGCAACACCAGATGTAGTGAATCCTTGAATTTAGAATTCAGAAGCACCTCAAAATTCTGGTTCTGATGAACTAACTAAAGATATGTCCATGAATAAAGAAGCTAGTAGAGTTGACCCTTGAACAACTCGAGGGCTAGGAGTGCCAACCCCCTGCAAAGTAAAAAATGTGCATTTAGGCCGGGCACGGTGGCTCACGCCTGTAATCCTAGCACTTTGGGAGGCCAAGGGGGGGGCAGATCATGAGGTCAGGAGATGGAGACCATCCTGGCCAACATGGTGAAACCCCGTCTCTACTAAAAATATAAAACTTAGCTGGGTGTGGCGGCACGTGCCTGTAGTCCCAGCTACTCAGGAGGCTGAGGCAGGAGAATTGCTTGGACCCGGGAGGCAGAGGTTGCAGTGAGCTGAGATCACGCCACTGCACTCCAGTCTGGCAACAGAACTAGACTCCATCTCAAAAAAAAAAAAAATATATATATATATATGTGTATATATATATATGTATGTATATATATATGTATATATATGTATATATATATGTGTATATATATGTGTATATATATGTGTATATATATGTGTATATATGTGTATATATGTATATATATGTGTATATATGTATATATATGTATATATATGTATATATATGTGTATATATATGTATATATATGTATATATATGTATATATATATGTATATATATATACATTTAACTTTTTGTGTTATTTATTTTCACTAGAAAGTCTAGACCTAACACATACAACTTTTGATTTCCTGAAAACTTCATTTTTTTTTTAAACCTTCTTGGTGACTGAGAACCTAGAATATCCCCAAAAACTTTACTACTAATAGCCTACTGGTAACCAGAATTTTTAACAGTCAGGGGTCAATTACCACATATTTTGTATGTTCTATGTATTGTATACTGTACTCATACAATAAGATAAGCTGGAGAAAAGCAAATGTTATTAAGAAAATCATAAGGAAAGGAAAATATATTTATTCATTAGGTAGGAGAGGATCATTGTAAAGGTCTTCATCCTTGTTGTCTTCATGTTGAGTGGTCTGAAGAGGAAGAAGAGGAGGGATTGGTCTTCCTGTCTCGGAAGGCAGAGTCAGAAGAGGAGGAAGTGGAAGGGAGGCAGGGGAGGCGAGTAATGGTGTTAACTTTTATTGGAAAAACTGCGTGTAAGTGGAGCAGTGCAGTTCAAACCCATGTCATTCAAGGGCCAACTATAATGTTCTTGGTATCTTTTGAAGGTGTTTTCTTTACTGACCAACCTCACTTTTTAAAATAACCACTTTCTTGAGATATAATTTATGTAACATACAATTCATCTGCTTAAAGCATGCAGTTCACTGGTTGTTAGTAATGTAACATACAATTCATCTGCTTAAAGCATGCAGTTCACTGGTTGTTAGTAATGTAGCATACAATTCATCTGCTTAAAGCATGCAGTTCACTGGTTGTTAGTAATGTAACATACAATTCATCTGCTTAAAGCATGCAGTTCACTGGTGTTTAGTATATTCACAGAGTTCTGGAACTATCACCTTAATTTTAGAACATTGTCATCACCCCAAAAAGAAACCCCACGCCTTATGGGCAGTCACCCCACATTTACCCTACCCCATCTCCCATCCTGAGGCAGCCACTAGTTTACTTTTCTGTCTCTATCGATTTGCCTATTCTGACATCTCATGTAAAGGGAACTGTATAATGTGTGGCCCTTTGTGGCTGGCCTCTTTCCCTTAGCACAGTGTCTTTAATGTTCATCCGTGTTGTAGCATCTATCGGTGTAGTCAGCCCTCTGTATCCAAGGGTTCCTTATCCATAAATTCAACCAATATGGGCTGAAAATATTCAGAAAAAATTTGTAACTGTACTGAACGTGTACAGACTTTTTTCTTGACTTTATTCCCTAAACAATAGTATAACAACTATGCATGTAGCATTTACATTGTATTAGGTATTATAAGTAATCTACAGATAATTTAACATATAGGAGAGGGTGTGCACAGGTTATATGGAAATAACCACACCATTTTATACAACTTGAGCATCCATGGATTTTAGTATCCAAGGGAGGTCCTGGAACCAATTCCCCAGCGGATACCAAGGGACAACTCCACTCCATTTGTTTTTATTACCAAGTAATATTCCAGTGTATGTATAGACCAGTTTATATCCCTTCGTCAGTTAATGGACATCTGGGTAGTTTCCACTTTTTGGCTATTATGAATAATGCTGCTATGAACATTGGTTTATACAGTTTTACATGTGTTTTGCATATGTTTTCATCTATGTGCAAGAATTGGAAGAAATTGCTGGTCATATAGTAACTCTATGTTTAGCCTTTTCAGAAACCGGCAAACTTGTCCACAGGCTGTGCCATTTTACATTCTCCAGCAGCGTGTGCAGCCTCACTTTTTATACAGCTGTTATGTGTAGGTGTTTTACTGGGAGTCCTGCTTGGTTTGTGCTGTTCTGGTTCTGTGGAGTAAGTTTATTTGTTGAGTATATGCTGTTTTTGTCTTGCTCTATTTACTGCTTTATCTCTGGCTCTTGAATAAGTACTTAGAATAGAGTGGGCACTTGAGAAATACTTGCTGAAACTGTGAATCTTTTTTGCCATGACAACACATCAGGCAACTCAGAAGTTACTCCTTCAAGATCTGCTGAGAAAGGACTCCTTTTCCCCATAGCCATTGACCAGGAAAATCTGGGAGCAGTTGTTTTGAGTGTAACCACAGCAACAGGAGGCTGTGATTTGGGGGTAGGCGGTCTGACTAATCTCTCTAACATTCTTCCTTTTGCCTGGGGGCTGTAGTAGGATATGGAGGTATAAAACAAAGAGGATAAAAATTTGTATCTAAGAATAACCCATAGCGAGGTGAATAAACTGCAGTTAAACATTCTAAGTTAAATATCACCAAGTTAAACATTCTTACTAAGTTAAATATAACCAAGTTAAACATTCTTACTAAGTTAAATATCACCAAGTTAAACATTCTTACTAAGTTAAATATCACTAAGTTAAACATCCTTTTTGAGAACTATATAAGTGATAATATTTACATGAGTATTTGGTGAAGCATTAAACCACGATCCTTCAGAGAACTAAAGTGACTCTGTATGTTTATTCTGCAAGTTACCGCAAGCCAGTCAACAAGAGACAACATCAGATTGAATGTGTTATATTTAAATGTTCACTTGGACTTGCCTAGCTTTAAAATGTTTCTATAAAGGGAAAGGTGGATCGTGAATGGTAGCTGGAGACTTGAGTGAGCTGTCTGCGTTGCTTGGTGTGGTCATATGGCTTTAGATAAACACGTGTGTCTGTTGACACATATTTTTATGCCTTACAGTGGGCTAACTTTGTTTGTGAGTCTGTTCATCCACTTATCAGCCTCTCCACCACCCATTCATTCATCAAGCATTTATCAACTGCTCAGTGCGAGCATACCAGCATTCTAGACCCAGGGGATGGGAAGAACGACATGGCCTGCGTACCTGAAGCGCTCATGGGAAAGGAGCATAAGAAGGAAGGAGCTGAATTTGGGGAGCCTTGAAATCATATGGAAACTGGTTGTGGAAAGATGCAGAGTGGAGCATTCAGGGCTGGTGGGAAAGATAGCATTCCTGGCAGAGGCACGGTGCAGCCACAGGCAGGCCATGCGAAGGGTTGGGGGTGCCTTCCTACAGCCAGAGCATGGGGTGCCTGAAGGGGTAGCCGAGCAAGCACTGGAAAGCCACGATCTTACAGCTTAGATGAATGGGATCCAATCTATTCCAACCCCTCCCCTAGTGTTGTAAATACTTTTGTAATAAAAGCAGTGCATGTTTGTTGTAGCAAATAAAAACATAGGCATAAAAAGTCCCTATTCCCAGAAACCCATTAGCAGAATATCTCCATTTTAGAAAGACAATGTGCGGAGAACCTGGACACCCAGAGACCAGCTCTCAAACCATTAGAATCATCCCAGTTAGAAGGGCCACAGGCCTGAACGATGGGGTGGAGAGGAGCAGACAGACCAGAAGACTAAGAGTGAGAAAGAAAAAGGAGCACAAACTCCACCATCAGTTCCTAATAATATCAAAGGAGAAGGGAATAGTCAGGGATGACGTAGAGATGTCTAGTAATGTTGCCATTGAGGTAAAAAATACAGAATGCAAAATAGGTTTAAGGCTAAAAGTAATGAGCTGGGTTTTGTGCACATTAAATAAAGGAGCCCATGCGTCTTCTGTGTCACATTCAGTAAACCAATGGCAGTGTCCATCGGGCCCAGGAAGAGGAGGCTGGAGATGTCAGTTTGAGAGATACCAGCGTTTATTGTGTGGTCAAGATCACGAATGAAAAGAGATTTAGCGTCATTGTATAAAGTAAGATTAGGGCTAAGAATGGAAGCTTGGGGAAAAACAAATATTTTACTTGAATCTGTGATAAAATCCATACCATACACCTCTCTAGAGAAAAATACAAATGCCTGTGATGTATTTACATAGAATTTTAGAGAATTCACAGATGTACTGATTGCCTAGAACTAAAAATTCTGTTAGAAAGCAGACAGAGGAGAAGATGGACAGTAAAGATACTGGAGTTGTCAACAAGCTGAGAGGAAAACTGGAAAGGGCCAAACCTGGAGCGTGTCTCAGGGAAGGGAGTGGTCCTGACACCCATCGGAGTAGAGAGGCCCAGGAATGAAGGCTGGGAAAAGGCCAGTATGCGGATGGCCTCACTGGCACTCGTTTCTCAGTCCTGCCAAGTGGCCAACTGCAATAGAGACACAAGTGACTGGGAGATAGAAAACACAGTAAACAGTTAGTGTCGGTGAGTCTTTCAAGAAGTTTGGTAGTGAAAGAAAGGGATGAAAGCCAATAACTTGATGGAAAGCGGTTTATAGACTTGAGAGATGTGATTTGTTAGTAGGCAGAGAAGACTCAGCCACAGAAAGTGGGTAGTAAGGAATGGAGAGAATTGAGTCAGTTGATAAAGTGGCATCTGGTAAGGAACTGGGTGGCAGTGGGCCCGAGTACCAGGTAAGGAGAGCCTCAGAAAAGACAAGGTATGCATCCTCAGAGACATGGAGGAAAGAAGTCCAGATGCGTGAACATAGGGGACATCATTCTGGTTAGAGGTAGAAAGATTGGGAAGGCCATGCTTGTTGGCCTCAGGAATCTGGGCACATCAGCCTTTTCTGGTATCTGGAGCAGCCATGACCTGCAAGGTATAGGAGTGGAGCTGTGTGTGTTGGTGAACAGTGGAGAAAGAGAGTCCTTAGAATGAAAACTCTCCACGTTTCAGTAGATGGGGATAACTTCTCTCCTTGGGTAGTCAATATTAGCTGCCAGGCAGCCTTTCAGTTCCATTTATGAAAGCATTCTTTGAAGTACCTGCCCTGTGGTAGGTCCTAGAAATTCAAAGATGTTTAAGACAGTCCCTGCCTTTGGGGAGCTCATCTTCTTCACCGGGTAGCTTGGTAGCTTTGGGTGAGCTTTTTATCGTGTCTGCAACATTATCCACTTTGTGAATTAATATGGCATGTTTTTACTCTTCAGCTCACATTCCTCTGATAGTGGATAAGAGCTGAGGTAATGCAGCTTTGTTTTAATATAAGCATTTAAAAATCTAATCTGGAAAGTAATTAAATTCCAGGCTTACATTTTTAAAAAGAGAATCTTGTATTACTCAAGGAATACGTCCTCAGTACTATGTAGGCATGTTATCATTGTAACACTTAAGAGTGTGGGCTGAAGGTTAAAGCCTCTCCTGTCCCCCACCTCCCTCCCTGAGGTCATGGCTGTGTGTGCACCACACTTCTCTCTTTTAAAAAATGCATTCATTCCCGTATGTGTTCACACTCACACATCTATACCTGTAGCTTTTTTTCTTTAACATGAATGGTTCATACTCCTCATGTTATTTTTTGAGATGGGTCTCACACTGTCGCCCAGGCTGGAGTGCAGAGGCGCAATCATGGTTCACTGCAGCCTCGACCTGCTGGGCTCAAATGATCCTCCCACCTCACCCTCCTGAGTAGCTGCGACTACAGGCCACCACATGCGGCTAATTGTTAAATTTTTTGTCCAGATGGGGTCTCATTTTGTTGCCCAGACTGGTGTTGAACTTCTGGCCTCACAACATCCTCCTGCCTCAGCCTCCCAAAATGCTGGAATTGCAGGCATGAGCCACTGTGCCCAGCCTAATTATACTGTTTTAACTTGCTCTTTTTGTTTAGCAGCAAGTCTTGGAAACGTTTCTTTGTACGTACAGTAGGCTTACCTTCTGGCTGCATAAATACTTCATAAGGTGGGTGTGCTGGGATGTATGTTGTTCTCTGACGATGGGTGTTGAGGTTGCTGCTTTTTCTCTTTCCCCTTTCACAGTCGCAAATGTGTGTATGCACACGGACAAGTATTTCTTTAAAGCGTATTCCTAGTAGGAGTTTGCTGGATCAGCGGGGGTATGCGATAAGAGACTGCCAGATCACCCTCCAAAAAGGCTTGAGCACTTTGCACTCTGGCCAGAGCGCCTGTTTCCCCACACTCCAGCAACGCCGGATATTAAGAATCTTTTACATCTTCGTTATGCCTATAGATGAGGCATCAGATTTCGTGGTTGCCTGAGTTTAAGTCTCTTGAAATAGGGCCTTTGAAGCAACACATGGAAACGGAAAGCATTCAAATAAAGTTTTTACTAAACCTTATGGCATATGTAAATATTTGTCAAAGGTAGTTATTTAAAGCAAAGTACTTAAAATTAAATTTAAAAAATACTTAATCCTTTATCTGTGGATTCTCTTTCTCCATTTTCTAGTTTATTCCCTCCGGTGTAGACTATGGAGTGAGGGCTCCTTTAATTAGAGTTAATTAACTCTTCTCAATTTTGTCCTGAAGCACATGCCTTTATGAATATGACCTCCACCCCCACACCGCCCCTTCCATGCAGCGGGATTCAAAACCTCTCATCTGAGGAGCATTGAGTTTTAATTAAATATGTGTGTGTGCGCGTGTGTTCGTATTTTAAAACCCCAAAGTAAATTAGCCTCCCTGGTGCATCTAAATATTTAATTTGATTTTCTTCCTAGTAGTTTCTGCCCACTTTCCTTTTTATTTTAAGATAAATTTACTAATAATTTAGGTTCTTCCCCTGGGAGCCTTCTGCATTCTACACTGAGTAATTCTACCCACTTTCAACATTGTAAAGCCTGTATCTATTTTCTTAGCAATCACAAGTTTGGGGATTGTTTTTATCTGCTTGTTCCAATTAGATTTTCCCCTAGAATCCTTTACTATACACCAGTGAAAAAGTCCCCCATGGCTGTCAGACCTAAAGTAAAGCCTAGGCAGGGAAAAGAAGCAGGGGCGGGGCAGGGAGCGGGGGAGGGGAGAGGAGGGGGAGGGAAAGGCCAATTCTGCCATCCTCCTCTGCCACCTGCCAGTGTCCTGGAAGAAACATGCTGAGAAGCGCATGCAGTGTGGTGTTCTGCCTTTTGTTTTTCTGTTCAATAAGGAATTTTCAGGTGTTCCTACAGCAGTGTCTACTTAGGTCATCTCTGACCGAAGTCACACTCAAGAAGCAGGCTGTGGAACTGCTGGGTTAGCAAACGCTTTCAGTAAACTGACTTTCAAAGGGAGGGAAGTGGAACTTCTTTAATGTAGAAACCTCCACACACGGTCTCTGTCTGTGTCTGATCTTCTGCCATGGTTTGTTCCAAAACTCAGCTTGTCTTTCCAAATAGCCTAGACAGAACAAGTTTTTACAAGTGCACATTGAAAGTACATTGAGAGAAACCCCAGAATGTGTATGCCCTATCATGGAGGAAGTAAGGTCATTCTTAACAGAGTAATAATTGCTCACAATTTACTGGCAAAGTCTTTTTCTTCCTAAATTAGTGTTTTCTGTATACCATCTTCTCTCAGTGGTTCCATAGTTATTCAGAATTCCTGTTAACTTTTTTTTTTAAGTGAAAGCAAGTTTATTAAGAAAGTAAAGGAATAAAAGAATGGCTACTCCATAGGCACAGCAGCCCTGTTAACTTTGAAACCTCAGAGTTTATAGCTATGAAAAGAAAGAAGAAGAATGACATGAACAGGTTGAGGGATTTGCTGAGGCTCACATAATTCACATGCATGCCAGAGTCCGTTTACACTTCACTTTTGAATTGTTCGGAAAAAAAAAAAAAAAGCTAACCGAAATCTTCATTTCATTCCGTTTGTCATGTGGAAGCTTGTCATTGAGAATACTTAATGGACAAGTTTCCTGAACAAAACTGTGTAAATCAAGTATGGCCTGACACTTGCCTGGAAACCAGCAATTCTGAAATTGGAATCCTGCTTAGAACTGAATCCTTACGTGGCCTGCAGCAAGTCATTTCACATCTTACCTCCCTTTTTTGCCATCTATAAAGGATAAATACTTCTGTCTCAGGGATGTTGAAAGGATTAATTAGTTAGTCTATAAATAACTTTGAAGATGAAAAGTACTTTAAAAGTGCTTCTTAATAACATTATTGCTTAGAAAAGAGTGCCACTTTTATGCTAACCACTTTATGTCTCAAATTATATAAAGAAGGTATGTTTAGTACATTACTACGAGTTGTAAACTAGAGATAAATTTCACATGGTGTGAGCATCAAACATTAGCTTCAGAATTTCAAAGAAGCATCACTTTGTCTTAAGGATCATTTAGGAGCTGTGCTCTCAGTAATTAGTTACAAAGATCATATTTCAGGGAAAAAAAGACTCTTTCACACAGTTCAGCCTTTTTCTTTCTTCAGTCAGGTTTCTTAGCCATCACTTTAAAGGGCTGCATTGAATTTGATCTGGGGCAGGGAGGACAGGAGACAGTATACTATTTTTGAGGAGGGAACAGAATAGAAGAGAACCATATTCTTTGTCTTCCCTCGCATCTCTCTCAATCTTATCAGGGGGATAGGAATCTATTGCTTTAGCCATTTCTAGAAAAGTTAGAGTAACTGTTTAAACTTACTGAAAATATATATCATTAGGCTTAATTCAGTTTATTTCCCTCTAAACCAAGTTAACAAAAAGGGCCAGTGTTCTAGTTTATAATAAAACATTATAACTTGCAGTGAAGTTTCATTTTATAATGGGTACAAAATTCAAACTTAACCTCTTTATTGGAAAGCAGAGGGGGATTGTGTTAATTACACAGATGACAGTGAAATGCAGGGCACAGCAGACTGTAACAGAGACACAGATTATATAAAGAGAGCCTAGAAAAATTTGGAAAATGTGATCAAGAAATGAAATGAGATTTAAATTTGGAATAAAGTATGTCAGAAAGAGTAAGTCAAGTAAGAAACTAAAAGGAAAGGTACCTGGAGAGATAGCAGTGGCTAGAGCTGAATCAGGTACAGTTACCCAAAGTGTAATTGCTTTTGTTTTCTCTCAGCGTCATCAGACAGATTCATGTTTCAAGCTGTTCATGCTGTGGGATGATGGCTTGCAGTCTACGGAGTTAAGACTGAGTGAAGGAAAAACGAGAATTATCATAGCTCTTCTCTGTGGCTTGACCTGGAGGACTTAATTTGTGCTCATTCCTTTGTAAAAGGTGGACGAGTGGCCAAATTACTCACATACCTAATTTGTGTATTGTTTAAATATATCATTATATCATAAATGCCATTGACCATTATGATCAATTACAGGCTTCAGGAGTAGATTGCTCTTTGCATTTGGTCTTCAGAAATATGATTGATTTTAGTAAGAAAAGTAGCAGGCATTGAAGTGTTTGGTCCTGCCACTTAAGATATTAAATTAGTGGGTGTTTTTGCCAGCCATTGTTTTACAGTCTATCTCTGGAATATGAATAATGACTATTTGAATGCACCTAATTCTTTCCATTTATTGTGTTAAATGAATGATATTTTCTGTTTACATGTGTAAACATTTTTCTTCGCTATCAATTCTAATCAAAACTTGTTTCAAATGGTAAATTAAAACATAATTTTGATTAATGTGGCATTCTTTTGAATTTCCCATAGCAAAACCCTTGAAGATCGTTTGAAAATTGAAGCAAAAAATGGGACATTGAGTGTATCCGACACCACCGTTGGCAGCAAACAATTGACATTCACGTTAAAGAGGGTGAGTTGTCTTTTATTGTTATTTTTTAATTCACAAAAGAAAAATAGCCTTTCAATAGTGTTTGTGTGTGTGTCCTCAGAGCAGCCTTCTCAATGCTTTTCCCCTATTGAGGAAGCTGTGTTCCCTGTTCTAACATTTTCCTTGCAACCAGAGCCCCTGGTGGGCCAAGAGCACAGTGTGTGACTGCAGCAGAGCCAGGAATGTCACTGGTGTTCCAAGGGAGACAGGGAGTTAGTGGCCCTGGAGTTAGCTCTGTTGGAGATGAACCAGCCGTCTTGGTTTCTGGATTGCTCTGTAGCCTCAGGTGCGGCTTATAAAGCAAAAGTCCCATCCTGACCCTCTAAAGATGTAGGGCTACTACATCCTGACCCTCTGAGGATGTAGGGCTACCTCGCATGTATATGGACTTTGAAGAAGACCGGGAATTGGCGAGTTCTGATAACTTGTGACAGTCACACCCAGCTTGCCCAGATACTATCATTTTAGAAGACAGACTACTCTGCCCGTGGTCATTCTATTCTAAATTGATTTATAAGATCCATTTTTTTTAGCCAGTGGTAATAATACCTGTCACATTGTAGGAGGAGTAAGCTGCTTAAATATTTACTGTTAACTGGATACAGTTTTATTTCTCAAAAAATTTTTTTCTCATTCAAAGTCAGTCCTCTTCAATATAGTCACCAAATAGAACAGAATGACAAAGATTTCATCCCTTTTTTTTTCCTTAAGCAGTAGTAGGGAGATTATTCTTTTTTAAAATTGAGATATAATTCACAGACCATATGCATCCTTTTAAAGTGTACAATTCAGTGGTTCTTAGTGTATTCACTGAGTTGGGCAACCATCACACTGTGTAATTCCAGAACATTTTCATCACCCCAGAAAGAAGCCCTATACCCTTTAGCATTTACCCCCATCTTTTCATCCGCCAGCCCCTGGCAACCACTAATCTACTTCCTGTCTCCATAGCTTTGCCTGTTCCGGGCATTTCATACAAATGGAATCATTCAATGTGAAGTCTTTCATAGCTGGCTTCTTTCACTGAGCATAATGTTTTCAAGGTTTATTCATTCAGTGGTGTAGCTTGCATTGGAATTGCATTTCTTTTTATGGCTCAATAATATACCATTGTACGTATATAACACATTTTGCTATTCATTCGTTTTTTAAGGGACACGGGTTGTGTTCTTTTGGGGTAAGCGATTAATAATTGGCTGTGAAAATGAATGTATAAATTTTTGCATGAACATGTGTTTTTATTTATCTTGGGTCTATACCTAGGAGCAGAATTGCTAGTGTAGCTATTTAACTTTTTGAGAAACCTGTCAGACTGTTTTCTGACAGTGGCTGCACCATTTTACATTCCCACCAAGCAGCGTATGAGGGTTGCAGGTTTTCCACATCCACACCAAACCTGTCTCTGTCGGTCATCTTTATTATAGCCATGCTAGTGGGTGTGAGTGGTGTGTTGTTTGATTTGCAGGTCCCTAATGACTAATGAGTTGAGCATTTTATCATGTGCTTATTGGTCATTTGTGTGTCATCTCTGGAGAACTACCTCATCACATCCTGTACCCATTCATCTCTGATTTCTCTAAAATTTTCCCAACGTGCATCCAGGAGGCTTGCCAAGTAATAAAAAACTTCATTATTCTAAGTGCAAAAAGCTTTTCAGTTAATTCTGTCTGCTGAGAGCAAATTTGCCCTCTTACATTTATCACTTACGTAAGCCAAATACACATTCAGAGGGACCTCATTGTGCCTGTTCCTAATTTCTTATCAATTTTCTTTATACCTGGAAACATTCGTTGATTCCCTCTGAAACTCAAGTGATGTCAAATGGGGCAGGAGCAGCACAGCCTGGAAGGATCCCAGGTCTGCAGCACAGCCACCTCAGCTCCTGCAGAGGCCCCTCTGCTGGGTTGAGTGAGCACCTACCTTGCAGTAACATGAAAATACAAGCCTTTTCCCACTGTTTCTAAATCGGGAGGTACTGAGTTGAAGATCAGTTTAAAATTTGTAGTAAAATGAAAATAAGATGGCTCTGAAATTATATTTTTGTTTATAAAAAAAGTATTAAGAATTGCTTTAAATGGCCTCATAACTGAATCAAGCAGAGGCTTTGAAACTGTTTTGAGGACTGTGTCAATTAATGTTTGATGTGTGTGTTTCCTTACTTGACAGACATTTTAATTATTAAATCTCAGTTTTACTTGAGTTCTAGTTTACAGTAAACTTTACTTATTCGGGCAGTTGTTCATAGAAGTCTCTTTTTATACTGCAGGTTAGATATGCTCAGGTAGAATCTTGAGTTTTTCCTATGTTTGCATATGTACCTCCTAAAATTTCAATAAAATTGAAGAGAGAAAATCCATGCTTTAATGTCGTTTAAAATTGTATAGTGGCAAAACTGGGATTCAGTCACAAATCTAATTTTAAAATGCCATTTAGTACAGTTCCTCATCAAGCCTGAGACTGTTGCTGATACAAATGTGCCTGTTTGCACCTGTCCTCCTCCTCCCTCTGTGACAGGAGTGCTGGAGGCTGTGGTGAAGTAGTCGGGAAGAGGAGGCAGAAGCACCCAGGAGAAGCGCTAATGGCCCATAGATCCTATCCTCCTGAATCCGCCACATGGCGGCAAGGCCTTCCAGATGCCGCCTTGGGAGAGAGGCTAGTCATAGTCCTTTTTCTGCATGGAAATTTGTCTGCAGAACAATAGTCACTGCTTACAAGCTCCTCTTGAAGCTCCTACCTTGGTGGAGAAAGTCTGGCAGAGCTTCCCAAAATGTGTTCCAGGAGATGTAAATGGTGACTCTGGAAGATTACTTTTGCCATCAGACAGATAAGGGAAAAACCTTGGACTGATGTCCATGTTGAAGACTTATGAAGGTACCTTAACTTAGAAGCTCCAACACACACACCTTGTTTATCTGTATTTAGCACATGATTTTCCAAAATTATATGAAGAAACCCTTTTTTTTTTTTTTTTGAGACAGAGTCTCGCTCTATTGCCCAGGCTGGAGTGCAGTGGCACCATCTCTGCTCAATGCACGCTCCACCTCCCGGGTTCACGCCATTCTCCTGCCTCAGCCTCCCGAGTAGCTGGGACTACAGGCAGCTGCCACCATGCCCAGCTAATTTTTTGTATTTTTAGTAGAGACACGGTTTCACCGTGTTAGCCAGGATGATCTTGATCTCCTGACCTCATGATCTGCCCATCTCAGCCTCCCAAAGTGCTGGGATTACAGGTGTAAGCCACCACATCTGGCCTGAAGAAACCCTTTTTAAATAAACCTAAACCCTGATTAACATGAAGAATCGAAATATTGAGTAACTGGTGTTGGTTCACTTTACAGGGCTCCTGGTGGTGTCATCACTTGCTCAGCTAGGGAGTGTTAGAAGGAGTTCTGAGTTTTCCATTAACGCATGTGTATTGATGCCTGCCCTGTGCTGCATGCTAGGGACAGACATGGCTCTTGCCACCACAGTTCTCAGTCTACTGGGAGAGAGAGACAGCGGGTAAAAATTATACACCTCTAATTATATCATTAGAACTGCGGCAAGTGCTTCAAAGGAGAGCAGAGGGCTGTGAGAGTGTTTGGTAAGGGACCAAACTTTGCACAGTTTCAGTAAGCACAGGACTGAACTGACATAGTATTTCTATTTTTTTTAAATCCTTCCGGTTGCTGCATGGAGAGTTGCCTCAAGGGATATTTGAAAGGAAGCAGAGCACGAGGAAGGCAGCTCCGTGGTGGCCATGCTTAGGAGCGGCAGCAGCCTGGGCTTGGGTGGGACCCTTTGAGACGGAGCACAGTGGAGGAGTTTGGGACGCACTTCAGAAGAATACACAGGACAGGATTTACTTTGAAAAGACAGTTGAAGAATAGTAATAGTCAGAGAAGGGACTTAAGAATTATGCAGAAACCCGGTTTAAGAACTTATTAGAATGGGAGAAATGCATCCTTTTTTTTTTTTTTTTTGACATTACAAATTGCTTTCCTTCCCCGCTATTCTCTCACTTGCAACTCTTCAATTTTAGAAGAGTGGGTAATATCCACAAGAGGTGAATCCACTGGACACTTTCTCCTCAAGGGTAACACACAGATGCATGTGTTTTGTTAGGTGTGTAGAAAATACAGATCCTGGCTGGGCACGGTGGCGCACGCCTGTAATCCCAGCACTTTAGGAGGCCAAGGTGGGTGGATCACAAAGTCAAGAGATCGAGACCATCCTGGACAACATGGTGAAACCCCATCTCTACTAAAAATACAAAAATTAGCCGGGCGTGGTGGCGGGTGCCTGTAGTCCCAGCTACTCTGGAGGCTGAGGCAGGGGAATCGCTTGAATCCGGGAGGCAGAGGTTGCAGTGAGTCGAGATTGTACCATTGCACTCCAGCCTGGCAACAGAGCAAGACTCCATCTCAAAAAAAAAGAAAATACAGATCCCAGAGAAGCAGGTTCCCTGGGTGTCCATAAGACGGTGCTTTTCCGCTTTATCAACTGAGGCCCCTGACAGTGCTTTCTCAGTTTACCATGTGTGCAGTTCCACCGCTAAGAAATTTTTTTTTTTTTGAGCTTTACCTTCAGGAGTTTGTATTTTCAAAACCATCAAATGTGTTTTTAAAACCGTGTAACTCTTAACCTTTGTTGTGGATTCTGCACTGATGCTCTTCTAAGAATTTCTGCTGAAAGTAGTTAAACCATTTGGCGCCAGGGATGGGGTAGGGAGGAGTTCCAGCTCCCATGTGAGCCAATGAGCATTGAGGACAAATGTGAGCACCTTTCCAGCAGTCAGCCCGAGAGTCCACATGGTTATTGCAGCTGTGAACGTGTGCATCGTCTGCCTGGCTTTTATCAGTGATTAATGAGAGCAGTTTGCTGCTTTTAAGGAGAAGTGGAGTTTTGGGAAACAGCTAAAAATTCTTTGGAGCAAGTTCTAGTGAATGAATGCTTTAATAACGTACTTTTAGTACATTTAAGTATTTTTTGTTTTTAAAAACAGTGGGAATAAACTAATGGCTCTAGTTTGTAAACAAAGATCTCTAAAAGGAAGTGGACACTCTAAGTGATATCATCTTCTTAAGGTGGCTCTTGTGTAGGCTCTTTTAAAACATCCCAGTGGTTGTGTGAGTGTGTTGGTTGAAAAACCAGTCTCCTACTTTGTAGGAGGCTGGTCTGTCAGGGCCCTTCTCTTGCCTGGGGTTCAGAATTTCTGCTTTTGCATTGATGGTAAAAGTTGGCCTTGGTCCTGCTGTTTCTGCCAGGGTAGCATTTGTCAGAGCAGAGTCCAGGCAGCCCCACCATGTCCCCTGGAGCCTGTGGGCAGCATTTCTCCTGGCAGCAGTTCTGAGATTGGTGGTGGTACTGTTGGCAGCCTGACGGTTACCAGAAAAGAGGTATAGAATTTTCTCTCTTTCCCTCTACTCATTTCATTTTCTCTTTTAGTCTGAACAGCAGAAGAAGCAACAGGAGGCTGAGAAACTGCATCGACAAGAAAGGAAAAGACTCCGTCGTTCGGCCGGACACCTGAAGTCAAGACACAAAAGAGGACGGTCGTTTCATTGATTTGGGAAGTGGTCCTACCTGTGATTAGGGAGGGGTACGTCTCCCCCAAACTGATCATCGTTAGGGTGTTAAACACAGACGAGGAAACACACGTTTTTAAAGTTCATGTACGTTCTTGTACACAGAGGTAAAGATTTGAAAACCTGTGCCTTGTGGGTTGGACTTTGAAGCTGGCCCCGCCGACGGCCACCGCACAGCCCCAGGGGTGTGCTTGCGAGTCGTTGCTCCCTGGAAACATTGTCCTTTCCCCACGGCGTTAATCATGAAAACCAGGCTGGGGTTTTTTTAATATTGTGAAATGTACACCATGAAATGAAAGGTTTATCCTGTGCCAGAAACCAAGGTTTATCATGCTCTAGGAACTTTTTTCTTACACTGCCTACCGCCATTCATGATTAAACCATCCAGAAATACCATCCCTGTTTTACCTGGTGTCTGTGTATTGCCTGTGTTTGTGTTTATAAGTTTATGCTGATAGGTTTGTTCGGCTTGTTTATGTATTAGTTTGGGATTTGTTTTTAAATAATTTATACCAAGAGAGTATAATCTAATGGTGCAGGTTGAGAGCATCCCAAATCCGAAAATCTAAAACTGTTTGAGCACTGTATTTATCTGTTCTTGCACTGCTATAAAGAACTACCTGAAACTGGGTAATTTATAAGTAAAGAAAAGAGGTTTAATTGACTCACAGTTCTACAGGTGGTACAGGAAGCATGGCTGTGGAGGCCCTGGGAAGCTTACAATCGTGGCAGAAGGTGAAGCGGAAGCAGGTATGTCCTGCGTGGCTAGAGCCAGAGGAGGAGGGCAAAGGGGCAGATGCTGCACACTTTCAAACACCAGATCTCCAAGAACTCACTAACACAGAATAGCAAGGGGGAAGTCTGCCCCCATGTTTCAGTCACCTCCCTCCAGGCCCCTCCTCCAACACCGAAGATTACAATTTGACATGAGATTTGTGTGGGGACACAGAGCAAAACCATATCAAGCACTGACATGACATTGGAGGAAAATGCTCATTAGAGCTTTTCAGGTTTTGGATTTTCAGATTTGGGATACTTGACTAGTAAATATAATACAGATATTCCAAAACACACAAAAAAACCAAAGTCTAAAAGACTTCTGGTCCCAAGCATTTCAGATAAGGGATACCCAACCTGTAATAATGGGAAACAAGCAGTAGAGGCTGTTGGTTAATCTTGGCACAAGTTTAATTACAGGTTTTTTTTTTTTCCTGTTTCTTAAGTACAGTCAAACATAAACTTACTGGAGGAAACATTTATAAAAATAAATATACTTTCATTTGAATAGCTTCTTTGAGAAAGACTCCAAGAAAATTTTTTTTTCATTAGTCAAACGGTGGTGTGCACTTGTAGTCCCAGCTACTGAGGCTGAGGTGGGTTGCTTGAGCCTGAGAAGTCGAGGCCAGCCTGGACGACAGAGCAAGACCTGCGTCTCAAAAAAAGAAAGAAGAGAACCAACTTTGGTTTCCTTAGTTTTTCCAGCTTTGATGTGATTTTGGAGGTGCCTTTATAGATTTTTAAGGTTCTTTATATACAACTGAAATAGTAACTCTTTGGACTGTGAATGATACAGCCTAATTTCGAATAGCATAAGCCGAGAGGCAGAATGCATTAATTTACATCACCATGCTTGGGACATGGAACTGGCCTCAGGAACACCTAGATCCATGGCTCCACGGTCAGTCAGCTAGCACATGCGCACTCTATCTCTGTTTCCCTCTTTCTCTCTCTCTCCTTCCCCTACTCCCTCCCTTCCTCCTCCTGTCTCACCATTGTTCCTTCTCTCTTCAGGCCTCCCCTGCTGTCTTTTCCCTATGTGTTTCCCGTCCCCCTGCCTCTGCTCTCTGTGCTGCTTCTGCTTCTGTGCAGATTGGCTTGTTCCCAAGGCAGGGAACAGCTCAGCCATGTGTCCACTTCTGTGGTCCGAGAAATGAGGTCTGTTTACAGAAAAAAGGTGTGTGGAAGGTGGGGTATGTGTGTATGTTCTTGTTCCTGGGGCACCCAGCCCCATTTGTGCTGTGGTACCAGGGAGTCCTCCAGCTGTTCCAACCCCTGGACCGGTACTGTCCTTTTTCAGCTTCTTTCCCCCTAAACTCTTGCTCACTGTCCACCTCTTCTCAAAGGAAGTGGCTGCAGCTTCCTGTTGCCTTCTCTTCTCTGTTTCTACGCTGCCTCCCTCAGGGATGGGGGGTTTTAAAAATTTAGAGAGGGACATTTTGCTGGCTGGAATGTCCCCAGGGGTTGGGTGTTTATGCCCTTGGCCTGTTTCCTGACGTCAGGGTCTGTCACGTCTACTCCTGGCTTTCCCAGGCCCCTCTTTTCCTTCCTTCTTGAAGGGCCTCCTGGTTCTGTGGGGAGCCGGTATTCCGCAGGGCCAGATTCCACAGGCAGCGGTGCTCTCTGTTCACCCAGCACTGTCAGCACACCAGGAGGTCAGGACATCAGGGTAGAGGAGGAGGGCCAGGATCACTTCTGGGCACCTGGGAGGCTGGCAGTTTAGTAGAAAGAGCTTGCATTTGGAACCACCCTGACACAGGGTCGAATTCCAGGTCTGTTGCCTACTAGTTCTGTGTCTTTTGACTGTTGCCTTAATCTCTGTGAATCTCATTTCCTCCTGTAGATCAGCCTAATACTTAGTTTTTATTAGAGTAAAATGAGGCACTTACATTAGGTACAGCACCTGGCACTGTGCAAGGCTCATGAGGATTTGACAAAGCTTCTTGACCATTGAGGGTTTTCAAGAGCAGGGGAGGTGACCTCGGCTTTTGTTCTGGAGAGTTGCTGAAGGGCAGGCGGAGGGACTGCCCTGAGTCTGAGGGACACAGAAGGAGTGTCCGCTGACGACAGCTATATGGGTACTCCTCCTAGGCCTGACCCGTCCCTCATTGCCCCAGTTTTCCTACCGATTCAGCCCTTAACGCAGGCCTGCCTCTTCAGGGCTGATTCCCAGCGTGCCTGCTCTAATCCTTCATGTCTTCGAAGTTTCCTGTTTCCAAGTTTTATTCAGCTTTCATACTCTACTCCATAATTTTTCCGTGTGTGTGATATACTACTCACTAGTCCTAGGAAATGGCCATTTCCCATGGGTCTCTGTCCCAGGCACGCACAGCTGGGGGTGTTCATGAGCCAGTGCGAGAAGCATTTCCTCACAGATGGGGCCCCGAGGGCATGGCTTTTACAGCGGGACTGAGCTGGGGGTTCCTGGGCTGCCATTTCTCCCCTTCCCCTGCTCCAGATCCCCTCAGCCTCTGACACCCCAGACCTAAGGCCCAAGTTTGTTTATTTGTTTCCAAGTTTGTGCTCAGCAGTTAGGATAATGGTGGCTTTGGAGAGAGGGGGGAACATGGCTGGGAGGGACGTGATGGGGGATCCTGTTTGGTCTTGTTCCCTCACCTGGTGGTGGCTTTTCCCACGGGCGCACTTTGATCACTCCTGGGCTGCTCACGACTCATGTCTCTTTCTCTGTGCTTGTTATCCTTGAACACAAAGTTTCATTGAAAAAGAATTACTCGTGTTAGCCAGGATGGTCTCGATCTCCTGACCTCGTGATCTGCCCCCCTCGGCCTCCCAGAGTGCTGGGATTACACAATGAAACCCTGTCTCTACTAAAAATACAAAAAATTAGCTGAGTGTGGTGACAGGCACCTGTAGTCCCAGCTACTCTGGAGACTGAGGCAGGAGAATGGCGTGAACCTGGGAGGCAGAGCTTGCAGTGAGCCGAGATTGCGCCACCGCACTCCAGCCTGGGCGACAGAGTGAGACTCCGTCTCAAAAAAAATAAAAAGAAAGGAAAAAAAAAAAGAAAAAGAATTGCTTTATCGAAGGGACATGTTTCATGGCTCCTCACAAAACCATTTCTATAGATAACTCATAACACTGTAAGGTTATGTTTTTTAGATATTTTTCTGTTCTATAGACAATGATAGACACATCTGTTTTAATAATACAAATGGGATCACACTATATATGCTGTTCCTGAACTTGATTTTTGTAACTAACAATATATTAGAGATATTTTCCCAGGTCTATACATATTAATATGTAGGGTGATCTACCTCATTCTTTTGTATAGAGTATTTCATTACATGGCTGACCCATAATTTATTTAACTCTCTGTCTACATACAGTTCAACCTAAAAATCTAAAGAAATAACCTTTTAAAATCTTTTTTCAAAAAAAGTTTACATTCAAGGAGACACGTGCTTGTTTGTGAGATGGGCATATTGCACACTGGTGAGGAGTGGGCTTCCAATGCACCCGTTACCCAAATAGTGGACACTGCATCCAGTAGGCAGTTCCTCAACCCTTACCACCCTCCCAGCCTTTGGGGTTCCCTGTGTCTGTTATTTCCATCTTTTTTTTTCTTTTTCTTTCTTTTTTTTTTTTTTTTTTTGAGACAGAGTCTCGTTCTGTCACCCAGGCTGGAGTCCAATGGTGCAATCTCAGCTCACTGCAACCTCCGCCTCCCGGGTTCAAGTGATTCTCCTGCCTCAGCCTCCTGAGTAGCTGAGACTACAGGCACCCACCACCATACCCAGCTAATTTTTGTATTTTTAGTAGAAACAAGGTTTCACCATGTTGGCCAGACTGGTCTCGAACTCTTGACCTCAGGCGATCCACCTGCCTCGGCCTCCCAAAGTGCTGGGATTACAGGCATGAGCCACCATGCCCGGCCAGTTATTTCCATCTTTATGACCATGTGTACCCATAAAAATCATTTCTATAGTAAGTATAACCCAAGTTATTTTTTAAATGAATGTAGTAACTTTGCAAAGCATTTGTATGTAGTAAAACAATGGAAATGTCATTTCGGTTATCATTTTCTTTCTTTTTTTCACTATATGGAGCTTGATAGTTTTAACTCCACCAGTTAGAATAGAGTTTTAGCATCTTTTTTATTCATTTGTCAGAAGAGCAGAAACAAATACTTTATAACATTTTTGTTATAAAGTAACAAAAACAATTTTCATAACATTCTCTTAAGTACCATTTATGGTACAACAATTGAAATTATTAAAGTTCCTGGGACATTTCTATGGATTTCCCATCTCTTACGAATAACCCCGTGTTATTCTTCAGCTACAGGAGAGGGTGGGGTGCGTGGGGCTGGGGCAGAAGCAGGAGATCACTTGGGAAGCGCCATAGCATCGTGGGTGGGTGATGGGGCTGGCCCAGGGGTAACAAGGGTAGAGCCCCAATAGGTTTTGCAGGTAGGATTGACAGGATGTGGAGGAGAGGAGCCAGGCATAGCTCTGACATATTTGGCCTTAGCAATGCCAAAGGTGGGACTGTCCTTGCCTGGTACCACAAAAACCACAGCAGAAATAAGTTTGGGGGTGAGGAGGTAATGAGGGATTCTGTTTTGACCAGAATCAGCTTATTTTATTATGTACGTATTATTTATATGGGGACAGGTTCTCACTCTGTTGCCCGGGCTACTGTGCAGTGGCATGATCACAGCTCGTTGCAGCCTCAACCTCCAGGGCTCAAGTGATCCTCCCCCCTCAGCCTCCCAAAGTGCTGGGATTACAGGCATGAGCCATTTTATTTTTTTTTATTTATTTATTGTTTTTAGAGACGGGCTTGCTATGTCGCTCAGGCTGGTCTTGAACTCCTGGCCTCCAGTGCTCCTCCCACGTCAGCCACTCAAGTAGCTGGAATTGCAGACTTATTTTAGATTGAATGCTTTTCATTTTTCTCTTTTTGAAACACCCTGTGGTTCATGTTCTTACTCAGAGTAACAGTCCATGTCCCCATAGCAGCCCACAAGGCACCACGTGGCCCCGGCTGGCCTGTCCAGTGCTCTCCCCTCCGTCCGCTCGTCCTCTGCATGCTGGCCTCCCTGTCATTTCTAGAACACTCAGGCATTCTCTTAAGCCAAGGCCTTTGTAGTTGTGATTCCCTCTGCATGGAATGCTCTTCCCCAGCCATCTCCTGTCACTCTCTCACCCACCCCATGAGGTCATGACCACGCTATTTAGATTGTCACACCCCATCTCCTGGATTGCAGATGAGATGATATGCAATGTGCTTTTTAAAAAGACTACTATGGACAATGTCTAACATATACCAAAGTAGAGACAAATTTAATGTGCTTCCATATTCCCAGCACCTGCTTCAGTAGTCAACAGTAGCTGACCCTGTTTCATCCTCACTTCTACCCATTGTCCCATTATTTTGAAATATTTGATCCCCAGACGTCCTATTGTTTCATTCATAAATCTTCATAGTGGCTTACTTGTTTATGGTTGATTCGCCAGCCCCACTCCCTTCCATAGCAGCCTAGTAAGGGTAGGGATGTGGGTTTGGATGCGTTTTGCTCATTGCTGTGTATCCAGCATCTAGAACAATGTCTGGCACCTCGTAGCTACTTATCAATATTTATTAGATGAATAATTAGGTCAAGTTTGATGAAGCCTGAAGATTGAACTCTGGCTTTAATACAAGAGGGGTATTAAATGTTTTGACTGCAGCTGTTTGAGAGGGGCTGGGAATGCTGAAAAGCCTAATTGGAATAGTTGAGGAGAGAATGGGGAAAAGGAATCAGAAATAGCGATTATGCACAACAGCTGATACAGGGGAACAGAAAATAGGACATCTGAGATCAAGAGAGAGCTTTCTTTAAGAGGGTAGATATTATAGCCTGTCTGTGTGCCCCTGGGAATGATCAGGAAAGACTGAAAGCGATGATGCCAGACAGAGGGCAGCTCCTGGAGTGATGTCAGGAAGTCCGTGTGGTGGTGCTCTGTCGCTGCATAACAAACTACCCACTACTTAGAGGTTTAAAAATTAAAAGCAAGTTAGCTCACAGTTTCAGTCGATCAGGAATCCAGCTTAGCAGGGTGATTCTGTCCAAGTTCCTCCTGAGGGTACAGTCATCTAAAAGCTTGTCCGGGGCTAGAAGAACCCTCTTCCAAGCTTCCACACATGGCTTTTGGCAGGCGGCCATTGTTCCTTGCCACATGGCCTCTCCACAGGGCTGCTTGAATGTCCTCACAGCATGGCTGACTTCCCCCAGAGCAAGCCATCCAAGAGAGCAAGAGACTAAGATGGGAACCACAGTGTCTTTTGTGACCTAGTATTAGAAGTTGCATGTCATCCCTTACTCTGATTTGTTAGAAGGGAGTCACTAAGTACAAAGTAGGGTGGCCAGACATCCAAATAAAGATAAACAAAGGCTTATTAGTATAGGTGTATTCCAAATATTGCATAGGGAATTCTTACACTAAATAATGACTTTATCTGAAACTCAAAGTTAATGTATGACCTGTATTTTTATTTGTTAGATTTGGCAACTTCAGAAGGAATTTGTGGACATACTTTTAAACTACGGCTAGCCAAAGGGAATGGGATGTAGTGCATATGTAGAGCTCAGGCCTACAGAAACACGGCAGATCATAGGGAGAGGGCTGGCGGAGTACTTGGCAAATGTAGATAGGTAGGCGGGTGGGTAGGCAGAGGCAGTGAGGGGAGCAGGTGGACATGCTCTTCTGATTGCTTCTCTTTTCTCACCGGAGTAAGCAGCAAGGTTATGGGCAAGGTAACCTTCTCCCGCCCCGCCATACACCTTGCACAGAGCTTACCCTTGACTCAGACCCTCCATGCTGGGGGAATTACCTCCCTGTGACCATCCTAGGAAGACACCTCTTGGCTCTTGCAGAGTCAGAAAAGCACAGGACATGGAGTTGAGAAACCCGGTTTCTTCTTTTTCTTCTTTTTCTTTTTTTTGAGATGGAGTCTCGCTCTGTTGCCCAGGCTGGAGTACAGTGGCACAATCTCGGCTCACTGCAACCTCCACCTCCCGGGTTCAAGTGATTCTCCTGTCTCAGCCTCCTGAGTAGCTGGGATTACAGGCACACGCTGCCATGACCAGCTAATTTTTTGTATTTTAGTAGAGATGGGGTTTCACTGTTGTTGCCCAGGCTGGTCTCGAACTCCTGAGCTCAGGCAGTCTACCCACCTTGGCCTCCCAAAGTGCTAGGATTACAAGTGTGAGCCACCGCACCTGGCCTGCTTTTTCTTTTCCCTGTTATGGCCTCTCTGGGTTTCCAAAATTCTATCTCTTTTTTCTCTTTTTTTTTTTTTTTTTTTTTTTTTTTTGATGGAGTCTCACTCTGTCACCAGGTTGGAGTGCAGTGGCACAATCTTGGCTCACTGCAACCTCTGCTTCCCAGGTTCAAGTAATTCTCCTGCCTCAGCCTCCCGAGTAGTTGGGCCTACAGGCATGCATCACCACGCCCAGCTAATGTTTTCGTATATTTAGTAGAGACAGGGTTTCACCATGTTGGCCAAGATGGTTTCAATCTCCTGACCTCGTGATCCACCCGCCTCAGCCTCCCAAAGTGCTAGGATTACAGGCGTGGGCCACCTCGCCTGGCAAAATTTTTTTTTTTTTTTTTTTTTTTTTTTGAGACAGTGTCTCACTCTGTCGCCCAGGCTGGGGTGCAGTGACGCGATCTTGGCTCACTGCAACCTCCGCCTCCCGGGTTCAAGTGATTCTTGTGCTTCAGCCTCCCTCAATGTTTTTTTTACTTTGTCCCACAGTAAGAAATCCATTTGACATCATGGTGCAGAATACACGTACATCAAAGGTATTAGAAAATTGTTATCTTGCATCATACAAAGGACGCTGTTATTTTTCTATCCAGTCCTGCTCTAGTTCCTTTACACCTCCCCCCAAAAAAGTTCACACCCATTACTATGGTTCCACCACCCACTAATGAGGGCTCCAACCCCGAGTTGAGAATCACTGCCTACTACCCTAATCAACTGATGGCATTCTTGCAGGAGTATGTTGACAAAGCCCATACTGAAATGTGTCCCCCAAATGTGTAATTCTTCCTATTGTAATGTGATAAATTGTGTAATGAAACGTTTTGCTGGAGTTTTATGAGAATTTTTTTTGACTGAAGACACGAGATGAGTTTTTAATTATTTTTTTCAAAGCTCTATTTTCAGCATAAATTAAGTACAAAATATATTTTATGGAATAGTTATAGGGTTTTTTAGGAAAATTTAAAAGATTTTGTGGTTCTTTCTAAGGAAAACTTTCAATGTGTTAAAAACCTATCCAGGGCCTGGTGCAGTGGCTCACGCCTGTAATCCCAGCACTTTGGGAGGCTGAGACAGGCAGATCGCTTGAGGCCAGGAGTTCAAGACTAGCCTGGTCAACATGGTGAAACCCCATCTCTACTAAAAATACAAAAAAATTAGCCAGATGTGGTGGCAGGTGCCTATAGTTCCAGCTACTCAGGAGACTGAGGCAGGAGAATCACCTGAACCTGGGAGGCAGAGGTTGCAGTGAGCCAAGATCGCGCCACTGCACTCCAGCCTGGGCAACAGAGCAAAACTCCATCTCAAAAAAATAAAAAATAAAAACCTGTCCAGGTTTTTTGTTTGATAAATTTTGTTTTTGAAATGATTTTCAAACCTAACTTTACCCATGTAGCCATGAAGTTAAAACAAAATCCTAGAGTTTATGCTGTCATTGTAAGCAATTACAGATGATGGCCATTACAAAACTTCATTTTACTCTTTGTGGAAGACTAGTCTCCATTTCATATGCAATAGAAGATTCAACTCTCTTTTGCACTTGAGAATACTAAAAGTAAATGTATTTTAGTAAAGAAAAAAAACCCACATGTAAATGAATGTGTGTCTTGGAGCAACTGAATTCTATTCAAAACTTTGGAAGGAAACAGCAAAGTGTTAGAATACGTGATTTTTAAAGTGTATGTATAAATAAATACCGTGAGTAAATATTTGCTTATTTCTTTGACATCCCTAAAAAGTTTATATATACAAGTTGGCATAATTTTTTTTCTTCCCCTTGGGAAATAGTGTAATTGCCTTTATTTGGAGTTTCCTTATATTAACCATTTATAATTATAGTAGCTTGATTTAGGACATTACACATCTCTTTGAACGTGGGGAAATTTTCAGTCCTGAAAATTTTTATCTTACAATTTTTTTTTATTAACGTGTACATTTTCCAAAATTAATGCAATAACAAATCTGACAGTTAATATTTGAAAGAACTATTTTGGCCAGCATGCTGCCTCCTACTCAAAACATCTGTTGTTCCCCATGAGCACATACTGGGTGAATGGAAACTTCTAAGAAAATGTCAGTCCTTACCCTTGGAGATAGGACGGCCTGAGGCAGGAGTGTCAGGAGGGACACAGGTCACCATGCTGGTGCGGGCTCCGGGTGTGCAGCTCCCTGCAGGGGGTGGAACCCTCCCCACTCCCTGGGCATCCTGCCCAATGGGAGTCCCAGATGCACATCTTAATGCACGAGGAAGTTATTATTCTCTCACTGTTGTCAGTTGCAGACCCTGTTTGTGACTATTCTGTAAACCCAGATGGAACTTCAAAGCGGTAGGGTGGAGGGAGGCCAACTATATTTTTCTGGTAGCCTTAGGTTTCTTTCCAATGTAGGACAAAATCACGAATCTCAGCCTCTCAGGATTTGAGGGATCTTCTAGTTGAACTGGCTGAGACGCCTACCTGATTGGATTTCCCGAGTTGCCTTCTCTCCCATTTCAGATGATCTCATTGTGAGTTGAGATTTGGAGAATCAAAACCTCCCTCCCCGCCCTTTCCCTAGCTTCCTCCTGCCCTTGCTAGGTCTGCCTTCCAGGGTTCTGCAGAACTGCTCTGATTTCTCCTGGCGCTCCCTTCTCTGTCCCCATTTCCCTCTGCACATCACCCCTTTCCTTGCTGGGACCCACCTCCAGTCCCCTCCACTCACCACTCAAGCTCGTGGGAGAGGAAGCTCATCTCCTGATCTCCAGCCTTGCTAGCCTCCCTGGGAGCTTCGACACGGCCTCCATTTCCCTCTTGTCCTCGGCCTCCTTGGTCTCTGCCGACTCCTCATCCTCACCCACGCAGGTGTTAACATGCTCCAGGATGTCTTCTTTAAGCCTGTCACTCTTCCTTCCATAGTGTCACCTCTCTTCAGTGTCCCAGAGCTGCCTCCCAGATAGCCTCTGGGCCTTTCATCTGGGTGGCCGCTGGCACCTTGAGTTCCACATGCTCAAAGCAAAACTCATCCACCCCATCCCACCCACCCGAACACTTGCTGCTACTCCTCATTCGCCCGTCTATCAACCTGAGCCAGAAGTCACAGTTCCTGCAAGCACTACTTATCGAGCACTCTGCAGTTGACTCAGCAAAAAGAGCCGTTTACTTGAGTTTATGTTTCACGGGGGAGACAGACGATGCATCCAGTAGACACAATGCAGGCCACACGAGCCACTGGGCAGGCAGGAGAGCTGGGAGGGCAGGGCTGAGAATGCAAGAAATCGGCTGGCTCAGAAGAGGCCTCTCCGAGAAGGTGAGAAGTGAGCAAAGCCTGGAAGGAGGGGAGGCAGTTGGCCAGGGTATCCGGGAGGAACATTCTAGGCAGAGATCTCCAGGGTGCATCAGAAGCCCCTGGAGGGCATGTAAGGTGGAGTTTCTAATTCAGTGGGTCTGAGGTGGGGGCAGAAAACCTGCATTTCCAACATCACAGATGCTGCTGCTGCAGCTGGCCTGGGGCCCCACCTGAGAACCACTGGCTGGTGCAAAGGCCCGAGGCAGGGCTTTGCCCGGATGCTCAAGGAAGACGCCATTGGCCCCTGGGGCTGGCAGGGAGTAAAAGATTCCCCTGTAATCCGGCGGGTGTGGCTTGGTGTCAGCTGTACCAGAGTGAGTTGTGGGGCACTTGGGTCCTTGCATTGCTGTCCCAGCCCATGGAGCTCTCCGTGGGGATCTTTTCATCCCGGGAACCTCAGCCACAACTTCCTCCTTGCCCTTTGCTCGCCTCTGCAGCCTCCTGGCCCAGCAGCCTTCCCTGCACGCAAATGGCAGCAGCATCTGGGCTCCCCAGGCCAAGCTGTGGGAAACTCTAAGCCTTTCATGATGATGGGCTTTCAAAGTCCAGGACGGTCTGATGAGTGAAGACAACAGAAGGAAACAAGACCTGGGTCTGGTCCGGACTTGCTCATGGCGAAGATTTCAGTTAGTGGCCAAGTCACTTAACCCGTCCGTGCCTTGGTGTCTACATCTGTAAAATGGGTTTAATAGTATCTGTCCCCTAAGACTTCAGAGGATGTTAGTGGAGCCTAGTGAGTGAAGTCCATTAAATTCAGAAGAAAGGCGTAACTAAATACAAAGCACTACTAGAATTAGCTCTCAGGGTCTTTAAGCCAGGTTGCATCTTGTTTTAAGAGGGTTACCATGGCGATGAGTTTGTTTGAAAAGCATATGTTTAAAAGGCTTGGCTATTATCTTGCAACAATAAGTAAATTTCATTTTGCTGGTTCCCATTGTAACAGAGGCGCAGCGCCTCACCAGCAGCCATGACAGCCAACACTGCTGCGACTGCCACCTTCTGCCATGGCAAAGAGCACGGTTACTCCTGCTGTACATACAGTGAGTGCTTACTGTACGTTGTAGAGGCCACTGTGGTGGCATCTTGTCATGCGGATAGAGGACTGTCCTGTGGGCAGGACCCACCAGAATAATGCTCCTGCCATACCCACATCTATGGTTATGCTGGGTCTGCACTGGGCCAGAGATGTTGGCGGGATGGGCGGGGAGGGGTGAGGCTGAGCATCCTGCAGGAACGACTCTGTACCAGGCACCATCAGATTCTTTACACGTCACATCTCATCAAATGCCCCCGGCAGCCTGGCACTGTCCCGGGCAGCAGGATGGGGGTGTGGGTGCATAAGAGGTAGGACGGTCCCTCCCTCCATGAGAACAAAATTCAGCCTAGAAACGCAGACAGCGTGGCAATGCTGGGGCGGTGGTGGGGGTCCTAAAACTCAGGCACAGGGGCCAGCCCAGAATCTGGGGTCCTGGGGCTGGGCAGGGGCTTGGGTCAGTCCCTGGGTGCAATCCCAGCCCCACCGCGCAGCAGCTGCATGACAGTGGACAAGTCACTCACCCTCCTTGCCCTGGTTTCCACAAACAGGAGCACACACAGCGCTGTCAGTGGGACGTGGGGCACGCCATGTTCAGAGGCTCCATGTGAGTCTCTGGCAGGCAGCAGCAACTGAATGAATGGGGCAATGGGGACTGTGGCCCTGGATGAGGACACAAAGCTCCTCAGGTGCTGCTCTAGCTCCATGGTCCTGATTGGACAGGAAAGACCCTGTCACTCCGCCGTTGCTTCTTCTCAGGGCTGGACCCACCACAGGCACCTCACACACCTCCTGGAGTGCAGGAAGCAGGACCCCTTGTCTGTGTGGGGCCACATGAGCAGAATCTTGCTCAGGTCTGAGAGCCCCACCTCTGCTAAGAGGGGCTTTGAGGGGGTCACATATCCCCATGTTCCTGCTCACGATTGGGCTGTGGTGTCCCTGCTGTGCCACAGGCCCAGTCGCAGCCAAGGCAGGACCAGGGGCTGGAGGGTCTCGGAAGCTGCCGCTCAGCCCCTGCCTCAGTTTCCTCACACTGTGAAGGTGGAGTCAGGTGAGCCTCCCGTTGCCTGGTTTTCCTGGGGAGGGTGGGGTCTTCCTGTCCAGCTTGGACGTGGAGTGGAGCACCCCTCTTTCCCACAGTCCCGCCAAACTGGACTCATTTTCCTTCAAAGCCTAAGTCTTGTGAAGACACTTGTGCCCTGGAGGGCCTGGCGGCCACGAGGTGGACACTCCATGGCAAGGCCTCGTCATCAAGGCACCTGCCGCCCAGCACAGCGCTGTGCACAGCAGGTGCTTACTAAATACAGGCTTAATGAATAAGTGAATGAATGGAGAAGGGCATGAGAGAGGGGAAGAAACTCATCTGTATTAGCTCAAAACAGCCCGAATTCTGGCCTCCAGTCGGCATGGGACCAAGGAGAGCTGCGCATGTGGTGATCTGAGCCTCAGCCAGGGTGGGCCCAAGGGTAGGGGTGAGGCGAGGTGCACCCATTTTCCTGGGAGCTGAGCTGGAGGCTGATCCCGGCTCAGGGCCTCCTGCTTCCTTCCCTGTGTGGGGAAACGAGAGGCATTTCCTGGAAATGCAGCCTGGGTGCAGCGGAGGACAGAGCCAGGTAGGGTGGGAGGAGGCTGTGGGCCAGGGCTCTGGGACAGGTGAGAAGACACTGGCGCTCTGCCCAGAGACCCTGTCCCCCAGCAGAGTGGCTACGAGTTTCCTTCCCATCAGAAGTCAGGCCCTGCAGGTCCATGGACCAAGACAAGCCACCTCCAACCAGAAAGAACTCTGGAGAGACGTGCCTGTGTCCACGCCCATGGTTGCTCAGGGACCAGTCAGGCAACCTCCTGCCTCACTTTCCCCCTACAAAACAGGGAGATCAGCATGGCCCGTTGTGTGCCCCCAGGAGAGGCACCTGTTATACAGAGCAGGGCGGCAAACAATGGCCCATGGGCCGAACCCAGTCGCCGCCTGGTGGTGCTTCCTTTTCAGCCACCCACCTTGTAGTGCCTGGCAAGGGCAGCCTAAGGGAACCCACACCCTCTCTGACACCTCTGTTGTGTGGATCTCACAGCTCTCCCTGCTGTCATAGCTTATCATTTATTTATTTTTATTATTTTTTTGCGACTGAGTCTCACTCTGTCGCCCACGCTGGAGTGTGGTGGCATAATCTCGGCTCACTGCAGCCTCCGCCTCCCGGGTTCAAGCGATCCTCCTGCCTCAGCCTACTGAGTAGCTGGGACTACAGGCGTGTGCCAGTACACCTGGCTAATTTTTGTATTTTTTGTAGAGGCAGGGTTTCACCATGTTGGCCAGGCTGGTCCCGCACTCCTGACCTCAGGTAATCTGCACGCCTCAGCTTCCCAAAGTGCTGAGATTACAGATGTGAGCCATCGCGCCCAGACAGAAGTTATCATTTATTTATTTTTGCTCATCTTCCTCTACTAGAATGGAAACTCCACTGAGAGCAAGGATCCCATTTATTCTTTATTTCCGTATCCCCGGTGTCTTTGAAAGTGCCTGGTACGTACTGGCACAACGTTTCTGAAATGAATGAGTAGATATGGCTCTACTGGTGTCCTGTGACCCGCGTAACCAAGTGCCAAGAGCTGGGTGGCTCGCAACAACAGAACCCGCTCTCACCGTCCTGGAGGCCAGGTGTCTGACATCGAGGTGTCAGCAGGGCCCTGCTCCCTCCAAAGGCTCCTGGGGAGGCTCCTTCCCGGCCTCCTCCAGCGTCTGGGGGTTGCTGGCAATCTTTGGCACTCCTTGGCACTCCTTGGCTTGTGGACGCTTCACTCCAATCTCCGTCTCCGTTTCTGCCCAGAACTCCCTTGTGAGTCCGTGTCTTTGCTTTCTCAGGAGAATTGCTCATTCCAGCCGCAGTTCTTCCAGGGGGCGGTCTGTGCGCGTGAACTGCCTGAGCGGGGAACCCAGCCAGATCATGAACTGCCCAGGCCCCAGCTCCCGGCTTGATTTGCTGCAGTTTTCCTAATTGGAAGAGAAACGTATGCTGATTATTTTTAAAGACATAAATGTTACAGAAATGTAACAAAAGCAAGTGAAATTCCCCCCAGCCCCATCTCTCCCTGCTCAATGGCGTGATCGCACACATTTGGGGCTGGTGCCTCAACTCAGGCCTCTCATCACCCATGGAGGCCTGGGATGGGCAGAGCGTGACGTCAGGCACCATGGGGGGACTCGCGGGGGCGAGCTTTACCTTTGCTCTTAAGGAGCTCCCAGTCTAAAGAGGGAGACAAAAAAAAAAAAAAAGCCCAAGGAACTGTCCTAGCCAGAGGGGCCTAAAGAGGCCATGACTAAATGGCCTGTGGCTTTCTGCAGGGGATCCTGGAACAGAAAAGGACTTAAGGTGAAAACTGAGGAGATCTGAGCCAACAGTGGACCTGAAGAATGACTGTCAGTCCATTCATCGGAACAAATGGGCCGGACTCATGCCCCATGTTAATAATGGAGGAACCTGGATGTGGGGTTTATGGGAACTCCCTGTACTATCTTCTCAATTTTTCTGTAAATCCAAAACTGTTGGAAAAATTAAAATCCATTAAAAAAAAAAAGACACAATATAAGGCACCAAGGCAAATGGTCTGCTGAGACAGAAGAAACCAAGCCTCGGAGCTCCCCACCGGCTTACGCTGAGGGACCCCCGGAGGGAGGCCAGCTGGCCCTTGCAGCCACACAGGGTGAAGGAAATGAGTTGGGTGTTTCGGGAGAGAGCAACCAGATGTCCCATCTGGCTGTGGCCCGCATCCCTCCCCGCCAGGGCCCCGCTCGGTAAGCGGTATCTGCAGCCTTGGGAATGCCCCAAGGGGAAGGGGACAAGAGGAAAGGGAGTGAGACCATGGGATGGACCCGCGGGCCTTCCTGCTCTAGTTCCCAGCCTCTGCCTGCCCCACGGGAGGCTCCCTAAGTTCCCCGAGAGTGCAGGAATGCACAATGAGCAAATGCTGGTTGCTAGGCCTGCGTGCGCACAGGCAGACTCTCCGTTGTGTCTTTCGGTGCCTGCAAGAGCCTTGCGGGTCTGCAGCTCATAAACCCTCTTCACTCACCATCTATTTTGCTATTTTTTAATTGCCTGAGGTCAAATCCAGAAAGCAGCTTCTGAGATTCCTGCGGCTTCCTGCCCGCCTGGTGTCCTACGCTACCATTTTCCTGTGCAAACACTTGAGGGGCGTTGGGAGCCGAGGGAATTGGAGCAGCAGGTCCTGTTCCTTCCCCTGGCTGTGTGTTTAGGAAGGTCTTTGGAAACACAACTGTTTGGAAAAGTCTTGAAATAGGAAATAGAGTCCCAGCTGAGTGTCTAGGTTACATGAGAGTCAAAAAATATAAAACCATTTCCTCCAAGGTTGCCAAGTTTGGAGGGCCCACCCCGCTCTGCACATCCTGCAAATGACTCAACTTGAATTTACCTCCGTGACTCTTGCGCGACTTCCACGCGTGAAGCCAGCACCCAAAGGAGCACTGGGTGCCCCTGGCGTCCTGGACACCAGCCTCCCCTCCATCACAACACTGGGACCCTATCCCAGGCTGGGCCTGGCCCACTGCTCAACAAGCATCACACTGTCACCTGGGGCATCTGCAGAACTTTTCATCAGACAAGGAGAAATGGCCTGTCCCTTGCATGGGGAGAATTCCTCTGCTATTTTAACCATTTTCTTTTCTTTTTTTTTTTTTTAAGACGGAGTTTCGCTTTTGTTGCCCAGGCTGGAGTGCAATGGCGTGATCTCAGCTCACCATAACCTCCGCCTCCCAGGTTCAAGCAATTCTCCTGCCTCAGCCTCCTGAGTAGCTGCGATTACAGGCATGCACCACCACGCCAGGCTAATTTTGTATTTTTAATAGAGATGGGGTTTCTTCATGTTGGTCAGGCTGGTCTTGAACTCCCGACCTCAGGTGATTCACCCGCCTCGGCCTCCCAAAGTGCTGGGATTACAGGCGTGAGCCACCGCACCCGGCCTTATTTTAACCATTTTCAAACATGCAGCTCAGTGGCAGGAATCCATTCATTGTTGTGCAGCCATCACCAACATCCACCCCCAGAACTTGTTCATTATCCCCTGCTGAAACTTTGCACCCACAAAACACTCTCTATTTCCTCCTCCTCCCAGCCCCTGGTAACCGCCACTGGACTTTTCTCTCTATGAATTTGCCTCTTCCGGGTGCCTCATATCAGTGGAGTCATGTCCCTTTGTGTCTGGTTTTTTCACTTAGCGTAGTGTTGTCGAGGAGTCATGTCCCTTTGTGTCTGGTTTTTTCACTTAATGTAGTGTTGTCGAGGAGTCTGTCCCTTTGTGTCTGGTTTTTTCACTTAGCGTAGTGTTGTCGAGGAGTCTGTCCCTTTGTGTCTGGTTTTTTCACTTAACGTGGTGTTGTCGAGGAGTCTGTCCCTTTGTGTCTGGTTTTTTCACTTAACGTGGTGTTGTCGAGGAGTCTGTCCCTTTGTGTCTGGTTTTTTCACTTAACGTGGTGTTTTCGAGGAGTTTGTCCCTTTGTGTCTGGTTTTTTCACTTAACGTGGTGTTGTCGAGGAGTCTGTCCCTTTGTGTCTGGTTTTTTCACTTAACGTGGTGTTTTCGAGGAGTTTGTCCCTTTGTGTCTGGTTTTTTCACTTAACGTAGTGTTCTTGAGGTTCACCGGTGTGGTAACAGGTATTCGAGTTTCATGCCTGCCCATGGCTGACTAGCATCTACTGTGTGACTGGGCCTCACTGCACTGATGCGTCCCTCTGCGGAGGGACAAGTGGGTCGCTTCCACCTTCTGGTGACTGTGAATAACACTGCTGTGAACATGGGTGTGCACTCTCTGTTGGAGTCTCTGCTTTCAGTTCTTTTGGATATATACCCGGGCGTGAAACTGCTGGGTCATAGGGTAATTCTGTGTTTAACTTTTTTTCTTTCTTTCGAGACAGAGTTTCTCTCTTGTTGCCCAAGCTGGAGTGCAGTGGCGTGATCTCGGCTCACTGCGACCTCCGCCTCCCGGGTTCAAGCAATTCTCCTGCCTCTGCCTCCCGAGTAGCTGGGATTACAGGCATTCGCCACACCTGGCTAATTTTTTGTATGTTTAGTAGAGATGGTATTTTGCCATGTTGGCCAGGCTGGTCTCGAACTCCTGACCTCAGGTGACCCACCCACCTCAGCCTCCCAAAGTGCTGGGATTACAGGCATGAGCCACGGCACCCAGCCTGGGCTTTTTCCTGTTGCTGTCATTGAGGAATTGTAGTTCTTTACATGTTCTGGAGAGGGACATCACATTCTATGTTTGATTTTTATCCATCTGTGCACACATATCCAGAAGCAGAAATTCAAGTGTAGGGGGGCTGTGGGGGGACTGAGAAAGGCTTATATAAAAGGCTTGGCAACAAAATCAAATCAGCCTTTGCAGAGGTCCCTGTTCCTTCCATTCCCAAGGGAACATTCCAGAAACCCCCACTGTGGGCTGGGCTTCTCAGTCTTTTCTCCATGTCCTGTTGCAAGCCCGAGAGCCCTGAGCCCATGGGCCTGTGTGGTGGTGGTCCACAGCCTCCAGGCCAGGGGAGGAAGGGTAGACCTTGCTGGGCTTGGGTGCTCACCCGCCAGGCTCCCATCCTCAGTGCCCCTGGGAACCCTGTCGGCATCGCCTTGAGTGCCCCTGCTGTCTGTCTCCGGCCCCCCTGGGTCAGCCCCTTCCTGAATGCCCCTTGCACCCATCCGTGCCCGTCTTCTCCAGGAGCAGGAATTCGGCCTGTAATGGATGCAGTTTTATTATTGAGGGAGGCAGTGAGTGTGGGTATCAAAAAGGAGAAAGAAACCCACCCGGCGTTCTTCCACAGTGCATGACGCGGCTGAAGGATACAGTGGACTTACCCACTTCAGTGACTCCCAAATTATTCATCAGATTCCTCGAATTGTACACACATCCCAATTCCTCATCTAGAGGGCGTTTTCCACCTGGCATCAGCTCCCAGGGATTTTGGCCTTCATTGTCACTGCTTGGCTGGGAAGGGGAGGTGACGAGCTGCATGCTGGTGGCAGATGCAAGTTGAATTTGAAGGCCCCCAGCTCCAGGACTGGATGTGGTGCCTGCCCCAGCCTGTGGGGCACCTTAAGGGCCCTGTGGCTTTAAGAGCCAAGGCCGGCTCTGTCCCCCTGCTCAGCCCAAGTTACTAGAAGGCCAAGGCAGAGGCCTCACAGCCTCAGAAGGAACCAGCCCTGCCCACACCTTGGTCTCTGGCCTCCAGAACTGTGAGACAGGATGTGCCTGCTGTTTAAGCCCCTGGTGTGTGGTGCTATGTGACAGCAGCCCTGGCAAACTCACATACCTGGAAGCCCTGGTTACAGCCACGTGGTTTGTTGAAGTGGAGCTTGGGGGCCTAAAGGAGGGGCTTCTGCTCTGCCTACAGCCCCCGAGCCCAGGGGAGTTTCAACAGTGATGCCCTCTAGGTTCTGGCAACAATTGCGTGTCCTCAGAGGTAGTGGAAGGGAGCACCTCGCATGGCTGATTGAGACTGGAAAACAAGGTCCTGGCGAGAGAGAGAGAGAGAGAGAGAGAGCAACAGAGAGAGAGCCCGAAGCCCACCCATGGGAAGCCCCCATCACAGACTTGGCCCCGCTTAGGCACAGACCTCTCCACGTTAGCGATGGAAGTTATCTGAGTCACACGGCAGCGGAAGATGTTAGCGGCGAATCCATACAGGGCTGCAGCAACCTCCTCAGAAGAACGAATTTGAGGGGCATGAGGCAGGAGAGACTGGGGCAAGTTTTAGGGCAGGAGTGAAAGTTTATTAAAAAGCTTTAGAGCTGGAATGAAAAGAAAGGAAAGTACACTTGGACGCGGGCCCAGCAGGCGACTCGAAAGACAAGTGCGACGCTTGACCTTTGACTTGGGGTTTTGTATGGTGGCCTGCCGGGGGCTTGCATCCATTCTCCCCGATTCCTCCCTCGGGATGGGCTGTCGCATGCACAGTGGCGGCCAGCGCTTGGGAGGGGAGCATGCGCAGTGTGCGCACTGGAGCTGTACACATGCTCCCTTGAGGCGTTCTTCCCATGCCAGTCGAATGTCCCTAGAATGTCATATACCGCTTATACTCCGCCATTTCACCTCTCGGTGCACACGTGTGAGCCCACCTGCCCAGCTCCTGAGGTCTCATGGGGAAGCTGCTGATGGCCAGCTTCAGGTGTTTTCTATTAGGAGACTGCCTTTCCCTGGAGCTGGCTGCAACCAATTATTATTATTATTGTTATTTTTAATTTAATTTTATTTTTTTGAAATGGAGTCTCTGTTGCCCAGGCTGGAGTGCAGTGGCGCGATTTCAGCTCACTGCCACCTGTGCCTCCCGGGTTGAAGCAATTCTCCTGCCTCAGCCTCCTGAGTAGCTGGGATTACAGGCATGCACCACCACACCCAGCTAATTTTTGTATTTTCGGTAGAGATGGGGTTTCACCATTTTGGCCAGGCTGGTCTCGAACTCCTGGCCTCAAGTGATCACCTGCCTCAGCCTCCCAAAGTGCTGGGATTAGAGGCATGAGCCACCACACCCGGCCCCATTATTATTTTAGAGAGACAGTCACCAACCGCCTGACCATCCCTTGATGGTCGCGGACACTCCTGGGGGGGTGGGGGTGCCTCTCCTGCCCTGCTCATGTCTGACCAGCCACCTTCTGTAACATGGGGAGCCTGAGTGCTGGTGGATGGAGCAGGGGCAGCCCCCAGCACCCGCTGCCACCTGGTGCTGGATGTCCCTCTTTCCCGAACTGAGGAACAAGCGGCTGTGGAACCAGTGATGGCGGCTTATTGCTTCCTGGATGGAGCGGGCTGGGTTTCCTTCCCGTCCCAGCACTGCCCCCACCCCCCACCCCCAGGGCAGCAGCTCCCTCCCTGGAAAAGGCTGAGGACACGTGTATCCTGGCAGCTGGGCTGAGGGTACATCCTCTTGATTGTTTGAAGGAAAGTTCAGGAGTAAATATGGAAAAAGCCAGCAGCGTGTGGCAGGCCGCCTGCCCAGGGGGTGTGGCCGGGCCCTGGGAGCGTGGCCCCCCTGCCACTGGCCTGGATGCAAGCCCCAGCTCCCCAGTGCCTGGGGCCTCCTCTCCACAGGGACACTGGGGTCAGGAGAGCCTGGAGAGCTACTGGGTCTGATGGAACAAAAGACAGCATTTTCAGGGGGTGCTGGGGGTCCCCATGGTCCACAGTAACCTGTTCCAAGGTCTGCCCCAGGGCCCAGAGAGCCTTGGGGATGGAAGCAGACAGTGGACAGTGGTGCCCGGGGAGGCCAGGCAGGGATGGGGCCCCACCATCCGGCCGCCCTCTGGGGGCTGGGAAAGGGGTTCAGTTGCTGCAGGTTTCTGGCCCAGTGCCCCTGGAGATCAAGCCCCAGTCCCTTAGCTGCCCCACTAGTCCTGCCTTGCAGCCTCACTGTCCCCATCTCTCAGGGTGCCTGCCCGTCACCACTGTACACACTGTCACTCGAGGCCCAGCACCACTCTCTGCACACTTTGTGGGCTATAAAGACCTACTTATTTTCCGTTTGTCAGCATCGCTCTGTGACTTGATTTAGAAGGGTCCTAGGATCCTAGGATGGGATCCCCTTCTCAGCCGACCCCCACATTCTCCCCACCTGGCACAGAGCAGGCACTCAGTTCAGGGCTGGGTTGCTGCATTTAATTATTCCTGGGTAGAAGTCTCGAGCAGGTTGAAGTTCAAGCCGAAAAAGAACCATGTACATTACAGGAATGCCAAATTGCCCGGGAGGGTGACAGCGCCTCTGGAGGGGTGCATTCAATCAAAAGGTGCGGGGACACACGGCCCTGGAGGGCCTCCAGCACTGAGATCCTGAGCGCCTTTGTGAGTGGGGCACACAGGCTGGGTGGCCTTCATCAGATGTGCCGTCTCAGAACCCGGGCACGGTCCAGTGTCTCACAGATGCCAGCTGCCTCCAGACGTCCGTGTCTCCTTTACCCCCACCACAGTGCACTATTTGCTGCTTGAAAATGCTTGTGATGCCTGCGTGCCTCTTCTCCCCTTCTTCCAGCTGGTACCCCAAAAGTGAGCACGTGCCCCTGGAGAAAGCGCCGCCTTCACGCCTCCCTGAACTCACTCAGTGCTGGACAAGGAGATGTGAGCAGAAGCAGTGTGTGCCACTTCTAGGAGTTCATGTCCTCAAGGGCGGAGCATCCCTTCCAGTCCCCACGGCTGGAATTTCAACGTAATGACCCAAGTTCCAGCAGCTGCAAGGACAGGTCCTGCACCCCAGGGAGGACACACTGAAACCGGGAGGAGCCTGATCCTTACGATGTCGGTGCCACTGCTGGAGGTGACAAGGAACCTCTGTGACATGAGAGGACAGGGCTTTGGATTTTTCTGCTAAATCTCCTACCTGATATAGTCAAATCACAGCACTGTCCGGGAAGGGAGACTGTTATGTTTCCTTGGAGGGGGAGTCCATATTTTACATTTATTTGTATTCTTTTTGTCATCTAGCACAGAGTAAGCATTTTGATCTGATTTGATCCAATCTTTTCAAATTCTGTTACTCAGGGAGTGACAAAATCTACACCATGCCTCCCTGCCGTCTCCAACATGCCCTGTTTTCTCATCGGCAAACTCCCTCTTAGGTTCCAGACGGGACTCTTTGGAAGGCTGCGGAGCTTGCTTTTGCCCCAGTTTCTGCTGATCTTGGGTCTGGATGACATCACCTCTCAGATCTGATCTTTCCAGATGGGACATCCACCCGGCAGTGGCTGCTTAAGGCATCTGCTGCCCGCCGACTGAGCATCTGAGCAAAGCCATGTGGCAAGTCAGAGTCCGAGAAAGGAAGGGCTTCCAGGAAGGAAGGGCTGGGGTCAGCCGGCAGATGCCGAGCCGCTCAAGGTGGGGAAAGCCGGCCTTCCGATGGGGCCCCGGGGCAACAGGACCGGGTCATCCCAGCAGAGGCGCACACGCGGCCAGGCTGCAAGCACTGAGGGCGCCTGGAGCAAGGAAAGCCACAGCAGCAAGGAATCACCCCTCGTCAGGGAAGTTCACAGCGATAGGAATGAAATAGAACAGTGGCTTCGGGAGCCACAAGGTGGGCTTTCCTTGGATAGAATCTAGAAGTGAAAAAGTGACGGCTCTTTTTCAACGAGTGGCAGCCACTTCTCCTTAGCCTGGGTCTGCTCTCCAGGCATTGCTGCGGGGAGGGGCAGGCACTATTTTTTCTTGGTACTACCCATCTGTATTGCTTATATTTTTTCAAAGCCTGTTTACCTACTCCTGTCATTTAAAAGAAAAACATTTTAAATAGATTCCTGAGCGGGTCATCAGACCAGGGGCCACCAATAAAAAAACTTGGAAATTCCACTTGCTCCAAGGACTTGGCTTTGGGGGGAAATGTCAGAATCAAAACAGGCAGCCGCAGATTTTGAATGGAACGGGTCTGGGACATGCCTTTCCTCTGAGCCTGAGGTGGTCCCAGGTCCCAGCACGAGCCCTTTGTTGTCACGTGACCAGGAGCCAAACCCTGCCTTCGGTTTTGTTTCCTGTGAAATAAGGCCCCGGGTGGCAGTGGCAGGGCGGAGGTGTGCTTTCGCAGTTGGGGGTGAAGCCAGGTAGTCACGAAGGTCAATTATAGGGCAGGGACAAGGCCACGGGGCCGTCTAATAATGAAAGGATATATGAGATTGTCTTTCTTTCTTTCCACACGCAGCTTACTCCTGTAGCTGCTGTGCTGAGCTCCATATGAAAAGGTTACTGACCACAGAGCTTTGGGTTAGTTCCTGGTGAGAACTCCAGGGTAGGGTGGGTAGGGGAAGCGTGCCTTCCGCCGTGGGACAGTGTCTCGGTGCCTGACTGTATTAGGGTTCTCCAGAGAAGCAGAACCAACAGGATGTATAGAGAGCAGTAGAAAGAGATTTATTATGAGGGACTGGCGTGTGATTACATAGGCCACGATGTCCTAAGATCTGCTGTCTGCACTGCACTGGGGATTCAGGAAAGCTGATGATGGAGGTCCCAGGCTGAGTCCAAAGGCCCTAGAACCAGGAGCTCTGACGTCGGAGGGCAGGAGAAATGCATGTTCCAGCTCAGGAGAAAAGAGAGACAATGGGCCTTTCCTCTGCCGCTTTGTTCTATGAAGCCTTCCTCGATGGGTTGGATGAGGCCCACCCGCAGGGAAGAGAGCGGATCTTCTTTACTGGGTCCCCTGATGGAAATGCCAATCGCTTTCAAAAACTATGCCCCCCACCCCGCCCCCCGCACTGACACACCCAGGAATAATGTTTTGCTGCTTATCTGAGCATCCCTTAACCTAGTCAAGATGACTCATAAAATTCACCACCGCGCTAACCCCAGGTGTGCTACATACCTTGAAGTGCTAAATACTGGATGAGATACTTTACTGCTGGGATCTAACAGCTTCTCATCCAACCCTAGAAAGCCCCTAGGATCTTCCTCCTCATGAGTGAATAGATTAAGGCTGACCAAGGTCTCCCAGCCCCTGAGTGGCCCAGCTGGAATTTGAGTTCGTGACTATCAGTCTTCAAATCTGAGTCGTGCCTACTCCAGGCTGATGCAGCCCTGAGCGGCTGAATGAGCTGGCAGGCGCAGGATGTGTCTACTGAGTTAAATCGAATGTACTGGAAGGGAGGGGACTTAGGACACATTATATTATTCATGCATTTTTGCACTTACTTATCAGGGACCTGCTGTGTGCACATTCTGATACTGAGCTCAGCAGAGGTACAAGAGAAATATACCGCCACGGCTTCCTTCAAAGAGCTCGCCGCATGGCTGGGAAGCAGTAGCAGGGAGGCTTCGCTCAGTGCAGACGGTAAGATCTGCGGGCCCCAGGAGAGAGAAAGCCTGCGCCTGGGGTATGGGGTAAAGGCATCATTCAAGAATATTTCCTGAAAGAAGTTGGGGTTGAGCTGCACAATATGGCATGAACAGGGCTCGAGTTCATGCCAAGAACTCGGGAATTTGTTACAAGGACTTTGTTTGGAACTTTGTTCCAAGAACAAAGGAAGAGCATTCCAAAAGGGGAAAATGGAATAAGCGAAGCACCAGAGATAGGTACGTGTAAGGCATATTCGGGGGGCAATAGATCAAACCGGCTGCAACAGCAAAGGCTGTGGTGGCGTCTAGTAAGTTTGGAGGATACCAATAGATAATTATTCAACATTTATTTATTTATTTAGAGACAGTCTTACTCTGTCGCCCAGACCGAAGTGCAACGGCAGGATCTCGGCTCACTGCAACCTCTGCCTCCCGGGTTCAAGCAATTCTTGTGCCTTAGCCTCCCAAGTAGCTGGGATTACAGGCTCCCACCACCATGCCCGGTTAATTTTTGTATTTTTAGTAGAGACGGGGTTTCACCATGTTGGCCAAGGTGGTCTCGAACTCCTGACATAAAGTGATCCACCCACCTTGGCCTCCCAAAGTGCTGCGATTATAGGCATGAGTCACCACGCCTGGCCTATTCAACCTTTAAAAAGAAAAATTCTGGGCCAGGCATGGTGGCTCACACCTATAATCCCAGCACTTTGGGAGGCCAAAGCGGGCGGATCACCTGAGGTCAGGAGTTCAAGACCAGCCTAGCCAACATGGTGAAACCCCGCCTGTACTAAACACACACACGCACACACGCACAAAAAAAAAAAAGAAAGAAAGAAAGAAAGAAAGAAAGAAAGAAAGAAAGAAAGAAAGAAAGAAAGAAAGGAAAGAAGAAAATTAGCCAGGCATGGCAGGTACCTGTAATCCTTGCTACTCAGGAGGCTGAGGCAGAAGAATCACTTGAACCCGGGAAGGGGAGGTTGCAGTGTGCCAAGACTGCACCACTGAACTCAAGCCTGGGTGACAGGGCAAGACTCCTTCTCAGGAAAGAAAAAAAAAGAAAAACTCTGACACATTCTACGCCATGAATGAACCTTGAACCTTGAGGACATGATACGAGTGAAATATTCCAGTCACAAAAGGACAAAAACTCTGTGATTCCACTCCTGTGAGCTTCTAGAGCAGCCATAGCTACAGACAGAAAGTAGAAGGTGGGTGCAGGACTGGAAGGTAGGCGGAATTGGGAGTTGTTGTTTAATGGGTATGGAGTTGCAGCTTTTTTCTTCTTCTTCTTCTTCATTTTTTTTGAGATGGAGTTTCATTCTTGTTGCCCAGGCTGGAGTGCAATGGCAGGACCTTGGCTCACTGCAATCTCTGCCTCCCAGGTTCAAGAGATTCTCCTGCCTCAGCCTCCAGAGTAGCTGGGATTACAGGTGTGTGCCAGCACGCCTGGCTAATTTTTTTTGTATTTTTAGTAGAGACGGGATTTCACCGTGTTAGCCAGGATGGTCTCGATCTCCTGACCTCGTGATCCTCCCACCTCAGGCTCCCAAAGTACTGGGATTACAGGCGTGAGCCACCACACCCGGCCCTGGCTAATTTTTTGTATTTTTTAGTAGAGACAGGGTTTCACCATGTTGGCCAGGCTGGTCTCAAACTCCTGACCTCAGGTAATTTGCCTGCCTTGGCCTCCCAAAGTGCTGGGATTACAGGTGTGACCCACCGTGCTCGGCCATGGAGTTGCAGGTTTGCAAAACGAAATAGTTCTGGAGATGGACGGTGGTGATGGTCGCATAACAATGTCAGCATACTCAATGTCATTGACCTGTACACTTCAACACTTCAAAATGCTTATGATAACTGTTGTGTGTGTGTGTGTGTGTGTGTGTGTGTGTGGTGTGTGGGTGTGTGTATACTTTTTTTTTTTTTTTTGAGACAGAGTCTTGCTCTGTCGTCCATGCTGGAGTGCAGTGACATGATCTCGGCTCACTGCAACCTCTGCCTCCCAGGTTCAAGCGATTCTCCTGCCTCAGCCTCCCGAGTAGCTGGGATTACAGGCACACACCACCCACGCCCGGCTAATTTTTGTGTTTTTAGTAGAGACAGGCTTTTGCCATGATGGCCAGGCTAGTTTCGAACTCCTGACCTCTGGTGATTCACCCACCTTGGGCTCCCAAAGTGCTGGGATTACAGGCGTGAGCCACCACACCCAGCCATGTTATGTATATTTTACCACAATTTTTAAAAATAGGTCAAAGTTTTTGTAGTTTGGAAGGTACAGACGTCTTTTGTGGCTTGCGTGCTGCACGCCGAGGAGTCTGGACTTCACCTCGTAGGCTAGTGGTCTGCTTCAGTTTCCTCTTGCTACATAACCAACTACCTCAAAGCTCAGAGGTTTAAAACAGCCACCACTGTATTTGCTCACGTTCTGCGGGTCAGGAACTTGAGCAGGGCTCCACTGGGCAGGTCTTCGGTTCCACGTGGTATTGATGTGGGTCTCTTGTGAAGCTGCTATCACAGGATGGCTGGGGCTGGAACAACCAAGACGGTGCCACCTCTGTGTCTGGTGTTTGCAGGAATGGCTGGGACAGTAAGACTTCTCTCCTTTTCTCCCTATATTCCTAACTTGGTGGTTGGACCGCAAGAATGGGCTTCCCAAGTGACCAAGGTAGAAACTGTTTCTATCTTAAGACCAAAATTTGGAGCCTACATAGCGTTAGTCCCACCGCATTTCATTGCTCAAAACAAGCCCAGCTTCAAAGGGGAGGGGGAAAGCTGGCACTATTTCCTAAGGAAATTGTGGCAAGGTTGCTTTGCAAAGGAGCAGAAAAGATAGAGATTATTGTTATTGTCAGTGAAAAGTCTTGGAGCTAACTTAGTTTTCTGTTGTTGTTGTTTTTTGAGACGGAGTCTTGCTCTGTCGCCCAGGCTGGAGTGCAGAGTGCAGCGGCACAATCTTGGCTCACTGCAAACTCCGCCTCCCGGGTTCACGCCATTCTCCTGCCTCAGCCTCCCGAGTAGCTGGGACTACAGGCGCCCGCCGTACACCTGGCTAATATTTTTGTATTTTTAGTAGAGACGGGGTTTCCCCGTGTTAGCCAGGATGGTCTCGATCTCCTGACCTCGTGATCCACCCGCCTCGGCCTCCCAAAGTGCTGGGATTACAGGCTTGAGCACCGCGCCCAGCGCTAACTTTGATATGTATGTTTCTTTGCAAACTATACACATATATTTTTATTAGTTTAATATTTATTTATTTATTTATTTTTGAGACAGAGTCTCACTCTGTCACCCAGGCTGGAGTGCAGTGGCGTGATCTCAGCTCACTGCAACCTCCGCCTCCTGGGCCCAAGCGATTCTCCTGCCTCAGCCTCCCAAGTATCTGGGATTACAGGTGCCTGTCACTATGCCTGGCTAATTTTTTGTATTTTTGGTAGAGACAGGGTTTCACCATGCCGGTCAGGCTGGTCTCGAACTCCTGACCTCATGATCCACCCACCTTGGCTTCCCAAAGTGCTGGGATCACAGGCATGAGCCACTGCACCCGGCCACACATGTATTATTGTACTTATATATCATGTACTTATAAAACTTACACAAAAAATGGAAACAGAAAGACTTACTATGAAGTTAGATCAACAATATTTTTAAATGATTGTGATTTTGGTTTCCATTAACGGCTCAAAAATAACCTTTCGCTCTCAATAATCTCAAAAATAACATTTTGTTGGTGAAAGCAAGGTGATGGGGTATGCTTTGTTCTCTTACAAAATCTTGGTTTAATAATTGGTTTAATGATCTGAAGATCTTGTTCTAAGTTATTTCAATACTTGATTTTGATGGACGTCATAGCCGAAAATACACAGCCAAAGTTACAGAGAGCCAGAAGGAAGAAGGGCCTTGTCCACCCACATGAAACCAGGTTTCTCTTTTAAATCCACTGGTATGCAAACATTTTTGTTTGCTTGTTTTAAAAATCTGACAACTGTTATCATCCTTATTGTCAATCTATTGTTTTTGCAAAGTAACTGGAAGTTTTTAATATTTTTAATAAATGTGATCAAAATCTACCAATTCTCCTCATTGGGATGATTTTTAAACAAGATAAAGAATTACATTTTTTGGCTGGGCATGGTGGCTCACTCCTGTAATCCCAGCACTTTGGGAGGCCGAAGCGGGCAGATCATTTGAGGTCAGGAGTTCGAGACCAGCCTGGTCAACATGGTGAAACCCCATCTCTGCTAAAAAAATACAAAAATTAGCCAGGTGTGGTGGTGCACGCCTGTAATCCCAGCTACTTGGGAGGCTGAGGCAGGAGAATCGCTTGAACCCAGGAGACAGAGGTTGTAGTGAGCCAAGATCACACACCATTGCACTCCAGCTTGGGTGACAGTGCGACTCTGTCTCAAAAAAAAAAAAAAAAGAATTATGTTTTCAAGTTTGTCATTGCTGTTGTCCACAAGTTTTTCCAGCCCCCAAGTTTTTTCAGCCTGAAGATGTGAAAGTTGTTTAGTTGACAAATCGTTCATTGCTCCTTCCCTAAAAATATCAAGCAGTAATAACATTTCCAAACATTGTTCAAACTGCCCAATTGCACAATATAAAGCAATGACTTTCTTAGGATTATCAGAATGTCACTGTCTCCAGCAGATCGTGTGAGTGTGTGCCTGCATTCTCAGAGTCGGCTAGGTTGCTACCACGCATAGCCACCGTATGAAAGAAAGGGTCGCTAAAATTGGAGCACTTGCTTTTTGTTTGTTTGTTTAAGGCTCGATGGGTCTTTTCAATATTCTGTCACAAGATCACCAGTGAATCTCTGCGGAACAAAAGATTTCCTTCGCTTCTCGTCTCAGTGCAAGGTACTGAAAAGATGCTCAGCTGTTGAAAGGTCTTGCGTTATGAAACTGACCGCTTCTGGTCACTCTGCTCTCTGGCCTCCTCCCCTACCTGCCTCAGTGACGAAGGCAACGAATTCCCTGTTTCACTCTCTTTGTAACCCCATTCTGCCTTCCTTTTTCCTTTTAAATTCCAAGTAAAACGCAGCCCCCCTGGCTTACAGAGTTTTTCTTTTTCTTTTTTTTTTTTTTTTTTTTTTTTTGAGACGGAGTCTCTCTCTGTCGCCCAGGCTGGAGTGCAGTGGCACAATCTCGGCTCACGGCAAGCTCCGCCTCCCGGGTTCACGCCATTCTCCTGCCTCAGCCTCCCGAGTAGCTGGGACTACAGGCACCCGCCACCGTGCCCGGCTAATTTTTTGTACTTTTAGTAGAGACGGGGTTTCACTGTGTTAGCCAGGATGGTCTCGATCTCCTGACCTCGTGATTCACCCGCCTCGGCCTCCCAAAGTGCTGGGATTACAGGCGTGAGCCACCGCGCCCGGCCCCAGAGTTTTTCGATAACACATTGTTTTCATTACAGAAGTCATTTACAGTTGAGAAAATGCCTTCTCTGGCAGGTCCTTCCTTTGGTGGCTCATGAAAAAGGAGTTCTTTATGCACTTCATCTGTGAAACATAACCTTTCCCAGATACAGTAACAATATCTGTAGTTTCATCCAACTGAGTGGCAAACTTCCCACTGAATAATTTGTTCTAATGGTTGTCTTCACATTTTCCAGCACTATTTGTTGACCAAAAAAATGTGTCTTGGTTTGCTGCCATCTTGCTTTCCAGTCTGTAATCCATTTAAGCATTTGCCCACTGGTATTGCCTCTTGGACTTTTTCTATTAAAACAGAAACAAAAACAAAAAAAACACCTCAGAGGGCTGGCCACGGTGGCTCATACCTGTAATCCCAGCACGCTGGGAGGCCAAGGTAGGATCATTGCCTGAGCCCAGGAGTTCAAGACCAGCCTGGGCAACATAGCAAGACTTCATTCTACAAAAAATTAAAAATTAGCTAACTGGGCATGCTAGGGGGAGGACCTGTAGTCCCAGCTACTCGGGAGGCTGTGGCGGGAGGATTGCTTGAGCCCTGGAGGTCGAGGCTGCAATGAGCTGTGATCGTGCCACTGCACTCCAGCCTGGGTGACAGAGCAAGACCCTATCTTAAAAAAACAAATAAACATTTTTTAAAAAACACCTAAAGGCTGGGCACGGTGGCTCACACCTGTAATCACAGCACTTTGGGAGGCTGAGGCGGGCAGATCACAAGGTCAGGAGATCAAGACCATCCTAGCTAACGCGGCAAAACCCCGTCTCTACTAAAAAAAAAACACAAAAAATCAGCTGGGCGTGGTGGCGGGCACCTGTAGTCCTAGCTACTCGGGAGGCTGAGGCTGGAGAATGGCGTGAGCCCTGGAGGCAGAGCTTGCAGTGAGCGGAGATTGCACCACTGCACTCCAGCCTGCGCGACAGAGCGAGACTCCATCAAAAAACGAAAACAAAAACAAAACAAAAACACCTCAAAAGAAGCTTCTAAACATTTTTCATTAAATCTCAAGAGTCCATAAAGAGTAGAACTGTAAACATCACAAACAGTGTTGAGGTTTGTCTTGGGTTCTGAAGGCTGAGTTTTGTAAATGTTTTGCTAATTGAGATAGTTTTATGGAATCTTGAGCTGTGATCCAATACCAATGCATAGCGTAGACTTAGAGGGAGGCTTCTTGTTAGCAATGACGATAGATACATAAATCCACATTTCCAATAGCCTTGGTAGTTTAGAAAAGGGAGGGGTGCTGACTTCTCATCACATTGGATTAGGTCTCTATTGCTTTTACTTGATATTTGTCAGCTCGGTTACCTGTTGTGTGGTTCTCCAATTCTCTAACACCAACTTGGTGTTCAACAAGTTAATTCAATTCTGACACTATCTACCTGGAGTTAGCATCAGACTCCACAGTTGAAGGGCTCAGTTCCACAAGACAGCCTCATTCAGATCCCAGCCACAAATGGGGTCCTCAGCCGACCTACACTTCTGCCCAGCTGACTTCGAATTCAGGAGTCCCCACCCCCAACCCTCAGGTTCGCTAATTCGCCAGAACGCCTCTCTGAACTAAGGGAAGTGTTCCCCTTGCCATTCCAGTTTATACAGGATACAAACAAGCCGTCCAGTGAAGAGGCACATGGAGAGTGCCAGAAGGGGCCAAGTCATGGCAGCCTGCGTCCCGGTGGAGCTGGGACGTGCTGCCCTGTTGGCGTGCGGATGCGTTCACTAACTTGGAATCTCCTCGAACCCCATCACTTAGGGGTTTTCAGCGGAGGCTTCACTATGCAGGCAAGACAGAGGAAGTCACTGGCCATTAGTGACAACTCACTCTCCAGCCCCTCTCTCCTTCCTGGAGGTGGGGGGTGGGGTGCTGAAAGTTCCAACCGAGGCTTGGTCTTGCTGGTGTCCAGCCCCACCCGGAAACTGTCTCAGTGCCCCATTTCCCCAAGACCCATCATTCATTAGCGTAAAGAAGACAGTTCAGTCACTCAAGAGAGTCCAAGTGTTTGAGGAGTTCTGTGTCAGGAGCCGGAGACAAAGATCAGAATTTTTGTTAAACCACACCTGTTGTTCACTGGGGCTTGTATGTTAGGATTATTTTCAATTTTAGGACTTTTTTTCTTTTTTGCTATGTTTTTTTTTGAAGCACTTCTCCATTTTAGAACAGTTACTTTGATTAAAATCTGATAATATAATCTATATATCCATAATGAATCCACCTAACTGGGCAAATGTTTCATGATCCTAAGAAGAGACAAATATGGGCAAGAGCACCTCTGTATTTTTTCTTTTTTAACAGGGTCTCACTCTGTCACCTAGGCTAGAGTGTAGTGGTAAGATCATGGCTCACTGTAGCCTCCGCCTCCTGGGCTCAGTGATCCTCCTGCCTCAGCCTCCCAAGTAGCTGGGACTATAGCACATGCTACCACACCTGGGTAATTAATTTTTTTTTTTTTTTTTTTTTTGTAGAAATGGGAGTCTTGCCATGTTGCTCAGGCTGGTCTGAAACTCCTGGGCTCAAGCAATCCTCCCACCTTGGCCTCCCAAAATGTTGGGACTACAAGTGTGAGGCAATGCACCCAGTCTCCCCTGTATTTTGTGTGCAGAAGTAACCTTCTGACTTACCTGCCAAGCAGGGACTAGTACCAATCTGAGTGATAAATATTTGTCAATCTTACTCTCTTAGGAAACAGAGTCATCAACATTTCTTGAGGTAGGGTGACTCATTCTTCCATGCATCCCACAGACATGCGTCAAGAGCTTACTGGGTTCTAGGAGGTGTGGTGGGTGCTGAAGCCACCAGATTGAATGCTAGGCCCTTGCCAAAACCAGGATAATCCTGGGCACACCGGGACAGCAGCCCCAACTCCATCCTGAGGAATGAAGAAATGATGCCACCCTCCATTCTGAAAAACCACATTCCCCCACGCTCCAGCTCTCCTGCATGCTCCAAACATGCTGCTTACAGGCGTGAGCCACTCAGCCTGGCTCAGCTCTTTTTTGATTGTTTTTGTTTTGAGACGGAGTTTCGCTCTTGTTGCCCAGGCTGGAGTGCAATGTTGTGATCTCGGCTCACTGCAACCTCCGCCTCTCAGGTTCAAGTGATTCTCCTGCCTCAGCCTCCCTAGTAACTGGGATTACAGGCGCCCGCCACCATGCCCGGCTAATTTTTTTGTATTTTTAGCAGAGACAGGTTTTCCCCATGTTGGCCAGGCTGATCTTGAACTCCTGACCTCAGGCAATCCACCCGCCTTGGCCTCTCAAAGTGTTGGGATTACAGGGGTGAGCCACTGCGCCTGGTCCCCAGCTCTGTTTTTAATAGCCAAAGAATAGTCAGACAGGAGGCGACTCTCTATCCAAGTCCCAGGGGATATCGATGCCAAATATAAAATGCCACCCCAACAGCCGACGACGGGGCTGGCGGGCAGGCTCGAGGCCTGGCTCTGCAGCATCGCTCAGTGGGGCAAACACCTGCTCTGGGAGCAGGCCAGGTCCCACATGGGAAGGATGCGTGCAGAAGACGACAGTCATGGGAAACAGAAAGGGCAATCAGGCGTCTGTCTGTGAAACGCAGCACCGGGTAGGTGGCTCTGTGTGGCTCTGGAAACTTGGAATATCATAGCGCCCTTTGTGTGCTCAGATGGTGGTTTCTCAAAGCACTCACCAGAAAGCCCACATCCTTCCGCTGAGGTTTAAGGTCCAGGGAGAGTGTTCCTGGTACCGAGTACCATAACCCAGGTTTTATGTGCGACTTCCCCCTGCATCTGTCTGCCAGGCGCCACCGGCCTCTAGTGCACCATGGTGGGGAGCAAAGCCCTTCCATCTCTGAGCTGCTCTGATGTCCACACCAGTCTTAATCTCAGTAGCCCTAAGCCACTGGTGTTGGTTTTGTACTCTGGGGTTTCATTCTAGAAGCCAGATCCTCCTTTTTTTTTTTTTTTTTTTGAGACAGAGTCTCACTCTCTCCCCCAGGCTGGAGTGCAGTGGCGCCATCTTGGCTCACTACAACCTCTGCCTCCTGGGTTCAAGCGATTCTCCTGCCTCAGCCTCCCAAGTAGCTGGGATTACAGGCACGCACCACCACACTTGGCTAATTTTGTATTTTTAGTAGAGATGGGGTTTCACCATATTGGCCAGGCTGGTCTGGGCAGACAACAGGGACACCGTGACCCCTCCCCGCCACTGGGCTTGACATTCATTGAGTGTGTGTGAAGGACACACACAGACCAGAGGAAATGTACATCCAGATTCCTCCTGAAAGGCGGTCACAGGATGCCCAAAGGAGAGGCGTTCCAGAAATCAGTAAATCTCCCCAGGGGATGTTCGAGCAAAAACGCACTCAGCAGTTCCATGACACGACGTTTGCTTTCTTCTTCTTTTTTTTTTGGTTGTTGTTTCCTGTGTAAATATTTTGTTCTTTTGTCTTTGTCAACAGCCTTGACCACACACATGTAAGCTTCGTTTCACTCAGCGGTTTCCAAGCTGACAATGTCCCAGGCGAGGCCGGGTTTCAGCAGACGCATCCCTGCATCCTCCACCAGCACTGTTTGTTCTGAAATCATCTTGTTCATGGGGATTCTGGGGAAAACCTTACTCAGCCCCCTTTCTCCTCCCTGTGGTGTCAGCATTCCCATCCTGGCTGCATATTCAACTCACCTGGGGAGACTAAAAAACACCCCAATACACAGGATCTGCTGAAACACCCCAATACACAGGATCTACCCAAACACCCCAATACACAGGACCCCCCAAAACACCCCAATACACAGGACCCCCCAAAACACCCCAATACACAGGACCCGCCCAAACACCCCAATACACAGGACCCGCCGAAACACCCCAATACACAGGACCCGCCGAAACACCCCAATACACAGGACCCGCCGAAACACCCCAATACACAGGACCCCTCAAAACACCCCAATACACAGGACCCGCCCGAGCACCCCAATACACAGGACCCGCCCGAGCACCCCAATACACAGGACCCACCAAACACCCCAATACACAGAACCCCCCGAAACACCCCAATACACAGGATCCCCCGAAACACCCCAATACACAGGATCCCCCGAAACACCCCAATACACAGGATCCCCCAAAACACCCCAATACACAGGATCCCCCGAAACACCCCAATACACAGGACCCACTGAAACGCCCCAATACACAGGATCCCCCAAAACACCCCAATACACAGGATCCCCCGAAACACCCCAATACACAGGACCCACTGAAACGCCCCAATACACAGGATCCCCCGAGATCCTGATTTAGTGTCAGAGAACCTGCTTCCTGGGTGATCCCAGTGTGAAGGCCTGGGCGGAAACCCATTTCAGGTTCCCACGCCAGCAGATGCCGAGTGACCACGCCTGGGCGGGCAGGGCTTTCGGTTCTTCCCAGCTGTGTGACCTTGGCAGGGCCCTGCAGCTCTCTGAGCCTTGGGTTCGCCCATGTGTGCTGGGATAGTGTCCCTGCCTTCCGTGTCTCTCAGGAGTATTGAGAACATCAAGTGAATTCCAGCATGGGGCCAGTGCAGGCCAGCAACCAAGAGCGCCCTGCTCCTTCAAGGCAGAGCCTGGAGCCAGGCCACAGAGGCCGGAAGACGCTGGAAGTGCGGCGGGAGCCGGTCCCATCTGCCCTCCGCACTCTGCCCAGGCTTCTGCCACCGAGCACTGCCTGGACCTGGTGGGGCATGACTGGGACCCAGGAAGGGTCTGCGACGTCAGTGACATAAAGCCCAATAGGACAGAAAAAGGAAGCACTTCTCTCATTGGAAGTGTTACCTAGATGTGGGAATGACAGTGCAGTCATTGTGAATGGAGGTCCTGGGGCCGAACCGCCCAGGTGAGAATCCAGCCTCTACCAGGAGAAGCTGCTGAAGTCTCATTTCTTCACCTGTACAATGGGCAGAGTTGCTTTGAGGATTAAATGAGATAATCCATACAAGGTGCTTGGCTTTTGTTAGGATTATGACTGGTACCTTACAGGCGCAGTTGCATTTCTTTTTCACAACAATCCCTATTACTATCATTCTCCTCTCTTTTACAGGTGACACCATGGAAGGTCAGAGAGGTTAGGGATCTAATTGCCCAAGGGGCAATGCCAGCAAGTGGAAACAGAGCCAGAACCTGAACCCACGTCTGCCTAACTCCAAAGACAGCTCTTTCTGTATGGTGTCCTGCTTGAACTCAGAATGGGTGCTTTTGGGGCTGTCTGAGAAACGGGAGTGAAGAATCTCCCAGGCGGCTGGGAGGAGGGCAGGGCCTGGCTGGAGACCCCCAGAGCAGAGTACAGGGACCACGTGGAAAAAGGGAGATGCAGAATCAGAGCCCCAGAGCAGTGGGTCGTGGAGGTCGAGGGCCTGGGGCCTAAAAAGGAAGTCACATTCTTTGAGCGTCGTGTGTCCCAGGCTCTGACGCATGTGTTGAAGAATGAATCATCATTGTCCTGCAGACCATCTATGACAGAGGAGGTGAAGATCAAGCCCTGGCCCAGTCACACGGGAGGCACTGTGGAGCTGTGGAGCCCGAAGCAGCAGACAGAGGGGTGAGGAGGGCCTGCGCCCTGTGGCAGGTGGGGGCCTCTAGGTGCCCCCTGCGGTGGGAAAGGCCCTGCCAAGAAGTCCTCGCTCTCCCTCCTGTCTAACATCAGCCTGCTCCCAACGGCTGGCTCCCATTCTCCTTCCTCCACAAAGCAAACTCCCATCCCCAGTCGGGCAGGCCACCTGCTCTCTACACCCCAAGGCCACCTCGGCCTATGTCGGGGTGAGCTTCCGCCCTCAATGGGACCTAGAAGGCGCAAGAGAAGAGCATGAGGTGGCAGCCATGTGCTGGGGGCCTGGATCCTGGGACCCAGATGCTGGGTCATATGGGGCAGCTGTGAGGTCTGTACTGGGGTCTCAACCCTGCATTCTAAGTGGGGTGAGGAGGGATTTCCTTTAGAATCCCCTCGGTGTCTCCCAAGGGTGTTTCTCTTGGTTAGTGGCATCGAGTTTGGCTCCTGGCTCTTTACAGCAGGGTCACTCTGAGCAAGACAGGCTTTTTGCAGCAGAAATGACTGCTGGCATCGAACCCTCAAGAGGACAGGACCTGAGACGGGCCATCCTTACTATTGGGTTCACAGGCAGCGAGGGCCCAGTGCCCAGCTGGCATTAGAAGATGGGAGCTTTCCTTGGCATGTGGTGGAGAAAGTCACAGGGCTGTGGCCAGTGCTCACCAGGAGTGAAGCCCCATGAAGCCCTGGGTGTGGCTGGCTGCTTGCCATGGGGTGAAGCATGTGCGGGTTGTGGGGCAGCAGGTCCCAGTGTCAGTGGGGGTTTACAGAAGGAAAACCGCAGGCTCAAGGCATAGAAACAGAACCAGCCAGAGAGCTTGTAGTCAGAGTCTCTGGACTGATGCAACTTACAACCCGAGCCGAGTCTGGTTTCAACACAGGGCAAACTCACAGCCCCTCCAGGTCTCTGATTGAAATGCTATGGCATTGTTGGCAACCAGCCGGAGCCTTCGGATTGTATCCAGGACTTCGGGAATGTTCACCTCACTGATTCCCAACCCCCAAAGCCCACAGAGCTGCCTTTGCAAACGAAAGCAGCCCCTTCTTCCTGTCTGGTGAGCTGGAGACCTTGTGCACAGCGCACCCATTGCCTTTAGACCTGTCACCCAGCAGGACGCAGGAGCCGGTAAGTACCCACTTTTGGAGACAGGAGGAGTATGCCTCCCAAAAAGCAATATTTGCCAATGTATTTTGTCAAAAACTTGGGGAATATGTCAGGCACGGTGGCGCACACCTGTAATCCCAGCACTTTGGGAAGCCAAGGGAGGTGGATCACTTGAGGCCAGGAGTTCAAGACCAGCCCGGCCAACATGGTGAAACCCTGTCTCTACTAGAAATACAAAAGTTAGCAGGGTGTGGCAGTGCACACCTGTGGTCCCAGCTACTTGCGAGGCTGAGGCAGGAGAATCGCTTTAACCTGGGAGGCAGAGGTTGCAGTGAGCCGAGATTGCGCCACTGCACTCCAGCCTGGGCAACAGAATGAGAGTCCATCTAAAAATAAAATAAATAAATAAATAAAAAACTTGGGGAATATATGTGAGAATGGATTTGAGGCTATTAGGCTTAGGAAGAAAGGAATAATTTTAGAATGGACAGATTTTATTACTATGGTGCAACTATAGCAAAGTCAGTGCCATTTTATGGTACAGTTTTTCAACATTCTGGAGTCAGTGTGCGTGTAACTGTCCTAAGCCAGGACAGCTGTAGGATCTACGGCCATTGAAATGGGCCCTCTGATTTCAAAGGGAAGGGTGGGCGTGTGACTGAGACGGGCAGCAGGACCCAGGGGTGAGCAGAACCAGCTGGGAGCTGATGGTCCCGCAGAGCCAGGAGCTCTGCAGTGGGGGGTCCGAGACCAGCCCCTGTGAAGGCATCACAGCACAGGTGCCAGGCGACAGAGCAAAGCCACACTCTCATCAGCAAGAAACTATGCACTTCACAAACATCTCCGAGGCTAAACATCAACCACAGGGACACCAAGTGACCACGATCACAAGCTATGCATCTCGAACTGAGCCTTGTGTGAGCCAGGGAGTCACAGGCTGGGTGTGCTCGGCCGCAGTTAGTCATCAGGGAGGTGGCATGTACACGGCTGTGCTTGAGAAGGTCCTGAAGGCACAGGTAAGCTGGCTCTCACTCCCCTCCCCTCGCTGCACCGCCCTCCCCGGCCCCTCGGTCTTGGCCTAACTGGCACCTGTGAGCACCATCCACCCACCCCCAGGTTCCCAGGCTGCCCAGCAAAGCTGACCCTCATGTCCTACCAAAGGGTCCCTATGGCCAAGTATCTTCATTCCCTAGGGCTGTCATCAGAAAGTGCCACAAACTAGGAGTCTTAAACAACAGAAATGTATATTGTCTCAGTTCTGGAGGCTTGAAGTCCAAAATCAAGGTGTCAGCAGGGCCACGCCCCCTCTGAAGTTGTGAGGGAGAGTCCCTCACTGCCTTTCAGTGCCCAGTGGTGGCCAGCAGTCCTCAGCATTCCTTGGGCCACAGGCGCGTCACTGCCGTCCCTGCTTCTGTCTCCCTGCATGTCTGTATCTCCTCTTCTTCTAAGGACACCAGTCATATGGAATTAGGGGCCCAACCTACTCCAGTATGAACTCATCCCAACAAATTACTTCTGTAATGAGCTTAATCCAAACGAGAATTGCATTCGGAGGTACTAGGGGTTAGGACTTCAAATGGTTCTTTTTCAGGGGGATATAATTCAGCCCAAAACACCAGGAGACCAGGGAGGAGAAATCTGAGCCGGGTTTCAGGACGGCTGTGTATGACCAGCTGATGCCAGCACCTGCCTGATGGGCTCCCAGCTGCGCTGCAGAACCGCCTGGGCTCAGTCCTGAAGGATGACGGGGAAGGGACAAGGAGGCTAGATCGCATGCAAACCAGAAGCCAGATGTGTCAGCCAGTACCCTGTGATAAATATCTCTCTTCTTAAACTGGCAAGAAGGGATCATATTATCTCAACAAAAACCCTGTGATTGAAGCATTCTTTTTTTGTCTTTTTTTTTTTCTTCTGAGATGGAGTTTCACTCTTGTCACCCAGGCTGGAGTGCAATGGTGACATCTCAGCTCACTGCAACCTCCTCCTCCGGGTTCAAGCAATTCTCCTGCCTCAGCCTCCTGAGTAGCTAGGATTACAGGTGAGTGCCACCACGCCCAGCTAATTTTTGTATTTTTAGTAGAGACGGGGTTTCGCCATGTTGGCCAGCCTGGTCTCGAACTCCTGACTTCAGGTGATCTACCTGCCTCGGCCTCCCAAAGTGCGGGGATTACAGGCGTGAGCCACCGCACCAGGCCGCCTTCTTTTTGTAATTAGAAAAAATAGTAAACATGCAAGCAAGAATCTTCCCAAGCTGATGCAAGCGGGGAGTGAGGGGATGGTGTTCTGCGGGCTGCTGGGAGTGCCGGCCCCACCCTTTTCATCTAAACCCTCTATCTGGTCTTGCTGTGTTGCCCAGGCTGTTCTTGAGCTCCTGGGCTCAAATAGTATCCCCCACCTCCTGCCCCGACCTTAGCCTCCAGCAGAGCTGGGACTATGGGTGCGCCCCACCATACCTGGCCTGGGAGGTGCCTCTTCTAGTAATAATTCTCAGAGCCATGGTGGCTCTGCACTCCAGGTCCTCTGGGATCTGTCCCCACCAACCTGCTTCCTCTTCGGCCCAACTCCAGCCAAAGACCCAGAACTCCCCAGTGAGACCCCATTTTCTGCCTCCCTGAGGGACACACCACTGAGGCCACCAGTGGGGAGCCAGGCCTAGTCACACATCTGGGAGGGAACATGAGGTGACTCAGGCCACGAATCAGCTTTGGGAAGGAGCATGCTCCTGCGGCTTGGAGACGCTTAGATAAGAAGTAGATTGGGAACGGGCAAGCAAGCAGATCTGATTAAAGGGAGCTGAGTGAGCAGCCCTGAGCGAGCCGGGCTGGTGAGCCTGTTCTGTGTCCACAGCCTCCATTCAGCCTCTCGGTGCCTGTCAGTAGCAGGGCACCCCAAGTCCCTGCAGTCCCAGTGAAGAGCTCTGGAAGCAGAGCCCAACCCTTCCATTGTACAGGTCAGGAGACTGAGGCCTGGAGCTGGGACCAGAGCCTGGCCCTCCTTGGTTCCTTGTTCTTGGCCTGACTGGCATCTGAGCATCATCCACTCCCCCAGTTTCCAGGTCACCCAGCAAAGCCATCTGCGTCCTTCTCTACAGGCCCTGCCCAAGAGGCCCTGGGGGAAGAATAAATGAGAAACCCCATCCCAAAGGAGAGGGCAGAGCAAAGGCCTCAAGGAGGAGGGCTGCAGCTGTGGTGGTCTCCAGAAATAGAGACATTGCTCACAGCAACGTCCAGTGGGCCAAACAGCCCATTTAAAATGCCAGTTGAGGCTGGGCATGGTGGCTCACGCCTGTAATCACAGCACTTTGGGAGGCTGAGGCAGGCAGGTCACTTGAGGTCAGGAGTTCGAAACCAGCCTGGTCAACATGGTGAAACCCCGTCTCTACTTAAAATGCAAAAAAAAAGCTGGGCACGGTGGCATGCACCTGTAATCCCAGCTACCCAAGAGGCAGGAGAATCACTTGAGCCCAGGAAGCAGAGATTGCAGTGAGCCAAGATCACACCACTGCACCCCAGCCTGGGTGACAGAGCAAGACTCTGTCTCAAACAAATACATAAAATGCCAGGGTGCAGTGGCTCACGCCTGTAATCCCAGCACTTTGGGAGGCCGAGGCAGGCAGATCACCTGAGGTCAGGAGTTCGAGACCAGCCAGGCCAACATGGTGAAACCCCGTCTTTACTTAAAAAATACAAAAATTAGCCGGGCATGTTGGTGGGCACCTGTAATTCCAGCTACTTTGGAAGGCTGAGGCAGGAGAATCGCTTGAACCCAAGAGGTGGAGTTTGCAGTGAGCCGAGATCACACTATTGCACTCCAGCCTGGGCAACAAAAGCAGACTCTGTCTCAAAAAAAAAAAAAATTGCCAGTTGGCTTACAGGCAGCTCAGCCCCAAGTGCAGGGCTCCCCATGAACCTGGCAGCTCACACGTTCCCCCCGCTGGGGCCTCCCATGACCTGAAGCCGCTGTGCTCATTTTCCAGCGGGCTCGAGGTGCAGTTGAGTTCCTGGGGGTCTGTGCCAATCCTGGAAGCCACTCAGGAAGAAGTGCAGGCCCCTCTCCTGCCTCACCTGGCCATCTTGATACTATTTTCCTGAACACTCAGATCTATATCCTTTGCCCCGCTTTCTATGATTATGAAAGTAATCCATGCTCATGGGAAACTAGGAAAATCAAAAAAAGTTGAATAAAGAAGACAAAGATCACTCATAATCACACATCTGGGTAGATGTTTTGTGATTATCTTCTGGATTCTTTGCAGCATATAAAAGTAAGTTTTAAAGGTAGTCATAACTGGGGCCACACCACCTACTGTTTTGTATCCTGAGTTTGTTTTTTTTTAAACAGCATAATGTTCTCTGAATTTTCCCATTCAGACATTATCCAAAAACAAAATTATTGATTCATTTTTGTTTTCTTTGAGACAGGGTCCAGCTCTGTCTCCCAGGCTGGAGTGCAGTGGTGCAATCATGGCTCACTCTGCAGCCTCAACCTTCCTGGCTCAAGTGATCTTCCCTCCTCAGCCTCCCAAGTAGCTGGGACCAGGTAGCATGCACCACCACACCCAGCTAATTTTTAAAATTTTTATAAAAACTATTTTTGTAGAGATGGGGTCTCTCACTACATTGCCCAGGCTGGTCTTGAACTCCTGGGCTCAAGTGATCCTCCCAGCTTAGCCTCCCAAAGTGCTGAGATTACAGGTGTGAGCCACCAGGCCTGGTCCACTTTTTTTTAAGCCTAAATTTTTCAGGAGGTTAAGTTATCCATGGTGTTGAGCACAAGGTAAATCCCCACTCCCAAATACATATCAAAATCAAAACCCCACTTCCTCCCTGCATCCCGCACCTTTCACCACTGAGCTGGCCAAGCAGGTCAGACACAAGGTATTTGGAAGCACCCGTGCCTCATGGGGAAGAGACTCTTCCAGGACACAGGACTGTTTACCAGAACAGTGAAGGGGTCAGCTGGCCAAGCCCTTAGTGCAGCCTCTCTGTTAAGAGTTTTTTGTGGCAGCCGGGCACGGTGGCTCACGCCTGTAATCCCAGCACTTTGGGAGGCCGAGGCAGGCAGATCACGAGGTCAGGAGATCATGACCATCCTGGCTAACACGGTGAAACCCCGTCTCTACTAAAAATACAAAAATTATCCGGGCGTGGTGGTGGGTGCCTGTAGTCCCAGCTACTCGGGAGGCTGAGGCAGGAGAATGGTGTGAACCCAGGAGACGGAGCTTGCAGCTTGCAGTGAGCCAAGATCGTGCCGCTGCACTCTGCACACCAGCCTGGGCGACAGAGCAAGACTCCATCTCAAAAAAAAAAAAAAAAAGAGTTTTTTGTGGCCGGGCACAGTGGCTCACGTCTGTAACCCAGCGCTTTGGGAGGCTGAGGCGGGTGGATCACGAGGTCAAGAGATTGAGACCATCCCAACTAACACGGTTAAACCCCGTTTCTACTAAAAATACAAAAAATTAGCCGGGCTTGGTGGCATGCACCTGTTGTCCCAGCTACTCAGGAGGGTGAAGCAGGAGAATTGCTTGAACCTGGAGGCGGAGGTTGCAGTGAGCTGAGATCGTGTCACTGCACTCCAGCCTGGGCGACAGAGCAAGACTCTGCCTCAAAAAAAGAAGAAAAGGAGTTTTATGTGCATTATCCCTTTAGCCCACTGGCAACCTGTCAAATGGGACAGTGGGGCAGAGGTGGCCTGATTTCCCCCAATAGTCCTTCCCTTCGTCCTTAGCGATAGGACATCAATTTTATCTGGACACACGGCTGCTGGAATAAAGACCACGTTCCTCAGAATTCCTTGTTGCTGGGTGGGACCATGCGACAAATTCTATCCAAAGGTCTGTAACCCAGTGTGTTACATGTAACTCCCAGGAAGTGTGCTTTAAAGAGAACCCTTCCTCCCTTCTGCTAGCTGGAAATAGGACACAGTGGCTGAAGCATGGCAGCCACATTGGGCCATGAGGTGAAAGCTTCCTGCTGAGGATGGTGAAGCAGCAGGAGAGAAGGGGCCTGCGTCCCCGCAGATTTACCACACCACCAGCCCCGGACTGTTTACCGGTAGACTTTTACTGAAATGAGAAATACATTTTTATCTTGCTTAAAAATATGCTACAGCAGGCCTCTCAGAGCCCTGGGCTCTCTCCACAGATAGCTTCCTGCTATTAGGAAAGGTTATTCATATTTATTGCATGTCTACCTCTTGCCAGGCATGTCATATAATTTCTTTAATCAAATTTCATGTATTTTAGCCTCATTTTATTTCCCCAACAACCCTACAGTGTCAGTATTATGATCCCCATTCTACACATGAGGAAACCTAGGCTCAGAGAGGCTGAGGACCGTATCCAAGTCCCACAAGTAAATGACAGTGCCTGACTCCCCAGGTCCCGCTGGCCCCGTGGGCCTTGCTGCCTCCTCCCCAGTTCTCCCGGGTTCATTCAATTTTGCTTCTGAAGGAAGAGCTCCCACCTGAGAAAATCAAGTCACCAAAGGTGGCCATAGGCCAGGTGTAGTGGCTCACGCCTGTAATCCCAGCACTTTGGGAGGCTGAGGCAGGCAGATCACCTGAAGTCAGGAGTTTGAGACCAGCCTGACCAATATGGTGAAACCCCATCTCTACTAAAAGTACAAAATTAGCTGGGCATGGTGGCGCATGCCTGTAATCCCAGCTACTCGGGAGGCTGAGGCAGGAGAATTGGTTGAACCTGGGAAGCGGAGGTTGCAGTGAGCTGAGATTGTGCCACTGCACTCCAGCCTGGGCGACAGAGCAAGACTCCGTCTCAAAAAAAAAAAAAAAAAAAAAGGTGGCCATTGTCTTGTTATTCACCAGCCTCACGTTTGAGATGAAGTCCCAGAAACCGAGCCATTTCCCAAGGGTTTGAAGGAAAACTTCAATCATGTTTTAATATCAGTAAATTATTTTCTTTCTCGACTTAAGGGGAAAAGAGCCATCGTCAGCTATAATAAATCCAACTCAATTACCCTTATTATAGTGATTACTGCCCATGCCAGTCTAATTGGCTTCACTCAGCGTTTTCATTAAGAAACCGTATCTTCAAAGCTTTATACTCAGACACATTTTTACTTGGAGCTAAAATTTAGCTTTAGCGGCCAAACTGGGAGCTCAGGCGCCGGAGGTGCCGCCCGCAGCAGGCGGGCAGGCAGGCCAGCTCCCCTTAGCGCCCTCCCAGCCTCGGGAGGTGCTAGCAGGTCTGTCAGGACAACCGGTCACGACTGTGCAGTTGTCTCCACACGGGCCTCAGTCTTGTTGGGACAGGCCCCGGGCTTGTCAGATGGCAGCGTGGCCGCGGCTTGGCCGAAGCCTGGCTCCGGCCGGGTTCTGGATCTCACCGTGGCTCAAGCAAGTGCTCAGGGGGTGCTAGTTCTGGGGCATGGTGGGAGGAGGCGGGACGGGGAGCCGGAAGTCCTGTATGGGAGTTCTCGCTCCCCCCATGGCTTTTGGCAGGGTGCTTGAGCTTTCTAAGCCTCAGTTTCCCCCTCTTCAAGTGGATAATAGTTGTCATGAGGCTCAAGAGAGATCAGGTGTGGAAAGCACCGATGCAGGTGGTACCGTTTGACTGTGAGCCTCAGCACGGACCCAGCCCCAGCACGGACCCAGCCTCAGCGTTCCTCTCTCCAGTGGAAAGCTTGGACAGGTCGCGTCTCTGGATCTGTAGAGACACAAACTCAAGTCAGTTCTCCATCCGGAACTGTCAGTGGCAGGCCATGGTGCCCGGCAGCAGGCATCTCAGGCTACTGGCAGCCGAGGGGCTCCTGCAGGGCAGAGGGCCAGGGCACTGCCCTGGCACTGTCCAAGGTTCAAATCCCACAGCTCCACGTATTCTCCATGCGACTCTGACTTCTCACAGCCACAGCTTTCACTGGCGCAAAACGCAGATAATAATTGTGTGAGGCGCAGGCTGGCACAGGCGGGCTCTCAACAAATCAGGCCTATTGTTATTAGCAACGGAGGACCTCGCAAATTCCGAGAGTCTGGTGAGTGGAGGACACCTAGCTGGCCAGCAGCCTTGTGGTGCAACATTTTGCCAGCCCTGGTGACCGCTTGTGAAGGAAGAATAAAACTCGCCCCACGTGCCACTAGTCCAAGGCTGGCCTTGCAGGGGCTCACCTGGAGACCCCAGACTCGGGGTGCTTGTCTAGGACCCCGAGAGCTCCCCTTTCGCAGCTCCACCTGCTGCACTGCTGCTGCTCCCCCCAGTCAGCTTCGGAGGAGCATTATTGCTTTACTTCTTGAAACAAGACCGAGCTGGCCTTGACCCACGGCATTTGCAGGGAGGGAGAAGAGGTGGGCCTCGCAGAAGGGCTCCTTCCGTGAAGCCAAGATGCAGGGCGGCTGGGAAACGCTGGTGCCAGGGAAGCTGGAACTCCCTCTGCTCCCTCTTGCCCTGGTCCCGCTGCCCTGGGATGTCTCTCCCTCTCTCACATTCAGAGACACGAGCACAAGTAGACCGTGGTGTCCTGCACGGAGTGTGAATCTCGGCCCCAAACACTCCATCACCAGCTGGAGCAGCTGCCGGGGCTTCTCTGGTCCTCGGTCTGCTCATCTGTAAATCGGGTAACACTGTTCACCTGGCAGGGCTGTGGTCCCATCTAAACGAGGCGTGCACACGAGGAGGCTGCACTGGGCCTGGCACGTGGTCGCTTCTCAGCAAATGGGGCTGATGTGGTTTGGATGTGTGTCCCCTCCAGATCTCATGTTGAAATGTGATCCCAATGTTGGAAGCGGGGCCTGGTGGGAGGTGCTGAATCATGCAGGTGGATCCCTCATGAATGGCTTCCCTTCCCACGTGAGTGTGTTCTCACTCTGGGAGTCCACGGGAAATATGGTTGTTTAAGAGTGTGGTGCTTCTGCCCTCTCTTTCTCTGGCTCCCCTTCCACCATGATTGGAAACTTCCTGAAGCCTCACCAGAAGCAGATGTCGGCGCCACACTTTCTGTTCAGCCTGCAGAACTGGGATCCAAATAAACCTGTTTTCTTTATAAATTACCCAGTCTCAGGTATTACTTTGTAGCAATGCAAGAATGGGCTAATACAGGGGCAAAAGCAACAACTCCGAACTTTCAGGGACCTTGGTGATCACCCGGTCCTGCCCCATTATTGAACAGACCAAGGTCCCGGCATCTGAGGTCCAGAGGCAAAGTGAGTGCTGCACCTGCACTCACACCTTGCACCCCACCCGGAGCCACCCCGTCTGTGTCTCCTGCCAGGCCTCTGCTGGGCCTGCACTCACACCTTGCACATGCCCCCCCACCCAGGCCCCCCATCACTGTGTCTCCTGCCAGGCCGCCACACCCTCCAGCTGCTGCTCCTCCACCATGGCTGCCCTCAGCCCTTGGCAACTCTCGCCTACATCGCAGCAGCCCTTAAGGTCTCCCTGCCTCTGGCATTCCCCTTCCAGTCCCTTCTGAGGCCCCCTGCCTGATGTACCCTCCTAAAATGTCTTCATTTAAAAATCCCCATTGGTTTCCAAACCCCTCAGTTTCAACTCCTCAATTTGCCACTTAAAGCCCTACAAAAATGGATTTTGCCTCCAGCCCCATCGCCCTGTTTCCCTGAGACAACCCTCCTGCCACAGCCCAAAGGGTCCCATTGGAGTTTCCAGAACCCCAGGCCCTGGCTTGACCACGTGGCTGGAGACCAGGCTGCCTGGGGCTCAGGACAAATTTACCTCGGCCACAGGCTCCCCAACAGGGCTCAGTTGGGGACGACTTCCTGGGGAGCAGCCCCTCAGTCCCCCCACCTCCGTCTGGCCCCCCACACCACCCTAGAGAGCTCCTGAAAGGCCCTTTCCCTGAGTCCCCATGTGCCATGTTGGGCCACGGTCTCAGGAGCCGAGAGGCCGGCAGCCGAGGGATCTGCAGAGGTGACACAGTTGAGGGTCCTGAGATTGGAAGATGACCTGGGATTATATGGATGGACCCTGAGTGGAATCACAGCTGTCCTTATAAAGGAGGGCAGAGGGAGCTGTGATGGAAGAGAGGAGTTGGTGATGTCACCAAGGAAGGGAGGAAGAAGCGATGTGGCCTCAGCGGGGAGGTGCGCCCTGCCCACTGTGTGCCCAGCACAGGCACGGAGCCGGTCCCACCTGTGCCTCCAGAGGGAACCCCCACCACCAGCTCACCCAGAACCGTCAGGGAGCACCTTCACTTATTCAAAGTCATTGCGTTTGAGCTTAGTCCTCACAGCAGAAACAAGTGAGGTCACCCAGGCGTGCAGTTGAGGATCACACAGCCAGCCGGGCTCCAGCCCATGCCAGTCCAACTCCTGGCGGCAGGATTTTGCATCCTGCCCCCTGGGCCGGATGGCCACGGGGCTGCCACAAGGCCCATGATGAGCTGCCACCTCTGGGGCATTGCCTGCACTTGGCACGAGGACTCACCAGCATGGGAAGCACAAGGGCCTGCCAGGTGGCCCTCACAGACATCCTTGCAGGATCTGACCCTTCCACTGTGCCTCTGCCCTCGCCCCGAGGCCAGCACCTGCGGCTGCCTCTGCTCCTCTGCCCAGGCTGCCCAGGGCGTGGGGCCCTCCTTCTGCTCCCCTTGTAGCTGCTGCCCTCCACTCGGAGGGCAAGTCAGAGTCTCCTGGGTGCGCCTGCCCCAGCCCTCCCATCGGTCCCTGCACATGGATCCCCGACCCCAGCCCACTGCCCTCTGCTGCCCCTGCCAGCCTCTGTGGCTCTCTGGTCCTTCCTCCCTGACAGAGCCTGCCCACTGTCACCTTCTTATTCCTCAGTCCCCACAGACCACCGGCTGTCCATGCTGGCTCGCTCATCTTCCATCCACACCGCCTTCACTCAGCAGGTGATGGCGAGCCCCATAGGCACCCATGAGACATCCGGGATGCAGACAGAGAAAGGCCCTGGTGGTGGGTGGTGGCGAGTTCACTCCAACGGGGGCAGCCCCACAGTGAAAACATCAAGTGAGCAGATGGTGCCAGGAGTGAGATGGGGCTGAGCAGACTGGGGGTGCTGAAGAGGCTGGGGGGCTGAGGAGGCTGGGGGGCTGAGGAGGCTGGCAGGGACTAAGGAGGCTGAGCAGGCTGAAGGGTGCTGAGGAGGCTGGGGGGCTGAGGAGGCTTGGGGTGCTGAGGAGGCTGGAGGGCTGAGGAGGCTGTGGGAGCTGAGGAGACTGGGGGTGCTGAGTGGGCTGGGGGTGCTGAGGAGGCTGTGGGAGCTGAGGAGACTGGGGGTGCTGAGGAGGCTGGCGGGGACTGAGGAGGCTGGAGGGCTGAGGAGGCTGAGCAGGCTGGGGGAGCTGAGCAGGGTGGGAGGGCTGAGCAGAGTGGGGGAGCTGAGCAGGGTGGGGGAGCTGAGCAGGGTGGGGGAGCTGAGCAGGGTGGGGGAGCTGAGCAGGGTGGGGGAGCTGAGCAGGGTCGGGGCCCCACTGCCTGGAAGGGACCAGCCAGGAGAAGCTGGTGGCAGTAGAGAGTCTCCATGTGGTGTCTGGGGATGAGGGCTCCAGGTGGACAGAAGGACGCCCTGAGGCTGGACCTGTCAGTTGGAGGAGAGCGGGAGAGGTAGGCGGAGGTAACTGGCACCCCAGATAGGGCCTTGAGGGAAAGGACACTCGGCAGGGTGTAGGGCTGGGGCTGCAGGCCTGTGTGGGATCATGAGGCTGAGACTTAGAAGGCAACTGCTGGAATGGGGAGGGGCCCCAGGCTTCGTGGGAGGCCGGATGTGTCTTCAAGGGGGTCCCCCTTTGACTAAAACCCCCTCTACCAGCTCCGCTGGCCGCCCCCTGACTGCTCCCCACCCCCCACTCCACTCCCATGGCCGCTTGCTCAGAGCCGCCCCTCCCCCACACCCAGTCACAGCCTTGCGAATCTTCAATGCCCACTGGTGACCCCCTCATCCCCAGGGGACAGACCACAACCCTCAGTCATGCCCAGACAGCTGCCCCTCAGGTTTCTCTGACCTACCCTCAAGCCCCACAACTCCTGACATCCCCTCTCAGAGGGGCCCAGCCCCCAACAGTGGGGCCTTCTTTATCTCTCCAGCCTGACCCCAGGGTTCCTCCGGCCTCCCCTGTCCCCCTGCACCCCGTTTTCTGCCCCCTGGGTCCACAAAACCCACCCCACATCAGGCCCACCCTATGTCTTTCCCATCACGGCAGCAGGGGCCTGAGCTCGCTTCTGGGAGGTGCTGTCCAGCGCCTGGGTCTGGGTCCTCGGAGAAGCTTGGGAGCCTGACCCCGCCCCTCAGGGAGCACCCGGCCCCTCCGCAGCTCCTCTTCCCACCTGGCTTTCATGGTGACGAAACGTCACAGGCTGGACGGCTTCAGCAGCAGGCACTCCTGCTTGTTCTCATGGTTCAGCTGGAAGTCTGAGGTCAGGAGGCCCCTAGGGTCCATTCTGCAAGGCCTCTCTTCTTGGCTGGCAGAGGTGGAGGGACAGTCCCCTTGCCCCTCTGATAAGGCTGAGGTCCCCATCAGATCAGGGCCTTACGCTTACGACCTTACTTACCCTTAATTACCTATACAGTCACACTGGGGTTAGGGCTGAACCCAGGCATTTCAGGAGCCGCAGTCGGTCCACAACACCCTCCACTTCTCGGAGGATATGGAGGCTCCCGGTCAGATCTCCCTCCCTCCCTCCCTCCAGCCTCCCCTCCTGGCCTCAGCCCTACCCTCCCCTTGCCCCAGCCTGGACTGGGCTCCATCTCTCCTGCTCACTGTCTCCCCAGGCCTAGCTCGCACATCCCTGCCTCAAAACAAATATGAGACCAAAACCCCAAAACCCTTCCCCTGATCCCACGGCGCCCACCCCCATCAATCTCTCACTTTCTTTTCTCTTAGAGACTTCCCAGAAGTCCGTCTACATTCACCGTCCTCAGCCCACTCCTTCCCACCCCAGGGAGTCCACACTGTCAGGGTCTCCTCTTCTGCCCCCCAGGGGCTGGCTAAAACACAGAGCCCGCCTCTGCCTCCCAGGGTTCATGTGGAAGCCCTGATCCCCAGTGTGATGATGTTTGGAGATGGGGCCTTTGGGGGGTGATTAGGTTTAGGGGCAGTCATGAGGGTGGGGCCCCCACGAGGGGACTAGTGTCCTTCTAAGAAGAGGAAGAGAGACTCAGGCTGTCCCTCTCTGTCATGTGAGGACACAGTGAGAAGGTGGCCGTCTGCAGGCCGGGAAATGGGCCCTCATCAGAAACAGAAGCCACCGGCATCTCAACCTCAGACTTCCAGCCTCCAGAATGGTGAGAAATAGATCTCGGTTGCTGAAGCCACCCAGCCTGTCTGTGGTATTTGGTTACAGCAGCTCAAGCAGACGGATATCCAGGTGAAATACCAAAGGCCACCTGCAGGGAGTGCTCCTGTGAACATGCAGGTGGTCCTAAATGAACACACCTGCTTTGGGTAAATAAGATGCCCCACATATGCCAAGGAGGTGTGCCCAGAGCGGATGCCCAGGATTCGGGCCCCTGGTCAGCAACTGACTGGGACCTGCTGTTCAGATGAATCTCAGTGCCCTGGGGACCAGCTAGGTCACTGCAGCCATCGACCTTTCTAGGCGTCCGTGCCCCTCACGGCTGCTGCCCCATGGGCTCCCAGCCCCCCTGCGGTATCCTCATCAACTGGATGTGCCCTCTGCCCAGGGCGGCTCTGACCAGGAGCCAGTGTTCCCCATGCTTATCCAGAGTCTTCTTGCCTTCTGGCCTCCGTCCATTGAAGGAGTCACACATCTTTTTCATGTTGAAGGCAAAAAAAAAAAAAAAAGATTACATAGCATTTAGCAATTACAGAAAGTTACAAAAATATTAAAATTGATTTTGGTTAATATTTTATTTCTTTCCATCTTACTCCCAGTATTTTCCTGTGGGCTTGTTTCCTGAAATTCTATCATATCATATATATAATTGTATGCCTTCTCCTTTACTTCTTTAGAATATATATTTATTTTTCTATCTATCTGTATCTTAACATTGTATCATGAGCAGTTTCACGTGTCCTGATGCAGTCTTCCATTTGTGGATTTAGGTTTTCCATTCCTTTATTCATTCAACAAATGTGTGTTCAGAGCCTGCTATGTATGTGCCAGACACTGATAATATAGCAGTCAATGAAACAGTTGGAGTTCCAGGCCTTATGCAGGTTCCAATCTGATGGGAAAGCGGGGTAGTGAAGAAGCATTTGGAAGGTAATTCACAGTGCTGGGGAGGAGAAGTGCGGCTTGCTCTGGGAGCAGATAACACGAGAGCCCGGCCGGGAGACCGTAAGGACCTGAGATCTGAAGGCTCTGTAGACAGATCGACACCACGTTGTCTCTGGGGGTAACATCTTAGGCAGAGGAATAATAGCAGGTGCGAGGGCCTTAGGTCTGGGGAGTGCACATAAGAGAAAAGAAAAGAAAACCCTTCCGGGCAGCATGGAAAAAGCCTGCTCCTTCCTCCCTAGAAGGCCGTGCAGGGATGGATTTCTGCTGTCCACGCCCCGTCAGGCACCCACCTCGGGAAGCCCAGTCTGTCACTCGCCAACCCCTGGAACTGAAGAACAGCAGTGTTTTGCCCGTGGTGGGAACATGGAGGCAGCGGGGCACTGGTGTGTGTGGCCAGGCTTCCACATTCAGGTCTAAGAGGCAGGCCCAGCTAGAGATCCAGCCAAAGACAGGCCGAGTTATGGTACCGACCCAGAGGGTGGGACGGCCACCAAGACCTCCGAAGCCTCACCTTCAGAGTGGGGCAAGTGCACCCTCTTGGACCCTGGCCCTCTGATGCTCACGCTGAGAGTGAAATACTGCGAGCATGACTTTCTGAAGGGATCATAATTAGGGAGGACATCCCCTGATCCCAGTGCCACTCCCCACACCTCGTTCTGGCACTGAAAGAGGAAAAGCTGATGGGCATCCTCACCCAGAGGCCTGGCCTGGGCCTGCGTGCCCTCTCTGCCCTGACCTCGGCTGGACTCCCCTGGCCTGATCCACATCCGAGAGGGACCTTCTGTGAAGGGCGCCTTCTCTCCCAGGCATTCTGTGTGTGTGTGTGTCATTGTGTGTGTGAAGTATGTGTATGTGGTGTCTGTGTGGTATGTATGTGGTATATGTGTGTGTGGTGTCTGTGTGTGTGTGATATGTATTGTGTATGTGTGTGTGGTATGTGGTATGTGTGGTGTGTGGTATGTGGTATGTGTATTTGGTATCTGTATGGTATATGTGTGTGTACTGTGTGTGTAGTGTGTGGCGTGTGTGTGGTGTGGTGTGTATGTGGTGCCTGTGTGTGTATGGTGTGTGTGGTGTGTATGTGTGTGGTATGTATGTGGGTCTGTGTGGTGTATGTGTGTGTGATGTGGTGTGTGTGTGGTGTGTGTGTAGTATATGTGTGTGGTGTGTGTGTAGTGTGTCTGTGGTGTGTGTGGTGTATGTGTGTGTCGTGTGTGTGTGGTGTATGCGTGTGTGGTGTGTGTGTAGTATATGTGTGTGGTGTGTGTGTAGTGTGTCTGGTGTGTGTGGTGTATGTGTGTGTCGTGTGTGTGTGGTGTGTGTGTGTGGTGTGTGTGTAGTATATGTGTGTGGTGTGTGTGTAGTGTGTCTGTGTTGTGTGTTGTGTATGTGTATGTCGTGTGTGTGGTGTGTGTGTAGTATGTGTGTGGTGTATGTGTGTGTCCTGTGTGTGGTGTGTGGTGTATATGTGTGTGGTGTGTGTGTGCACGTGTGGTGTGTGTTCTGTCAGGAAACCTGTCCTTCCACTTTGAAGCCCACTTTCTGGAGGCTCCCAACAAGGCAGGCTTTTTCTGTATGTTGACTTTGTGCTGCTTTGCTGGAAAGTGGGCAGTGGGCACAGCAAGCTCCAAGCTCATGGCTCTGGGTTGCTTTCCACAGCCAGTCTCCCCTCTGCCTTTCCAGCATGCTCCTGACTGTGTCCAGTGTCCAAGGGGAGCACCGCGAATGGTCTGAACTGACCGTGACAGTCTGATTCCATTTTGCCACCTGTTCCTCAAGCCTTCCCACAGCCGGCAACAGGCATGTGACTGAGTCTTGGACAATGAGATACATTGTGAGGGGTCTGCTGGGAGGCCTTTGGGGAACCATTGGCCTCCCTATAAAAGGGACAGATGTGACTGGTGCTCTTTCCTCTTTTTCCTGTCTTAAACATGGACATAATGCCTAACATTATGGTGGCCATTATGTAACTATGAGGCGATAAGCATGAGGAAGCGTTAGAATCCCAGATAAGAAACATGCAAAGAGCTTTGACCCTCCCCTGCCCGCTAGGGCATTCCTGAGCAGGTGAACCAATACCACCAACTGTCTATCTTTAGACTTCTTGTTATGTAAGAAAAATAAGCTTCTATTTGTCACATTGCTACTACTTGTAGTGGAAAGCATTCCTAACTGATTCATCCTGTACATTTAAAACCGCTAAAATTCTCGAAAGTTGGTTTTGTAGTTTTTATGGCTTCAGGTTGTTTAACCTGAGCAAGAACCAACCATATCTGATGTAGCAAGAAGAATGTCATGTTTCATTTCAAGGAGACTTGTCTCCTTCCACAATTTTCCAAGATTTAGTGCACTGCCAATAGATTAATCACTGTGCTTAGAAGAAAATTCACCTGTCAGAATTTCAAGCCGAGAATCAGAATCCCAATCCCAGAATCCATGTAAGGCTGAGAACCAACCAGAAGATCTTTAGCCCATTATGCTAGAACTCTAAAGGGTTACACACCCAGGATTAGCATGAACCCGAAGTAAATTTTTGCATTCTCTCCCTCAAACCCCCCTTTAGAAATAACAAGGAAATGTTTCTTGGCACTGAGGAGAGCGGGAGAAAAGCTCATCTCTGTGAAGCTGTATCCAAACACTGACCCTTGTGCAGACTGGTACCCAAATTCACACCCCCTGAATGGCCCAGAAATTTTCCAGGAACAAATTCAGATGAAGGTGATCTTGGAGTGGAAGTGTCCCTAGGTGCATGGCAGATGCAAGTGCAAATTCTTTCAGGCAGATGTCACATTCATCCGAGATCTCAAAGAATTATCATCAAGTAATATCTCAAGAAAGTAAGCAGGCTGGCCATGGTGGCTTATGCCTGTAATCCTAGCATTTCGGGAGGCCGAGGCGGGTGGATCACGAGGTCAAGAGATTGAGACCATCCTGGCCAACATGGTGAAGCCCCCGTCTCTACTAAAAATACAAAAATTAGCTGGGTGTAGTGGAGCATGCCCGTAGTTTCAGCTACTCGGGAGGCTGAGGCAGGAGAATCGCTTGAACCCAGGAGGCGGAGGTTTCAGTGAGTCAAGATTGCGCCACTGCACTTCAGCCTGGTGATAGAGTGAGACTCCATCTCAAAAAAAAGAAAAAAGAAAAGAAAGCAAGCAGCACTTAGTGAAAAATAAGGAAGCACACAAGGAAATAAGGCAACATGAGCATGAATAAGCAGAAAAAACAAACAGCTAAACTACTCCCAAATATTTCATATAATGAAATAATAGGAAAGAAATTATACAATTGTTATGTTGAAAAAACAATACAAGCTTAAAGATATTTGCAGGAAACAGAGAACTATGAAAAAACTGATTTGGCAGGTTTTTCGAAAATCAAATAGATCTTTCTTATAAAAATGAAAAATATAATAACTGAAACTTTAAATTTAATAGGTGGATTTAATAGGAAATTAGATATAGGCAAAGAGAGAATTAGTGAACTGGAAGATGGGTCAGAAAAAATTATCCAAATGATAGCACAGAACAACAGAAAGATGAAAATCATGAAAAAGAGGAGGATAGAGTGAGAAGGTCTAAATACATTTAGGGGGTATTCCAGAAGGAGAAGCAAGGGAGATGGGGGCAAAATTATTATTTAAAGAGATAATGTCTGATAATTTTTTGGAATGAACCAAAAGATGTCAATCCATACATTAAAGAAGCTCAACAAATGCCAAGGACAAAAAATAAAAATAAAAGTGAAAAAAATGTTCGAACTGAGTGGCTATCACAAATCTGTCTCTTACTGGCAGGGTGACCCAATGGTGTGTCCAAGGGGCTGATATTACTCATCCAATCCTGGAACATGGAGCTCTGAGCTCTTGCAGGGGATGAGCAAAGCAAGTATAAGTGCAATAATGGGCTCTGTGAGGCCCACTCCTTCTGGCCTGATCTAGGTCTGTTGGTACCATAAACAGAATGATGGTGGAGGTACCAGCGCATTTTTAACCTCCTTCTGTTTATTATATATAACATAGGAGGGATGGACAAATGATGGAAAACCCATTCCTCCAAGGTGAGATTTTTTTCAAAAAGTCTGGCATAAATCCATTGTTTTTTCCCACCCTACCTTGTAACTTAGTCTCCATATCTACCTTAGAATTGCCACATGCTTGGGATTTCATAGGAAATACTCTAAAAATCTTGTTTGGCAGAAAGGCTCATTGAGAAAAATTCAAAATTATACATCTTTTGAATATCAAAACTTAGGTTTGATACAGTTCACCTCATGTTAAGATGGAATAACTGAGGCCAGAGAAAGTAAGAGACACTGGGAGAGTCTGTGTGACAAGGCCAGGCCTAGGTTGTGATCTCCTGGCTCCAATTCTAGGGATTAGTCCCCATTCAGCCACTCACTTCCTAGAGAATGAGGAGGCAGGTGATTTCATTCTCAAGGGATGGTATTTCAACAATGGTTTGTTATGGCATGTATCAGGTTGTTTAAAAAAGAAAATTCTCCAAAGCTTCCCAGCGGTGACATAGAAATACAGATGCAGACACCCCAACAGATAAAAACAGCCTCAATTACATAACCATGACAGCAAATGGTGAATCATTGCCGTGTAATGAAAAAACTCAGATTGGTCACTAGTAAAAGTAAAAGGATCGCTATGGTGAGTCACTGGGCCCACCCTCCTGCGGAGCCGCTGAAACGCAGACACCTACCAGTTGATTCAGAGTCTGGGCTTTGTCTTCCTTTCTTCCACATCGATGTTTCGGTATTTCACAATGGAGCTTTGCAAGTGATGTAAATTTTCAACAAGGGCTGGGCCGCAGCCCCACACTCTGTCTCTAGACCGTTTGAATAGGTGGGTTCTGCACCTGCACCTAAAAGAGAAGATGACTTGAAATGTACAAATAGCAAGTATTATTGAGTGCCTACTGTGTTCCCAAAAGACACATGGACTGGAGATTCATTACACAGGTTCATCCTTGTAAACTCTAGGAGATGGGCACTATCCTAATTTCCCTGAGGCCAGAACAAAGGCTAGGGGGATTCAGAACTTGCCCAGAGTCTTACAGTTAGTAGGAAGTGACAGAGGCAGGACTCATCCCAGGCAAAACCATGTGAAGGCCTACCCTCTTTCCACCAGGCAAGAAGGCGTCCTCCAGCCTTTTGACTGCCTTGGTGGCGCAAGAGAAAGGTGGGGCACCAGGTGGTGGCTGTCACATGGAAGAGGAAAGAGCAAGTAGAGGTGGGCCCTCACATCTATAGAGTGGCACTTCCACAGTGCGTGAAGTGGCTGAGCACTGGATATCGGTTTCCCCTAGCAGTAAAGTAGAAGCATTGAAGTGAGAGAAGACCTATTTGTTCAGTGGAGAGCAAGGCTTACATCTACCTGTTACTCCTTTGGCAGATTATGCTTTAAATTGACCATCTGAGACCAAGTGGGAAGTTCCAGAAACAACCTTTTATTTAACACTGATGTGGAGCACTTTGTGGGTGGTGTCTCAGCAATCTGCTACTCTGGCCTATACTGTGGAGTGGAAACTCACCCAGAATAATATTTTTCAAAGCAGCTTATTCACTTGGTGGGTGGGTAGGAAGGGTTATCTCTTCCTCAGGAAGTTCCAACTGAGCAGCATGAAAACACACTATTCTTTTTTTTTTTTTTTTTTTTTTTTGAGACAGAGTCTTGCTCTGTTGCCCAGGCTGGAGTGCAGTGGCATGATCTCGGCTCACTGCAACATCTGCCTCCCAGGTTCCAGTGATTCTCCTGCCTTACCCTCCCGAGTAGCTGGGATTATAGGCACCCACCACCATGCCTGGCTAATTTTTTGTTAGTAATAGAGACAGTTTTCACCATGTTGGCAAGGCTGGTCTCGAACTCCTGACCTCAAGTGATCGCCCACCTCGGCCTCCCAAAGTGCTGGGATTACAAGCGTGAGCCACTGCACCTGGCTGAAAACACATTATTCTTTCTGATGGTCTGAAAAGTAATTCACTTATGTATATACATTACTGGTATGACCCTCTTCCCCAGCCACATCTCCTTTTTAATATTAACATATTCAAATGAGCCATTGAGTATGCATAAGTGCAATTGACCACAAGACTTGGGGCCTCAGTCCAAAAGAGCCAGTGCCTCTGCATCCAGGTGTGGAGAGGCAAAACTGTCATAGCCTGAAGCTGGTGGGTGAGAGTGGTACAATCATTTTGGGCAACCATTCGGCAGTATGTACTGAAGCTAAATCCATGCTGCACCCCGAGCCCAGCAATTTCGTCCCTAGGTGCATGCCCAACAAGGGTGGATGTGTGTGCACACAAATGTGGGGGAATATTCACAGGAGTCAAAACTCCTGTGAATACAAAGATCTACCAGCAGTGAATAAAGGAAGAAATTGAAGTTTAATCACCAAAAGATCATATACAGTAATGAGAGTGGACAAGCCACTGTTTCTTGTGACAGCATGTGTACATCCCACAAACATAATATTGAGCAAAAGAAATGGACGCAAAGAACATACTGCAGGCTTTTGATTAACACACTTGTTCATATATATATATGAACATACTTCATATATATATATGAACATACTTCATATATATATGAACATACTTCATATATATATATGAACATACTTCATATATATATATGAACATACTTCATATATATATGAACATACTTCATATATATATATGAACATACTTCATATATATATGAACATACTTCATATATATATGAACATACTTCATATATATATATGAACATACTTCATATATATATGAACATACTTCATATATATATATGAACATACTTCATATATATATATGAACATACTTCATATATATATATGAACATACTTCATATATATATATGAACATACTTCATATATATATGAAATTTAAAAACAGTAAAAAGGGATCAACGGTGGGCATAAAAAGTCAGAAGAGAAGTTACTCTTGGGAGAGTCAGTGACTGGGCGGGGGCACAAGGTAGCTTCTGGAATGTTCTGTGCCTTGATCTTGGTGTTAGTTTAACCGAGTTCATTTATGATTTGTGCACTTTTCTGATGTATATTATTGTCAATCAAATTTTTTCTTAAAAATGTGAAAGGGAAGGAGTCAAGGTCTCCATCCCTTTTCCTCCAAGAGGCTTCTCCCACTGTGTGCTCACCCACACTCTTGCTGTGAATCGTGAATTCTGCATTCCAAGGGATATTTCCAGGGACAGCCTTCATCAACACAAGATGCCTGTTCCCAGGTGCATAGCTATGGAGGCCAGCTCTGGGGTTCTGCCCGGATAAAGGGAATGTGCTTTGCTTTTCCTGTTAGAGAAGCACCTGCATCTTTAAAATGACAACTTCTCCCACCAAAGCAAGCAAACAAGTTTCGCCTCATCTGCATGCTGCTACACACACACACACACACACACACACACTCTCTCTCTCTCTCTCTCTCTCTCTCTCTCTCTCTCTCTCTCGCTGTTTTTCTGATTATCCAAGAACTGCAGGCCTGTTGTAGAACACTCAGAAAATGTAGGGGAAAAAAATGGAGAAAATAAATAAAAATAAAGGGGAAACCACACATGATCTTATTACCCAAAGACAATAGAAGCTATTATTTTCTCTCGTTTTCTTCCAGTCTTTTTAAACACACATATTTGATAAATAGGGGGTGTTTTGTTTTGAACTTTAAAGATCAGATTTATCTGGAGAAAACAAAAAACCCACAACCCAAAGGATGGGATTTTACATCTCAAGCCATCTCCCAAGTATTAAGTCTACAGATTACAAATCATTTTTATAGAAGATATTTTTGTACAAATTTTACGTGTATTCAGGAGCGGGATGTAGATCAATCCCCATTTCTATTTTAACAGGGGCAAGGTAGGAGAGTGGAAAAAACAGTTTTAGATGCAAATATTTGAAAGGAGAGCAGACATGAAGCTTTTCATTATCTACAATCAATAGGCTTAAAATAAAACAAAACTTTCAATCTTCCATATCTCTCTTTAACAGCTCACTTCTAGCTGCTAGCCAATCCACACCAATTATTTAAATTCACTTGGTATACACCTTTTGTCCACTGGGTAAATTATTCATTATGCCCGCTGCTGCAGCACACATAAACCAACAGCCCTGCTTGGCTGAACAGGGCCTAGGACTGGTGGGAGATGGGCTTGAAACTGAGATCAAGGTGTCATTTCTCTGCAGGTGCTAATATTGCCCATGATGGGGAAAGATACCATCTACCAAGCTGATTCCTACACAAATGCACATAAAGGCACACAAGTTTAGCTACTGTGTTGCAAGAGAAACCAGGACCTTGTTAAATAGTTCTCTCCATTACCATTTATTTTCTCAAGGGAAGTTTTAAAACAGAAAAGAAAAAACCCACACATTGGTCTAGGCCACCTTATAAATCCAAGCATTGGTGTGGCATTTCAGTGGAGATTGAAACTTGGGGAAAAAAACAAACACACACACAAACAACCATCAACGTTGTAAGAAAGGCTCCCAATTTAAGTGTCCCTATTTATCCACCCTTATTCATCATCTGAGACCATCAATTCTAGAGCAGGATGAATACAGTTTTAATACGGTTAATGAAGTATAATTTCCATCTAGTGAAAAATTCACTTGTTTTAAGTGCATAATTTAATGATTTTTGGCAAATTTACAGTTATGTAACCATCACCACAATGCAGTTTTAGAACATTTCCATCATCCCAAAAAGATCCCTCCTTCCCACCTGCAGTCCATCTCTGTTCCCATAAGCCCTAGGCAGCCACTGACCTGCTTACTGTCTCTAGAGCTTTGGCCTTTCCAGACATTTCATATCATATGAAGTCTTCTGTGTCTGGCATATTTCACTCACTATAGTGTTTGTCGAGGTTCATCCATGTTGTCACATGTATCAGTTTCTTCCTTTTTCTTCTTGAATACAATTCTAGGGTACATCTACATATATCACATTTTGTTTATATACTCATCGGTTGATGAACATTTGGATGTTTTGGTTGTTATGAACAATACTGCTATAACAATCTGTTTACAACTTTTTGTATTGCCAGACCTTTTCATTTCCATTGGGTAGTTTCCCAGGGGGGTGGGCAGGGGGGAATTCCTGGGTTGTATGGGAAAATTACACTTGAGTTTTTAAGAAACCGACAAACCATTTTTTTCGAGGTTGCTGTACGATTTTGATTATGGACATTCTAGGTAGCGTGAGGTGGTATCTCACTGCGGTTTTAAGATGCATTTCCCTGATGACTAGTGGTTTTGATCATATGTGTATTAGCCATTTATTTGTATTTTTGGTAAAATGCCTATTCAAATATTTTGCCTATTTTTAAAATTGGGTTGTATGTCGTCTTATTGAGTTGTAAGAGTTCTTCATATATTCTGGGTAGAAGTCCTTCATCAGGTATATGTTTTATAAAAATTTTCTACTAGTCTGTGGCTTGTCTTTCCATTCTCCTAATGTTGTCTTTTGAAGCACAAAAGGTTTTCATCTTGATGAAGTCCAATTTATCAATTTTTTCCTTTTACCACTTGCACTTTTGGTATCTGAGAACTCTTTGCCTAACTCAAGGTCATAAAGATTGTATTCTATGTTTTTTCCTAAAAGTTTTATAGTTTAAGGTCTTGCACTTAGGTCTAGGATCTATTATAAGTTAATTTCTTTATAAGGTGTGAGGTAAGGATCTGAATGCTTCTTTTGGCATGTGGGTATACAATTATTCCAGCATCATTTGTTAAAAAGCTATTCTTTTTCTCCATGGAATAGCCTCAGTACTTCTGTTCAAAAGCAATTAACCATAAATGTAAGGTTTTATTTCTGAACTCTTAATCCAGTTCCATATATATATTTATGTATGTGTATACATATACACACACACATACATATCTTTATGCCGGTACTACACTGTCTTTATTACAATAGATTTACAATAAATTTTGAAATTAGGAAGTGTGAATTCTCCTACTCTTTTCTTCTTTTTCAAAATTGTTTTGGCTCTTCTGGGTTTTTTGCATTTTCATATACATTATAGAATTAGCTTGTCAATTTCTGCAAAAATGCTTGCTGAGATTTTTATAATGATCGCAATGTATCTACAGATCACTTTGAGGAGAACTGCCATCATAACCATATTGAGTCTTCCAATCCATGAACATGGAATATATCCTCACTTATTTAAACCTTTAGTTTCTCTCAGGGATGTTTTATAGTGTTTGGTGGACAAGTATGATGCTTCTATGTTTAATTTATTCCTAAGTGTTTTATTCTTTTGATGCCATTGTGAGTTAAATTGCTTTATTATTTTATTTTTGGCTTGTTAATTAATTTTGGGTTTTGGTTTTGTTTGTTTGTTTGAGATAGGGCCTCATTCTATTCCCCAGAATGGAGTGCAGTGGCATGATCTTGGCTCACTGTAACCTCCACTTTCCCAGGCTCAAGCAATCCTCCCACCTCAGCCTCCTGACTAGCTGCTACCACAGGTACCCGCCAGCACACCTGGCTAATTTTTGTATTTTTTGTAGAGACAGGGTTTCACTATGTTGCCCAGCCTGGTCTCAAACTTCTGAGCTCAAACAATTCACTCGCCTCTGCCTCCAAAGTGCTGGGATTATAGGCATGAGCCACCGTGCCCAGCCTGATTTTTGTATATTGATCTATAACCCATGACCTTGCTAAACCTGTTTGCTACTTCTAGTAGTTTGTGCATATGTGTGCGTGTGTACATGTGTGGGTATTCTTTAGGATTTTCTACATACAAAATCATGTCGTCTGCTAATTAAGGCAGTTTGGCTTCTTTCTTTCCAATCCTATTCATTTGCTTTTACTTGCCTGTTTGTACAGTCCAGAACTTCCAGTAGAATGCTGAATAGAGGTGGAGAGAGTGAATATCCTTGCCTTGTTACCAATCTTAGGGAGAAAGCACTCAGTCTTTTGCTGTGAAAAATGGTGTTAGTTAGAGGTTTTCAGTAAACCTTTTTTTTTAAGTTGAGGAAGTTTCCTTCTATTACTAAGTTGTTGGGAGTTTTTGTAATGAATGGGCATTCAGTTTTGTCAAATGCATTTTCCTGTGTCTGTTGGGATGACCATGTGGTTTTTGTTCTTTACTCTATATGGTATATTACATTAATTGATTTTCTTGCATTCTTGGGATAAATCCCAATTGGTCATGATGTATAATTCTTTTACATGTTGTTGGATTGAGTTTGCTAGCATTTTGTGGAGGATTTTTGCATCTATAGTCATAAGAGATATTCTGTAGTTTTATTTTCTTGTAGTAGCCTTACCTGGTTTTGGTATCAGGGTAATACTGACTTCATAGAATGAGTTGGTAAGTGATTCTTTCTCTACTATTTTCTGAAAGAGTTTGTGAAGTATTGGTTTTGTTTCTTCATTAATGTTTGCCAGAATATACCAGTGAAGCTATCTGGGCCTAGACTTTTCTTTGTGGGAAGTTATAAAATTACTAATACAGTTTTTTTTTTTTTTAACATGTTACAAGTCTATTTAGCCCATCTCTTTCTTTCAGGACTTTGAGACCAGCCTGGGCAACATGGCAAAACCCTGTCTCTACAAATAAGATACAAAAATTAGCCGGGTGTGGTGGCACATGCTTGTAGTCCCAGCTATTCGGGAGGCTGAGGTGGGAGGATCGCTTGAGCCTGGGAGGTGGAGGTTGCAGTGAGCAGAGATCATGCCACTGCACTCCAGCCTGGGGGACAGAACAAGACCCTGTCTCAAAAAGAAAAAAAAATTATCCTAAAGCTTTTCCCACAACATTAAATACTCCTTAAAACCCAGTTTTGTAAGTGTTTAACATTGCATCATATTGAAGAATACAACTTACTTAGCCGTTGCCCTATTGTTAAACATCTGGATAGTTTCCTAGTTCCTCATTATCATAAACAATGCCTACATGAACATCTTTATCCCTAAATCTATATCTAATTATTTCATTAGATTGATGTCTTGAAAACCAGGTTTCCTGGGTGAATGCATGTAAACACTAATTGCTTTCTAGAAGGACTTTACCACTCTGCGCTCCCACTGGCTGGTGTGAGGGCGTTTATTTGACTGCACTTGCTCGATGGATGTTTGAAATGGAAGTCTTGGCCCAGGTTTTCTGGGGCCCAGTGACAGTGGGGCCCCTGGAGGCTCCAGCAGGGCTGAGTCTGGGGACAAGCCCCTCAAGCTGCTTTCAGCTGGGAACAGGTGCAGCGAAGGTGAAAGATGCCCTTTCCCAGGCGGTCTCTGGGTCCTGGAGACCGCTGTGTGTCAGCCCTGTGCTCTACCAAGTTGAAGCCAATGGTGCCGGCCTCAGCCCCTGCTGGTGAAAACCTTGAGTTTGGTTCCTGGGCCCCTGGGAGCCACAGGGTTCCCACAGGGTCGGGGGACCTGTGTCACTCATTCCATTCAGCACACACTGTCGTGCACCACACTGCAACCGCCAGTGTGATCTTCCCAAAGCACAGATGAGGTTGGTTCACCCCATACCCCAGAGCTCTTCATTGTCTGCATGGAACGAAGTTCAAGCTCTTCGGCTTGGTGTTCCACAACCTTCCATGACCTGCCTCCAACTTACCCTTCCAGCTTTGTTCATTCTTTCTTGTATTCAACAAATATTAGTAATTGCTACATGCAGTAACCAAACCAGACTCTCACTATAGAGGACATTTAGAAGCATTTCTCCCTGTCCATAGCTCTACCTCACTATTCCCAGAACAACCAGAACTCAGCGGCCGTAAAGTTCTGTCTGCTCAGCAAGACCCTTCTGGGCTACTTCTGTAAGAGAAGCCTCCTCTGACTCCCTGGCCATGGGCAGGGCCCAAAACATACAGTAGGTCGCCAGTAAATGTCTAAGGACTATGCAATTTCATGGTGTTGGGCACCTCTGGAGTCAAGCCGGGCCTGTGGGCCAGCCCCAGCAATGCCATGGATCCCCTGAGTGCAGGGGAGTGTGGCAGGAGGGGTGCAGGTGCAGAAATCATAGCATGATGGTGACAGAAGCCACGCTGGACATCAGCTCTGCGCTCTGCACAGGCTACAGGACATCAGCTCTGCACTCTGCACGGGCTATGGGACATCAGCTCTGCGCTCTGCACGGGCTATGGGCTGCTCTATAAGGCGCAGGCCTCGGACTAGATGAGCAGTCCTCAGGAACCAGTGACCTGACAGTCCCCCTTCTGGAACTTTTTTTTTTTGAGACGGAGTCTCGCTCTGTCGCCCAGGCCAGAGTGCAGTGGCTTGATCTCAGCTCCCTGTAACCTCCGCCTCCCAGGTTCAAGTAATTCTCCTGCCTCAGGAGATTCACTGGGATTACAGTGCGCTGGGATTACAGGCTTGCGCCACCACACCTGGCTGATTGTTTTTTTTTTTTAAGTAGAGATGGGGTTTCACCATGTTGGCCAGGCTGGTCTCGAACGCTTAACCTCAGGTGATCCACCCACCTCAATCTCCCACAGTGCTGGGATGACAAGTGTGAGCCACTGCTCCTGGCCCTTCTGGGACTTCTGTTACAAGGCCAAGTTCCTTGTCCTAACCCCAGAGAACCCCAGAGATTCTCAGTTAGGGGCCCGTGGCAGGGCTCAGAATCTGTATTTTCATGACTACCCCATTCCTGGTTTTGGAATTACTAGAGCAGGTGATCCCTAGCAGCCACACAGCCTCAGTTTCCTTGAGCTCTTGGATCTAAATGTGATAATTCAAACCAGAAGTTCTGTGAAAGAGTCTCATTCACAGAGTATCACTTAAAATCCCCCAGTGAAATCTGCTACTTAGAAATTCTGCCCATTTTTCTTCCTTTTAAAAAGGGGACCCACTGGGGGGCCATGAAGGTGACCTGTGTGTCTCTTGACAGGCTTGCCCAGGTACAGGCAAAGCTTGAGATGGAGAGGCCAGGCCAGTGGGACCGTGCACAGCCCTCTCCTGCATAGCTTCGTGGCTGTGTGTGGCAGCTGTTCTGCAGTGTCCTAGTGAGCCCAGGGGCCCGGCCTGGAAGTTTTGCTCACAAATGGCCCCCTCTGGCCTCCCAGGAGGCCCACAGCCACAGGCACCCTGCAGGGGTGGGTGGCCAGGAGCCTCAGACCTGGAGTGGGCTGGGGGCAGGTGCTCTCCAAGGGGAAGGGTCCACTTCAGAGGTCCAAGGGCCAATCAGCCACCTCACTGAACCTTGGTTTCCCCATTTGTTCTGTAAGAGGACTCCTGCTGGCCTGCCTCCCAGCAAGTGCTAATGGGAGGGACAGTGACGACCCGTGTGCTCCAACCTGAGCCCCCTCCGTAAGGAGGAGTGAAGGCCAGGCCCAACCCATTGTCCACCTCCAGGGAGGACAGGCAAGAGAAACCCGAGCACCTCTCAGGCGGGGTCCAGGCAGGAGGCCGCAGCCCCATGGGGCCCTAGTGAAAAGGCCCAAGGCAGGAGTCCAGGCTGAGGCACAGGTTTCCAGGAGCCTGTCAGGGAGCAGCTGCTGGAGGAGCTCAGCGCTCCCGTCCTGGCGGCCCTTCCCTGTGTGACCCCCAGTCCCATCTCAGCTGACTGTTGGAGACTCCAGGGGTGCCCCGTGAGCACTCCTGGGAGAAAGCCACCTTCTGCAGCAACAGAGGCTCTAGTGACCAACCTGGGACCCCGTGTTCTGGAAACACTTCCGAAAACCTATACTGGCCAGAAAGGGAGGTAAACATGGGCCCAGCCACCCCAGGACTCTGGCCATCTGAGCTAGAGATTGAGGCAAACTACAGATGAGGTTAGGGTCTGGGTGAACCCAAACAGCGTCTAGTCCAAAGCGTCCGTTTTACAGACAAGCAAACCAAGGCTCAGAGTCCTGAGGCAAATCTGCTCAGCGTGGAGCCCCAGACTCAGGTTCCCCGGACTCAGAGAAATCATTTCTTCGGTGCTGTTGTCTGAGGCGGAGGAATTTTGCCTCGTGCTGGCTTCTCATTCCCTTTGGTCCCCTCTTAGACTGGCCCATGCCTGGGTCCCACCGGGTGTGTTCCTCAAGACGTGCCTGGGGGAGCTCCTCTCTCCAAGGAGGCTCTGGGGCAAGAGGCCATGAAGAGGTGGAGTCTCAGACCCTCAGCTCAGCCTCGACAAAACACGCACGGGGCGCCCCTGACCTCTTTCAGCTGAGGGAGGAAAAGCAAACATTTATTTCACCACATCATTCACCTTGAAGCTTCTTGTTACCCCTTGGGCAGCAGAGCTCTGAGGTGGAAGTTGTTTTGTTTTTTGTTTTTGCTTCTTTTTTTTTTTTTTTTTTTGAGACAGAGTCTCACTCTGTCATCCATGCTGGAGTGCAGTGGCACGATCTCGGCTCTCTGCAGCCTCTGCCCCCTGGGTTCAAGCGATTCTCCTGCCTCAGCCTCCCGAGTAGCTGGGATCACAGGCGTGCACCACTATGCCCAGCTAATTTTTGTATTTTTGGTAGAGACAGGGTTTCATCATGTTGCCCAGGCTGATCGCAAAGTCCTGGCCTCGTATACCTGCCTTGGTCTCCCAAAGTGCTGGGATTACAGGCGTGCGCCACCGTGCCCGGCCCTGTGGCGGGAGTTTTTATCTCATTTTTACAAGCAGTTGGGAGAGCCTGTAAGGGAGGCCTGGGGTTTGAACCCTGGTCTTTGTCTCCAGGAGAGAGCTCTAGAAAGGGAAAAGAGAAATCCGAAATGGTGTCAGCATTCACGCTTGAAGCGTATCTCCAGCCATCGTGTGCGGGCTGCAGTGAACAGTCTCCCTGTGCTTCAGGAGCTCATTGTTATCTCTTAGCCACAGCAATTATGTGAGGGGCATGATAGTAGCCCCATTTTGCAGATGAAGAAACTGAGGCTCGGAGGGAGTACCTGTCCTAGGTGGGGTCACCTAGCTCATAAGGACGGAGGCCTGACGCCACCTCTTTCCACCGCCTTCCGCTACCTCTGTTTGGAATTCTCTGGCAAGTTGTGCAAAGTGTAGACCTGCACCTGCCCTTCAGTTTTACATGCGGGGAAAATGAGGCTCTGAGGGGCGGCTACACAACTGGTATAGAGACTCCAACCAGCCCGTCAGCCTCCAAGCCCAGCAGTCTCTCTAGACCAGCCACTTCCAATCGCACGTTCTCTGTCCCTTGGTTCCCTGGCTCTTCCCAGACCCCCAGAGCCCTGGCCCTAACAGGCCACCTCATAGTCCCCCTGCCACCATGGGAACCAGACCTCAGACAGAGGCAGCTGAGGCAGAGGACAGGCAGGGGAGATGCTCACAAAAGCCAGCACAAAATGCAGCCGTTTGGTACTTTCATCTTTTTGCAACTCCTGAAATAACACCTTTTAATTGCTTCATTTTCTGTATTCTTTCATTTTATTTAGACTAGTCTGGGGCTCTCCAGTCTGGCATATTAGAGAACTTCTTACTTTTTAATAATAATACTTAGCGTTTATGTAGCACGTTTCATGTTCAAAGTGCTTGACAGAGTTCACTAATTAATCTGAATGCTAACAGCTGTCCTGGGCAGGTTTGCCCAAGTTCTCAGGCTCCTAATTGTGAGGGGTGGAATTCTTCCTGCTGCCTGACCCCTGGTTCCTTCTCTGGACCCCCCAATTCTCTCTGCAGTTGAGGCTCTAGGCTATCAATCACAGTTGACCTGTGTGCTGGGTCATGCTCAGGGCTGGGGGACATGGAGCAGGGGCAGACACGCTGCCACCTCAAAGGGCCCTGGAACAGTGAGGGAAGAGACTCTAGTGCTAAGACATGTGTCTCGGTGGAGAGAAGCTTGGGGACAGCGGGAGCATAGGAGACAGTGACCCACTGGTCTTGCAGAGCTGTAGGAGGAGGGGATTTCAGGAGCAAAGAGGAGCTCTCCAGGCAGGCCAGCCAGGCAGAAACGGCATCCCAGGCAGAGAGTGCAGCCTGTGCCCAGAGGTGGTGTTGAGAGGCAGACATTCAGGGCTTAAAGGAGGAGGGGGAGAGATGCCATGGAGGCCGGGCCAGGCTGCTGGAGCTGAGGCCTGCCGAGGAACTGGACCTTACGCCACGGACTGTGGCTGGAGGAGCAAAATCCTTGCCTGTGGCAAGAAGACACAGAAGCCAGGCTTGAAAGGTGGTTCTGCACATTCAAGATTCTTCTGTAGGCTGCGAGGGGCTGAACCGAGGACAGGCATGAAATGGAGAAGCCTGAACTAGGGCAGAGAGAAAGGAGGCCGAATCCGGGAGAGATTGGTGGGACGACAGGACTCAGAGGCCCGTCAGGTGTTGGGGGTGGAGGGGGGCGTGGCGGCGGGGTGGCCTGAAGGTCCTGGAGTGCAAGCACAAGTCCCTAAAGGGGGCTTGAAAAGGCGGTGCCTGCGGACCCCTCCCAGTGTAGCTGCAGGTGAGATGTGGGGCATTCGCTGAATGACCATACATGGATTCACGGGTCAAGAGCTTGGGCAGGGTATGGAGAGGTCTGGAAAGAGCCATACTTGGTGTCACTGTGTCCAGGTGGCATTTGATACCCTGAGAGTGCCTGGGTTTATCTCTGGGGACATCAATAATTAAGGGGGCAGTGGAGGCAAGGGGCTGACATGGGCTGCTGAGTGAGTTAGGCAGAGTGGGGCGAGATCTGAGCAAGGTCCGCTGGATGGCTTGGTGCCACTGCCACTGAGGGAGAAGGCTGGGTAGCAGGAAGGGGAGGAAAGGCTGGTGGAGGAGGGGTCAGAGCTGGGGAGAAGCTTCTGCATGATCGTGTCCACAGGCCCAGTGGAGGGAAGGAGGCTGGCTGCCGGGGCAGGTGCCTGAGGAGTCCAGCACAGGTGTCCACTTCCACCACGTGGTGGGGGTGGGAGGAGGCGGATCAGGGCAGGTGCACTGGGGGGAGCCGAGGGAACTCACCTGTGACTAGAGGAGCCAAATCCTTCCCTGTGGCAAGAAGACACAGAAGCCAGAATCAGAGGCCCTGCCCCTGTCCTAGGTCTGCCCAGTCCTCTTCCTGCAGAGCCAGGAGGAGCCCCGGGGCCATCGGGGTGGAGGGCAGGCCTGGGGTCTTGTGGAGGCTCTTGTCTACAGCTTGTAGGCCAGCTGTGCCCATGGAGGGTCCCAGTCTTCTTCCCACCACCTCCTGGGGGTGTCAAAGCCCCTAATGTTACAGCTGGGGCTCCCTGCCTGGTAGGTACCAGCCGCCAGCAGCTGTTCCTTCGACAGCAGGGTCTCAGCTGTTTTGTTGGGGGGCAAGCCCCACCGCCAACCCTCCCAGGCAACCCTTCAAGTGGGGCAAAAATATAGCCTGTGCCTGTCCTAACTTCCAATTCCCCACCCAGACTCCAGCGAGAGAGTCGGAGACAGCCTGAAGTCCCGAGGGCCTCAAGTCCCACCTCCCCACTGGCCCGGATGCAGCCCTTGCTGGCCATGCCCAACCTACAGCCTCCGGTCCTGGAAGACCAGGGGACCGCACAGAAGTGGGAGGGTGAGCAGGAAAGTGGATGGGGGCCAGGCCTGTCCTGTGCAACTCAGCCCTCGCCCTGCAGCATCTTCTACCTGGTAAAAGAGGGGCGTTGGAGATTCCCACCTTCAGACCTCGGGCAGGGGAGGAGGGACCGGGAGGCACCCGCAGGAGAAGGGAGCCAAGGTGGGGAGGTGCTCCCTGGCGTCTCTGTGTGTTTGTCACAGACACAACAGAAGAGCTGGGAGGAAGGAAGGAGGCGTTGACTTGTTGGGGCTGGGGCTCTGCCAGGTCTGTGGGGACTCGGAGACAGAAACGTTGCTGCCCTGGAGGGAGGGAAGAGTCTCCACTCAGAGGTTTGGAGTCTCCACTCAGGGCTGTGACTAATGAGGTGCTCACCATACAGGCCTGGCTCCCTCCCGGGCTCGTGAGTCCCCGGGGCTGGGTAGGAGAGGAAAGTTAATTGAGCATCTAATAGCGAACAGGTCCCGTGCCAAATAATAATAATTAACTTTTATTGAGCTCTGTGCTTGGCGCTCCTGAGCTCATCACAGGAACTATCTCATTTAAGGTTCACGGCAACCCTATGAGAGAAGTGCCACTCCACATTACAGCTGGGGAAACTGAGGCACGCTGAAGTTAAGTGATATGGCCGAGGCTGCACCACCAGGATTGGAACCCAGCAGCTGAGCACCCTCATGCCAGTCCTGCACTTGTGATGCTACTGTTCACGTGTGCTGATGGGGGCACGATGCACCCAAGGTCCCCATGGTGGTTCCTAAACAGAGCGGCCAGAGTCCCCACCTAGGCCTGGATGCACACTGGGCCCTGCCACATTCACCTGTGTCCTCCACATCGGCCCAGGCCAGGGGAGACTGGGTGGCCAGAAAGAAGGCCGTCCATCCGCACACACCGGTGTACATCTGTACAGGTGTTCAGCCCCCTCGAGGGGTTTTTGCTTACAGTGATGAGCCTGCTGATTGTCAGGCCAGTATCAGAGAGACCCCTGGTCCCAGGCCTCCTCTAGTTGCAGAATCTTGGAGGCTGGGCAGCGGCAGCTCTGCCCGCTGGTGCGGAAGCATGACCCTATTGTAACGACCAGTGCAGACGAGCTGGTACTCTCCAGCCACAGACCGGCTGGCTGCCCTTCCACTTCTGCCGCAGACTCTGTGCTCACTGCCTGGAGCCATGGGGTGGCCAGAGTGGCTGGAAGCTTGGCCAGGGCCAAGGAATTGCCTGCGGCTCCCATGCAAACCAGCTGGAGTGGGGTGACAACTCCTGGGAGCACTGGCTTCTTTCCTGAGCTGCAGAACTGCCTCACTCCATCCTTCACTTCCTTCTTCAGGGTCTGGCTGGCCCTCTGGGCTCCTGGACGCACTTAAGAACTGAATACGGTGATTTCCTTTGCATGTTACAGGATGTTAATATAGTGGCTTAATGCAGTAACCTAATGGGTTTGTCAAACAAATCAGAATCCTGAGTTTTATCCCTGGAAAGTCCCCTAGCCATTATGCAATCCAGACTAACTTGGCCTGAACAGGTGGCTAGCCAGCCCTTGCTTAAATACCTCCCATGACGGCAACCTCACTACATGTAAGGCAGACTCTTTCACTTCTCAACGGCTCTTGCTGGAAAATTTAAAATCTACCCTTAGCAGTGTACGCCAGTACCTAGAACAATGGTTATCCTTTTCCGCAGAACATTTCAAGTACTAGAAATCAGGACTCACGTGGCCGACTGGAGGAGTGGCTTCCACCTTGAGTGCTGCCCGCCCAGCCCTCCCCCCGCACAGTGCAGGACCAGCCTCCTACCCGTTCCATCCACTGAGTTTGATCAGGCCATTGGCTCCAGCTCACAGTTCTCCTGGGCTCTTGGCTCACTCACCGTTTCCTAAGAGCTTTTCCGGCCTCCTTTTAAGACGAGAAACATCTATTTTAGTTCATAGAGTTTATCAAACACCCCATGAAGGTGACCTCACCCTGTGAGACCTTTGCTGGTAGAGGGAGTATGTATGGCCTGGGAGAGAGAGTGCGTGGTTAGGACGCCAAGGGCCAGGTGGTACCGTCTACCAGCCATTGGTCAGGAACGTAGCTAGGGGTGTCTGGCCAGGGACTCCCCACTTGCTAAGCTGTGTGCCCTGGTCGGGGGCTGCATCTTCCCAGAGGCGTGCCTTCAAATTCACACAAAGCAACTGTAAGAGCTAGATCCAGCCTTGCTTGGGGGAGTCAAATGGTCTGTTTGAGCCTCAGTTTCCTTACCTGTAAAACAAGGATAATAACAGTGGAGGGACCAAGGAAGTGCTCAGAAATATTTGGGGTTTTTTTGTTTGTTTTTCTTGTTTTGAGATGGAGTCTCTCTTGGTTGCCCAGGCTGGAGTACAGTGGCAAGATCTCGGCTCACTGCAACCTCTGCTTCCGGAATTCAAGTGATTCTCCTGCCTCAGCCTCCTGAATAGCTGGGATTACAAGCATGTGCCACCACGCCCGGTTAAGTTTTGTATGTTTGGTAGAGATGAGGTTTCACCATGTTGGCCAGGCTGGTCCCGAACTCCTGACCTCAAGTGATTCTCCCACCTCAGCCTCCCAAAGTGCTGGGATTACACTCATGAGCCACCATGCCTGGCCAGAAGTGCTTAGAAATATTTGAATGAATGGATGAATGAATGAATGATGCCCATCTTACTGGGCTGTCATGAGACTTAACACTGCACCTGCGACCCCATAGGTACTCAACAAAGGATCACTTTCTCATTTTACCTCCTTCTCCTTCTTAGGTCAAAAGAAGCAACTCCTGCTGCATTTGCCCTTCCTCAGGCACTGGGGACCTGGGTCTGTCTTGAATTTCCTTCTCTCTCTACACCAAGCTCTATGCCAGGAGCATCCACTGCAGTACACGCGCCCCCCACTCGTCCCCCCTAGGTCCAAGGTGAAGATGAAGGGCAGGTGACTGCGCGTGGAGGTCGAGGAGTGGCTGGTGGGCCTCTGGACCTGGCCGGCTGTCTTGGCCGTGGGCTGGGGGAGGAGCTGTGCTGTCTCCATGCCCCTCCCGCAGCAGAGGCGATTCAAAGCCATGACAGAGGAGGAGAGTGAGTCGCCTGCCACCCAGCAGCTGCAGCAGGCCTGTTACATCACAGCCCACACACCCGGCTGCCTGTCACCCACCCAGACAACGCCCCGGCCCGGCCCCGGCACGGCCCGTGTGCGCGGTGACTCATTGTTGCCGCCTCTTCCAAACAGCTGGCGGGCCCTGTCTTGCCGTGGCCGGCTGGCACCTTGGGCTCCTGTTCTTAGCAGGATCATTGCAGGGAATGTGGTGTGCACAGCCTCACCGTCTCCCAAAGTGAGGTGGCCCAGGGTGCTCGGCATCCACGGGCTCCTACGACCAGCGCCAGGTGCCCAAGATCAGCCTCAGACCGTCACTGGTTAAATGACACCTGCGGGCCGTGCAGTTAAACAGCTCTGCCACCTACTAGCAGAGACTCTGGACACATTTCCTAGTGTCTGAGCCTCAGTTTTAGCTGCTGTAAAATGGGAATAATAATGACACCTACTTCTGGCAGTGTCTTAAGATAATGCTTATGAAGCCCTCAGTGCCACATGCTTGATGCAGAATAAGAAATTAATAATAAAATAGTGCAATCGCTTTCGTAATGTTGGACTGTTCTATGTTTTTATTTATTTCTTTCTTATTTAGTAGAGACAGGGTCTCACTACATTGTCCTAGCTGATCTCGAACTCCCGGGTTCAAGTGATCCTCCTGCCTCAGCCTCCCAAAGTGCTGGGATTACAGGTGTGAGCTACCACACCCAGCCCTGTTCTTTTCATTTACTAGTGGTCAAAGCCACTGCCAATGCTCTTTGCAATGATACATGGCAGCATGGAGAAGAGAAAGAAACAGCATAATCTTTGAAGTATAAACATACTAAATGAGTTGAGGATCACCGGTTGGGGGATTACTGGTGGGAAAGATGAAACAAAAGTGGCAAAGCGTGAAGGTTATTAAAGCTGGGTGGGAAGCATGCGGGTTCATTATACTATTTGCTCTTTGTTTGTGTTTACTGTTTACGTTGTGTACGTTTGACATTTCCATAACAAAACAGTTAAATAAAATCATGGTGTCTGCGAGGCAGACCGATTGACTCTGGACATGCCCTCACTCACTGGCCAAAGTGGGGCAGGTTTCACAGCAATCTTAATGAGGACTTATTCTCTGCCAGGCTGGGAAATCAAAACTGAGGGCAAGGGGGGGCCCAGCCCTGCACAATGCTTCCGGTTCAATGTGAGGGGGATGCATAACATCTCTTTTGGAGATAAGCTCAAAAGAGGGGTCTTCCGAGAGGGAGGGTGTCTGCATGGTCTGAAGCCAAGGTCAGGGCAGGCAAGCATAGAGGCAGGAGGGACATTTCAGAGTGGAGCCCCCTGGCACTTGCACACGGCCTGAGAAGTTCTGGACTCAGGGTGCCGTGTGACGCCAGAGGTGGCAGATGACAAAGGTGGGTGGGTGGCAGGTGGCAGGTAGCAGGTGGTAGTAATGCCAGCCTATGTAGCTAGGCATTCACTTGGGGGCTGAGAAAGAGCCCCAGGAGGCTCAAACAGGTGACAGAATGGCTTGCGGTCAGACTCGTGCTTTAGTAAGTTCATTTTGTCGGGCGCGGTGGCTCACGCCTATAATCCCAGCACTTTGGGAGGCCGAGGCAGGTGGATTGCCTGAGGTCAGGAGTTTGACCGGCCTGGCCAACACGGTGAAACCCTGTTTCTACTAAAAAAAAATACAAAAATTAGCTGGGCGTGGTGGCAGGTGCCTGTAATCCCAGCTGCTCAGGAGGCTGAGGCAGGAGAATTGCTTGAACCTGGGAGGCGGAGTTTGCAGTGAGCCGAGATCATGCCATTACACTCTGGCCTGGGCCGGAGAGAGCAAGACTTCGTCTCAAAAAAAAGAAAAGAAAAGAAAAGAAAGTTCATTTCACAGCGTGGGGACCAGGGTTGGGTGGGCCGGGAGGTCGGATAAGATTCAGAAAGTGAAATTGGCAGGACTAGGGTGGGATCAGATGGAGGTGGGAGCAGGACTCTGGACCAACCCCCAGTTCGATTTGCAGAATCTGAATGTAGGGAGGGAAAATGTAGGATGCACCCCCAAGGCTGAAGGGCTGAAAGCAAAGCTCCCGGGGACCTGCTGTCAGGACTTTCCAGGAGGCTGATGTGCAAGGTTCAGCCATGGCTGGAAATGGGGGTTCGGGTTGTGAACGTGGAGGTGACAGCCGGGGAGCAAGTGGGTCATTCAAGAAGAACCTTGACAGAGGAACAGAGGGCAGTCAACGGCACCCCATCATAAAGGGGGGTGGGATGGGAAGGGGAGAGCCACACCGTGGAAGCAGCATGGAAGAGAGGGTCAGGAGGCGGGCGTGCCTGCAGGATGGGGCCGGGGCACAGGGCGTTTGCTCAGCAGATCTGGCAGCAGAGCCATCGCCGGAGGTGCTGCCCAGGGAGGGCTTATTTAGGATGGGCTGAGTTTACCGGCAGAGGGGTAAAGCCGATGAGAAGATAAGATATAGGAAAGGGCAAAGCACTGAGGAGTGGGCTGTGAGCAGGAGCTGGAGGGTCTGGGAGTGCGGGGATCCCCGGTGGCTTGTGCAGGATGAGCAAACGAAGACTCCGCATCTTCACGTGCAGCACAGGGTAAGACGGCTTCCTCAGAGTGTGCAGGGAGTGACTGAAACAGAAGCACACTCAGCTTCAAAGGGCCGAGCATATCAAGTGTAGGTGAGGATGGAGAGCAACTGGAGCCCTCAGCCGCTGCTGGCGGGTGTGGAGAGGTATAACCGCTCTGGAGAACAGTCAGGTCCAATCTACACCTGGCCTATAACCCAGCCACATTCCACTCCCGAGTGTTTACCAAGACATGAAAGCTTATGTCCATGCAAAGACTGGTACACGGATGTTCCCAGAAGTTTTATTTGCAGTAGCCCCAACTAGAAACAACCTAAATGCCCATCAACAGACAGATGGGTAAGAAATTGTGGTCAAGACACGCAGAAGGATAATACTCTAAAGGACAGAAGGAAGAAAAGAAGGAAGGGAGGAAGGAGGGCGGAAGTGAGGGAAGGAGGGATGGAGGGAGAGAAGGAAGGAAGGAAAGAAGGAAGGAAGGAGGGAGGGAGGGAGGGAAGGAAGGAGGGAGGGAAGGAGGGAGAGAGAGAGGGAGGGAGGGAGAGGGAGGGAGGGAGAGGGAGGGAGGGAAAGAAGGAAGGAAGCAGGGAGGGAATATCCCCACCCATAGCGGGGAGGCTGACTTTGCCTAACTCTGCACCCAGAGGAAACCCCTCTGGAGGACAGTGGGCAAATCCCATCCCTCTTGCCCTTCCGTGACCGGCATGTGGCAGGCACGGGGAGCCTTGTTAACCACGGTGACTGATGACGCAGATGTGGGACAAGCAGGGAACGCCAGTGCTGGGCTCCCAGGTGGGGAAGCAGCTCCCTCCTGCGGCCTGCCCCTCACCTGGCCCACCTGCAAGGCTCTGTGGCCAGTTGGGCCCCTTCCCCAGCAGCTAAGTGGATGCAACCCTGGTGGGGTTTTACCCCAGCCTGGCTGGCCCTTGCCCTCGACTGCTCTTCCTTGGGAACTGCTGTTGTGCCTCTGGTGTGGATTGGTCCTGGCCCGCCCCAGCCCTGGCCTCCCCGACTGGCTTCCGAAGACATGTCTGTGACCTGTGATCCATAGGGGCAGGCTCAGCTCATGGGGTTTTGATCCAGCTGCTGGACTTCCATGGCCCACGTCTGGAAAAGGCCCTGGCTGTCCACCCACAGCCCCATCCTTCTGCAGAGCCCCCACCCCTCTTGTCCTGACTGTGGGGCCCACCCATGTGGCCAACATCAGGTCCGAAGACCTGGGTTCTGTTCCCAGCTCCACCAATTCTAAGTTGGCATTCACGAACTTAGAACAGACACGTCACCTCTGTGAGCCTCAGTTTCCTTGCTAGGTCATTGCTGAGCGGGGGGCACGGCCACTCACGGAGGGCCATTGCGTGGTGGTAAGGTACACATGTACGGAAGGGAGGGTGACTCTTAGACAGCACCAGCCTCAGTCCACAGGCACTGGCCTCAGTCCACAGTCTTATTGTGCCAAGGGTCGGTCTCCGTGACTCTCACCGTGGCAGCCTGCACGCTGTTAGAAGCTGGACTCATCTACTTTGGATTGTAGCCAGCTCTAAGGGTCTCATTTGTGACGTGTGTGTGTTCTAGAGACAGCTTGAGTCCACAGCACAGTCCCTCATTCTGCAAAAGCAAAGCTGGCTCAGCCTCACTGCCTCCCTGGATGGCTTATGGGTGAATCAGTGGGACGGTTTACAGGTGCTGTTGAGTAACCATCCTCTCGGGGGGTTCCCCTCGCTCCAGGATGTGGCATGCAGAAAGCTGCCGCCCCGGCATGAGCCTGGCCCCAGCGTCATCGCCCAAGTTGTGTAAATAGCCAGCCAGTGAGGCATGCAAAGGGTAGGGGCTGCTGAGGCAGAGGCTTCCGGGGAGAGGTGGCACAGGGCCGGGGGCGAGAAGCGCTGAGGCTCCTGGAACTGTGACTGGTGGTTCCCACGCAGGGCCAGGCTCTCCAAGGGCCAGTTCTCATATTTGGTTGTTGATGTTTGGGTATGGAAATGTCAGCCCAGGGAAAGGCAGGCTTGCCTCCTAATGGACAGAGTTGTTGCCAGGGATGAGACACCTGCTTCCTTGTGGTTAAAGGGCTTGGCACCTGGGAGGCGGCACAAGACTTAGGCCTAGGAGGATCATTCATGATCAGCTGGGTCAGCAAATCCTTGACTGAGCACCTACTATACGCTCATGAGTGTGTCTCTGAATCCATTGTAAAATTACAGGGTTTTAGGGTCAGAAAGGACTCATAGTCATCTAGTCAATCCTGCCTTCCAAAGCCTGTGTGTGAACAATCTCTCCAGTAGCTCTCCTGGGCAGTGGCACAATCTCTGCTTTGTTAAATACTCCCAGCGATGTGGAACTCACTGCCACTGGAAGTAGCTAGTGCTGTCTCATAGCAGCTTTTTTTTTTTTTCTTTTTTTGAGACAGAGCTTCCCTCTTGTTGCCCAGGCTGGAGTGCAATGGCACGATCTCAGCTCACTGCAACCTCCACCTCCTGGGTTCAAGCGATTCTCCTGCCTCAGCCTCCTAAGTAGCTGGGATTATAGGTGCCTGCCATCATGCCCAGATAATTTTTTGTATTTTTAGTAGAGATGGGGTTTCACTATATTGGCCAGGCTGGTATCAAACTCCTGACCTCAGGCAATCCACCCACCTTGGCCTCCCAAAGTGCTGGGATTACTGGTGTGAGCCACCGTGCCGAGCCAGCAGCTTCTTATTCTAAGGAAGGATTTTCCATACCCAAGAGTTTTGATGGAGCCTACAGAGCCGCAGGTTCCTCATCTACCTGCCAGTCCTCCAGGTGTTTCAACACAAAGCCAGTGCTGCTGCTTCTCCCTCTCACTGTCCTTGTCAATTGAGATATAATTTATATACCATAAAAGTGCTTTTAATGGGTACCGGTCCATGGCTTTAGAATATATTCACAAGGTGCTGCAACCATCACCATGATGTGATTCCAGATATTTTCATCGCCCCCAAAAGAAACTCCTCACCACTACCTCCACCCCAGCTCCTGGAAACCAGTGACCTACCTCCTGGTCTATAGATTTGCCTATTCTGGACATTTCATACAAATGGAATCACAAAATATGTGGCCTTTTGTGTCTGGCTTCTTTTGCTCAGCATAATATTTTCAAGGTTTATCCATGTTGTAGCAAGTATCAGTACTTCATTCCTTTTCATTGCCAAATAATATTCCATTGGATTGATCGACCACATTTTTTAATGCATTAATCAGTTGATGGACATTTGAGTTGCTTTTACATCTTGGCTATTATCAATAATGCTGCTGTGGATGTTTGTGTACACATTTTTGTGTGAACCTGTGTTTTTAAGAATGGCATTTTTGGCCAAGTGCAGTGGCTCACACCTGTCTCCTGCCTCAGCCTCCTCAGTAGCTGGGATTACAAGGGTTCACCACCACGCCCAGCTAATTTTTGTATTTTTAGTAGAGAGAGGTTTCACCATGTTGGCCAGGCTGGTCTCAAACACCTAACCTCAGGCAATCCACCCACCTTGGCCTCCCAAAGTGCTGGGATTACAGGTGTGAGCCATCATGCCTGGCCAGTATTACATCTTAAATGTAAGCTATCACTTAATCTAAGATCACATAGATTTATACCTAAGTTTTCTTCTAAGAGTTTTATAGTTTTAGCTCTAACATTTAAAAATTTTTTATCTTTTTTTGAATTTTTAAAATATGGTGTGAGGTAGGGGTCCAACTTCATTCTTTTGTGTGTGGCTATTCAGTTGCCTCAGCAACATTTCTTGAAGACTGTTCTTTTCCCCATTAAGTTGTCTTGGCAGTCTTGTTGAAAATCAATTGTTCATACACATATGAGTTTATTTCTGGATTCTCAATTCTATTCCATTGATCTATATGCCTATATTTAAGCCAGTACCAGACTGTCTTGATTATAATCACTTTGTAGTAGGTTTTAAAATTGGGAACTGTGAGTCCTCCAACTTTGCTCTTCTTTACCAATATTGTGTTGGTTATTTTGAGGCCTTTGAATTTCCATATGAATTTCAGAATCAGTTTGGTCAATTTCTGTAAAAGGGCCATCCTGATTTTGATAGAGAGTACAATGAATTTGTAGATCAATTTAGGAAGTATTGCCAGATTAACAATTAAGTCTTCCAATCCGTAAGCATGGGGTGTCTTCCTCTTTATTTAAGTCTTGTTTAATTTCTTTCAGCAATGTTCTCCCTTTCACTCTTGCCACTCCCAGCCTTTTCCTTCCAGCAAAACAACTGTAGTTCCCTGAGGGAACACGCAGGACATGGGGACAAGCCCCTCAGCCTCCAGCTGCTCCTCTGAACTTGCTCCTTGTTGTCCATGTCTCTCTTACAGGGTGGGGCCAAGAACCCCTGAGCACTGAGCTCTGAGTCTGGCCTTGATGTTGGGGGAAGACGACTGCCCCCTGGGGCTCCCCCATCCCTTCAGACACCATGCAGGCCTCAGGTAACCCACTGCTCCTGGCCCCAGCATGCCGATGCGGCATTTCCCTGTCTGTTTCCCTCAGGACACTGTGAACTCATTTGAGGCAGTGACCCAGGCTCAGCCAGCTCTGCACCTCTGGAGCGTAATTCCAGGGCTTCTATTAATGTTTGTGGAACAAGGCAACTTCCTTGTTCTGGATCTAGATAACACTGAACTTTGCCTGTGAGTACACTTGAGGCTGACTGCTCCATGACACGGCAGATCTTATGACAGATCCCGGGAATAAAAATCCCTCTCTCAGCCGGGCTCAGTGGCTCATGCCTGTAATCCCAGCACTTCAGGAGGCCAAGGTAGGTGGATCACCTGAAGTCAGGAATTCAAAGACCAGCCTGGCCAACATGGTAAAACCCCATCTCTACTAAAAATACAAAAAATTAGCCAGGCATGGTGGTGCATGCCTGTAGTCCCAGCTACTCGGGATGCTGAGGCAGGAGAATCGCTTGAACCCAGGAGGTGAAGGTTGCAGTAAGCCAACATTGCGCCACAGTACTCCAGTCTGGGCGACAGAGTGAGACTCCATCTCAAAAAACAAAACTAAGAATAATAAATAAATCAATAAATATCCCTCTCTCTTTGGAAACCCAGCATTCTGTGCATTATTGGAGATTTCACCCACTCTTCTCTTTACTCCACGGTCAGCTTCGAACTGTGCTGACCCAGGATGCAGCGCCCACCCTAAATGTTTGAATGGGGGCTTTGCTGGCCTTATGAATCCCCAGAGGCTCAGAGCCAGAACGCTTCAGAAGCGATAAGTAATAACAACACTACTCTCGTCTCCTGGGGACTGAGTTTTAAATTAAACGTTTTGTTTGGGTGGTGTCTTCCAAAGCCTGCAGGCAATGTGTAGAACTTTCTGGTAGGAGTTGCAAACAGTGAGAACCATGACTCAGTCACCCGAGAGACTCGAGGGAACATCAGGGTGCTGTTTCTGAGACTCTGGATCGCACGAGACAGAAGTAATCAGAAGTTTCCCAGTGGATAGAAACAAGAGCAGTCAGAATAGAAGAAATCAGACATGTTGTGAAATAGATCCAGACCCTGAATGCATGCAAGCTCCCTGGAAGAGCTGTGAACCCTCTGAAATTCTGCCCACGCCGTCCTGCTAGAGGCTGTCACAGAGGCCATCCAGGGAATCTTTGTTGGCTGAGACAGCCAGCTCCCTATGGCTTACCTAGATGCCACAGTGGGTATGTCACATTCACTGCTGATTGATGCAAAGTGAGGCTGGTTCTCTGCCTGCATGTTGCCAGAGTGATTGCCCTCACCTTCCAGAAATTCCAAAGCAGGTGCAGCTGCACAGCCTGGTGCTGGTCCTGCATTCTGGGTGCATCTTACTTTCTTAGAGCAGGCACCATAGAAATCTGATTTTCAAAAACTGATTCTGTTCTGTGTGAAACTGCTCTCAAATGTTTATTGAAGGCATTTGAGAACCTGTGACCAGGTTTTAAAACAGGATTAAAAAAAAAAAAAAAGCATCTTCACACCAAGATGCTTTTTGCAATCCCACCAGCTCCAAAATAAAGGCCTAAAGATACAGATAAGGTTGGGCAAGCCGGGCGCGGTGGCTCAAGCCTATAATCCCAGCACTTTGGGAGGCCGAGGCGGGTGGATCACGAGGTCAGGAGATCGAGACCATCCTGGCTAACACGGTGAAACCCCGTCTCTACTAAAAATACAAAAAAAATTAGCCGGGTGCGGTGGCAGGCGCCTGTAGTCCCAGCTATTCGGGAGGCTGAGGCAGGAGAATGGTGTGAACCCGGGAGGTGGAGCTTGCAGTGAGCCGAGATCGCACCACTGCACTCTAGCCTGGGCGACAGAGCGAGACTCCGTCTCAAAAAAAAAAAAAAAAAAAAAAAAGGTTGGGCATATTCAATATAAATGGCCCAGGAAGATCCCCTGGCAGCCCTGCCGATGCTACGTGTTCCGGAATTCCTATTGCCATTTTCGCACTCACACTTTAATAGGTGCAGACAACTGAGAATCTCAGATCCTGAACTACAGAGGCTCAAACAAACAGGTAAGCTGAGGAAATGTCTATGTGGGGGTGGGGGACACGGGGAATCATTCTTACTGGGTTCTGAAAGGAATGCTAATTCCACCCACGAAACAAGAAACAGATGGTATAGAAAAGGAACATTCAGAAAATAGAAAACAGTTCTTGAGAGTTAAAAACTTGAGAGCAGAAATGAAACAGTCAGCAGAAGGACTAGAACACTGAGTTGAAGAATTCTAGGAAGTAGAGCAAAAAGGTAAAGTGAAGGCATAGATGGAAAAAGACAAGAAATGGAAGGTCCCACCAGGAGGCCCAACTTTTTTAAAAAAGGGCATTCCAGAAAGAGGAGAAAACAAGAGAGGAAATAAACAACGAAATCGTTCACGAACATTTTCTCAAACTACAGGGCATGAATGTCCACAATGGAAAGGGCCCTGAGTTCCAGCTCAGCAGACCAAAATAGATGAGTGACCAAGCCTTTCTCCTGAGTCGGTGGCTTGATTAATTTCTATTTCTCTTAAAAGTTGTAAGCAGTCATTTTTCTCCTGAAATGTGAAGGCAGCTCTAGAGGCCTCAGAGAGTCATTGTTGGTTCTAGCAGGTGAGAAATCTTGGCAGGTGGAAATGGAGATGAGAAGCCTCCATGAATGGAAGTGGGGGTGAGAGGCCTCAGCAGGTGGAACTGGAGGTGAGAAGCCTCGGCGGGTGGAACTGGAGGTGAGAAGCCTCGGTGGGTGGAACTGGAGGTGAGAAGCCTCGGTGGGTGGAACTGGAGGTGAGAAGCCTCGGTGGGTGGAACTGGAGGTGAGAAGCCTCGGTGGGTGGAATTGGAGGTGAGAAGCCTCGGTAGGTGGAACTGGAGGTGAGAAGCGTTGGTGGATAGAATTGGAGGTGAGAAGTCTTGGCAGGTGGAACTGGAGGTGAGAAGCCTCCATGAATGGAAGTGGGGGTGAGAGGCCTCACCAGGTGGAACTGGAGGTGAGAAGCCTCGGTGAGTGGAACTGGAGGTGAGAAGCCTCGGTGGGTGGAACTGGAGGTGAGAAGCCTCGGTGGGTGGAATTGGAGGTGAGAAGCCTCAGTGGGTGGAACTGGAGGTGAGAAGCCTCGGTGGGTGGAACTGGAGGTGAGAAGCCTCTGTGGGTGGAATTGGAGGTGAGAAGCCTTGGTGGATAGATTTGGAGGTGAGAAGCCTAGGCAGGTGGAACTGGAGGTGAGAAGCCTCTGTGGGTGGAATTGGAGGTGAGAAGTCTCGGCAGGTGGAATTGGAGCTGAAAAGCCTCAGCAGATGGAATTGGAGGCAGCTCCTGAGGATGCCCTGTGTCTGGTGCAGCTGCACAGCCAGGGTATGGACTGTGTGTGCCCCCACAGCTCCGTGCCTAATCAGTGATCTGCTTACCAAAGTGGGCAAGGGGCCCTGGGAGTGAGGCCAGCCAGAAAACCGGAATCAGATGAGGGGCCTGAGCCCCCTGCTAACTCTCCCTGGGGAGCCGGAGGAAAGAACTGGCTCCAGGAACAGGCGCAGAGAGGGAAGCCAGGCATCGGGGGTTGTGGCAGACAGGGACCTCCAGGGCTGCCTCAGGTGGAGGTAGGTGCTTTCAACGCATTTCAGCTAAAAGAACAGGTAATCCCACAGCATCATTCTCCCCTTGACCTTTCAAAGCCCCTAATCTGATGGCATACCTGTATGTGGATCACTGACGATGCTTTTCAAGGTTGAGCAATTTGTTCATATTTACTCTGTGGTTGGGTGTGAAAACACCAGGTCAAGGATAACATCGCGGCTGTTTGTTCGCCTCATGGGAGAAGGAGCTGAGGGCCTTTCTGCAAGCACAGGATTGATGGTGATCCTGAGTCACGAACAGGCAAATGGGAGAGGCTTTTGAATTGGGGCGTTAGGGAGAAGCTTGAGTTATGTAATAGAAGCATGGTGAGCTGTCCTTGATACGATTACCACTCTCAGTAATTATTATTATTTGACCTACGCAGACAAATCCAATTAAATAAGAATTGTTTTGCAATCGAATTGTTCGGAGGACAGCAGAGAGCTCCCTCTGCATGGTGAGAAAATTCCCCTGGGTTTGCACTACATTCGGTGGTTTCTCAAGCAGCCCCACCTATATGGCTGCTTTTAGATTTTGATCCACAAAACCAAATGTGTGAAGAAGGCCAGGCATGATTCCCCCCATTTTGTGACCAAGGGGTTTGAGGCTCAGAGAGGCCAAGTGACTTGCCCAGGGTCACACAGCATGAACAGAACACAGGCAGGGCTGGGTGGGTCTCCTAGCCTCCATTTCAGACTTTGCTCTGCCAGTGCTGGCTAGGCTCCAGCAGCATTGTTAGGCGGCATTGTCCTGGGTGGGAGGAGCAGCAGGTGCTGGAAAGCACAGGAACTTCAGATTAAATAAAATATTGTAATGCTGGTTCCCATAACGGGCCCCATGGGATGTTGGTGAATCCTGGGTCCTGTCCTCAAGCCGTGCAAAGCCTGTGAGGCTCAACCCTCCACTGAACTCCAAGCAGGCTGTGCTGGGAGAGCCCTGGACACTTTGTGCCTGTAAAAGCGACTCAAGATTCTTGTTACTGGCATTCCAAAATGTAAATGTGCTTTTTCTCCTGATTATAACAGCACGGCAAGTTCATTGGAAAATTTCTGAAAATACAGAAAACTATGAGTAATAATATAAAAATCACCCAAACTTCTATTAACATTATATACAGTATTTCCTTTCTGTGGTTTGTCATGTATAGATGAGTATTTCTTGTTTTAAAGACTAGGTTGATGCTATACATGGTTTTGTATACTGAGGGGTTTTTTTCACTTTAACTTACTTCATGATTCTCTTACCATGATGCTAGTCATTGAATATATAATATTTTCAATAATACACTATTCCATCATATGCAAAAAGCCTTTTGCTTAGTTTTTGTCTTTGAAAAACCACAGACATGAATTAAAATCAGAAAGAATGAGTGACAGACTATATGCAGGTGCACATTTACAAGCATAAAAGTATCTTCTTCAAAAACAAAGGGAAAACAATTTTTGAAAAATCACACATGCATGTGGGCGCGCACACACACACACACACACACACACACACACACACTCCAATTAAGCCTAAAAGACATTTGACAAAATGTAACATCTTTTCTTTAAAAACCTCTATGATAGATTATGGAAACGATTTGGAAATATAAGGCATTCACCAAGAACCAACAGAGGATATTTTTCTAAAGAGTGAAACTCTAGAACCAGTTCATTTAAATCAGGAACTGTACAAGGGTGATAATATGACCATTATTATTATTGAATATTGTCGTGGTTCCAGCGAATGCAATAACATCAAAAGCCTATAAAACCATTTTGAGACCTTGGAAAACAAGAAATAAATTTGTCTATTTTTGTGGATGATATGACTATGCACTTAGAAAACTCAAGAGATTAGTAAAAGTAACTAGAAATTATCAATGAGTATTGGTGACATTGCTAGATACTAGATAATTAGACAAATTATACAAATACTGACAGCTTCTGTCTATTCTAGTCATAAGCAACTAAAATGGAAAAAAGTGTATTTACAATAGCAACCAAAGCTATGAAGTGTTCAGAAATAAAATGTAACAAGAAAGAATAATGTCCTATGTAAACTCTAATTGGATGGCATAAAGCAGACTGAATGAAGAGAAAGCTTGGATGGGAATGCATATGTTTAACTTAAAGTACCCCTCCTAGAATTAATGTATAAAGTTAATGCAACTTCAAATAGAATTCTGATGGAGTACTTTTTTCTTTTATTTATATATTATATACTTAATATATATATTATATTATATATTTTTTCTTTTATGCACATATTTTATAGAGATGGGGCTCTCACTTTGTTGCTCGGGTTGGTCTCAAACTCCTGGCCTCAAGCAATCCTCTTACCTCAGCCTCCCAAAGTGCTGGGATTACAAGTGTAAACCCTAATACCTGGCCAAGTATTTTTTAAGAGGCAGAGAATTGGATAAAATTATCATAAAGCTTGTTGGGGAAAATTAATTCCTAAGAAATAAAACCTTTTGAAATAGAATCATTGGGGGAATTTGCATTTTCAGATCAAGACATGCCCGAAAGCCACTCTATTCAAAGTAACAGACTGTTGGCATTGGAATAGAAAGCTAGTTCTAGAACCAAACAGAGAAAGCAGAAATAGATCCCAGTACATTTAAGATTCTAACACATGAAGAAGATGTTCTTTTTCACTAATGGGAAAAGATAGATTACTTGGTCCTCAATCTTACAATTTATAAAATGATGGATTTTGACAAAGACATCAATAGCAAGACAGTAAAGATTTCTTTCCTTTTTTCTGTTTTTAAAGATTACTTAATAATTTAATGGTAGGGAAAACTCTCTTAACTCAGAAGTTTTTTTTTTTGAAGACAGACATATTTGTTGACATTAAGCCATTTAAAATTGTTTATAGCAAAAGATACAATAAACAAGGTGCTAGTTACAAACACTTGCAACTCAGAGGCCAGTGGCTTCATGTCTTGTATGCAAAGAAAGAGCTCTTACAAATTAGTAAGAGACAATCACCCAGTTAAAAAACGGGCCAAGGATCTAGAGAAGCAATTCACCAAAGGGCAAACCCAAATGACTAACAAAAATTTCTAAAGATTCTCTGCAATTTAAAATAGTGGTCAGATTTTTCTTTTTTTTCTTTTTCTTTTTTTTTTTTTTTTGAGACTGAATCTTGCTCTGTCTCCCAGGCTGGAGTGCAGTGGCCCAATCTTGGCTCACTGCAACCTCCACCATCTGGATTCAAGCGATTCTCGTGCCTCAGCCTCCCGAGTAGCTGGGACTACAGGTGCAGGCTGCCACACCCAGCTAAGTTTTGTACTTTTAGTAGAGACTGGGTTTCACCATGTTGACCAGGCTGGTCTCAAACTCCTGACCTCAAGTGATCTACCTGCCTCGGCCTCCCAGAGTGCTGGGATTGGAGGCGTGAGCCACCACACCTGGCCCAGATGATTCTTTACAAGTGTAAAACTACCAAAATTTAAAAACAGCAATAACATGTTTTGTTCTTGGGGTATGGGGAAATGAGTACTCATTTACTGGTTACAGCTTACTTGAGAGTATTGAGAGTCAATCTGGCAATACCTGTTAGAATAATAACCCTTCAGATCCGCAAAAATCCTTTTCCTGGGAAACGAACACATAGACACAAAAGCATCCATACATAAGGCTTGATATTCAAGGATTGTAGCCCTGGAAAACTGTGGGAACAAAGTGAATACCTATCAACGAGAGGGTTGAATAAAGTACAGTAATTCTCACCTTAGACTTAATTATGTAGCCATTTAAAAGAATGAATTTGAGTTACGATTGTTGACTTCATTGAGAAAACTAAGATGCAAAGAACTGTATAAGGTATGATCTGACTTTTGCAAACGATGTGATGAAAACCATATATATTTTTGTATATTATTATATGAGCAAAGAGACATATACATGGGGTTGTTAGTATGGATGTCTTGGGGAAGCTGCTGTATGTGGAAGTGGGAAGGTGTATGAAGGGATGGTGGAAACAGGAAAAGAAAAAAAAATACCACTCCCAAAAGGAAAATGAACCAAAGGGAAGAGTGGGTCTGTGTGTGTTTGGTCCAGACCCAGGGGAATCCTGTGAGATCTGCCATGTGTGTCAATAAAGATATAGCATGGAGGCATTCCTCCCATACCTCGCCGAGTATTTTTTAAGAGGCAGAGAATTGAATAAAATTATCCAATTTTATCCAAAATTTTATCTGCTTTTATCCAAAGCGTGTGATAAGACACACGTTTATCACTTGTGCTTAAAGTGACTCAGAGCTAGTAAGCAAAATTACTCCTGTTTTACGTCTTCAGAGACAGGAAAATCCTATCACGTGAAAATCTCACCATGTCCTCTCTGACATAATAAAAAACATATATGTTGATCTCTGCCCCCAGTCCCTGGCACAGAGCTCCTAAAAACCTTGTAATTTCTTGAGCAAGAAGTGTGCTAGGAGAATTTTTTGTTCTAACATTTGGTCTCTGCCCCGGTTTTTGAGACAGAGCTCCTGAAACCTTTGTAGATAGGGGTGCTCGGAGAATCTTTGGTTCTAATATTCGGTCTTTGATCCTGGTGCCTGACACAGAGCTCCTAAATCCCTTGGAATTTCCTGGATGATAGGAACTTTTTTTTTTTTTCTAATGAAGTGACTCTTGGTGGACTCCTGGCCAGGAGAACGGTCACTGGAAATCCCAAGCCCTGATGAGAGGCTTGGAGCTTTCAGCTCCATCCCGCATTCACCAGAGAAAGAGAGGAGCTGGAAGCCAGGTTAATAATCAATCATGCTTATGTTGAAACTGCCATGAAAACCCCAGAACTCTGGGGCTCGGAGAGTCTCTGGATTGCTGAACACATGGGGGGCGTTAGAGGGCGGGGCGTGTGCCCACAGAGGGCATGGAAGCTCCACACCTCTTCCCACAGGCGTGTGTCACGCATCCTTTCCCTCTGGCTGCTCACCTGTATCACCTGTGACACCCTTTATAATAAATCAGTAAATGTAAGCATTTCCCTGAGATCTGTGAGCCATCCTAGCAAATTAGTCAAACCTGAGGAGGGGGACTGTGGAACCCCCAATGTACAGCCAGTCAGTCAGGAACACGAGTCATACACCAGGGCTTGTGATTGGCGTCTGAAGAGGGGACAGCCTTGTGGGACGGAGCCCTTCGCCTGTGGGATCCGACGCTACCTCCAGGCGACAGTGTCAGAACTGAGTGGCATTATAGAAACCCAGTTGGGGTCTGTTGAAGAATTGCTTGGTGTGTGGGAAAAAAAAAACTCACACATCTGGTGTCAGAAGAGTGGTGTTGAGTGTATAAGAAAGGCACTTCAGGTTTCCTATCCTTACATCCTCCCTCATATGAGTGATGGAATACCGTGTTCCACTACCTGCCCTGGCACAAGCCCTTTCCTGGAGAGCTTCCCCATAATGCCTCCTGCCCAAAGTGCCCACCGGCATCAGGTAGCTCATCACGGCAGCTGAGCTGGGCCAACTGGGTTCAGGGTGCGTGTCAGTCAAGGAGACCCAAGGGCCAGTCATTTGGTAATGGTGAGCTCTTGCGCTGAATGGCCACGTGGAGTTAGGGCTGAGGCAGCAAGATTGCTGAGAGTGGCCTAAGAGAAGGGGCAGTGGTGCTGTTGACAGCCACCATGCATCCCCGGAGAGAGACAAAGAGAATGGCTCCGTAACCCCGCCAGCTCCCCAGCCCCCAGCTTCAGTTCCATGACTGGGCTTTGTTCCTATGAGCTTGCCCTGTGCCCCAGTTATCTATTGGTAGGTTACAAATACTCCCAAAACTCAGTGGCTTCCGACAGTTGTCATGTTCACTCATGATTCTGTGTGTTAGTGATGTGAGCTGGGCTCAGTGGCATCTTCCTTCTGGGCTGAGCTGAACTTGGCTGCTCTAGGCTTGGCGTCACTCACCTGTTTGGGGTCTGCGTCTATGTGGTCTCTCATCCTCCAACAGGGGGGCTGGAAGGAAAGGGAGGAGCTCACCTGTGCACAAAAGCATCAGATCAATAAGGGCCAGGCAAGTCAACAACTCAGGCCACAGGTCACAGGTCTTCAGTGAGCTGGGGAAGACTGCATGGGATGAGTGTGTTGTGCCCAGGAGCCCTTGTCCCTCTTCCTATTTGGGCTAATGATTGACAACCTGACTTCCGTGCCCAGGGTGGTCAAGATTCCCCTGTGACCCCTGGAGAGTGAAGGGCCATGTGCCTCTGATGTGTCCCTCCTCAAAGAGGCACAGATCTTTTCTGGTGCTGAATAACAGCAGTACCAATGAAGATGCAGGCCTGGTGTGGGGGTTCCCACTGAAGATCCCAGCACTTCAAGAGGCCAAGGTGGGAGAATCACTAGAGGCCAGGAGACCAGCCTGGGCAACATAGTGAGACCCTGTCTCAAGAATGAACAAACCAAAGAAAGAAGGAAAGAAAAGAAGGAAGGGACAGAAAGAAAATAAATTAGCCAGGCATGGAGGATTACTAGAGACTAGGAGACTAGGCTGGGCAACACAGTGAGACCCTGTCTCTACAAAAGAAAGAAAGAGAGAAAGAGAGAGAGAGAAAGAAAGAAAGGGAGAAAGAGAGAGAGGGAGGGAGGGTGGAGGGAGGGAAAGAGAGAGAGAAGGAAGGAAGGAAGGAGAGAGAGAAAAAGAAAGAAAGAGAGAGAGAGAGAAAAGACAGAAAGAGAGAAGGAGAAAAAGAAAGAAAGAGAGAGGAAGAGAGAAAGAAATAAAGGTAGAAAAAGAAAGAGAAGGAAAGAAGGAGAAAGAGAAAAAAAGAAAGAGAAAGAGAGATAAAGAGAGAAAGAAAGAAAGAGAAAGAGATAAAGAAAGGACGGAAGGAAGGAGAGAGAAAGAAAGAGAGAAAGAGAGAGAAAGGAAGAAAGGAAGGAAGGAAGGAGAGAAAAAGAGAGAAAAGAAAGAGAGAAAGAAAGAAAGAGATGGAAGGAAAGAGAAAGAAAGAGAAAGAAAGGAGAGAGAGAGAAAAGAAAGGGAGAAAGAAAGAGGAAGAAAGGAAGGAAGGAAGAAAGGAAGGAGAGAGAGAGAAAGAAAAAGAAAGAAACGGAGAAAGGAAGAAAAGAGGGAGAAAGAGAGAGAAAGGAAGGAAGGAGAAAGAGAAAGAAAGAGAGAGGGAGGGAGGGAAGGAAGAAAGGAAGGAAGGAAAGAGAGAGAAAGAGGAAGGAAGGAAGGAAGGGAGGGAGGGAAAAAGAAGAGAAGAGAAGAGAAAAGAAAAGAAAAGAAAAGAAAAGAAAACTAGCCAGGCATGATAGCATGCACCTATAGTCTCAGCTATTCAGGAGGCTGAGGTGGGAGTATTGTTTGAGCCCAGGAGTTCAAGGTTTCAGTGAGCTATGATCACACCACTGCACTTCAGCCTGAGTGACAGAATGAAACCCTGTCTCAAAATAATAATACAAATGTAATAATAATGCAGATGCCTCTATAGTCTGCTCTGTGCCGTGCATCGCACCACTTAGATATGTGGGCCACTGGGGCCCCATCTCAGCTCTGGGCTTACAAGCTCTGTCATGGCCCCGGCCAATGAACACTTCATTTCATTTTCTCATTTGTTAGCTGGTGACCATAACACACACCTCCTAAGTCTATGCTGAGTGAGGTATCTCAGGCACTTAGCACAGTGTCTGGTACTTAGCAAGTACTTGTAAACATTATGATTATTGAAAAGTGCGTCAATGCTCATTCATTGACCACGCAAGGTGACGCATGGGTTCAACAGCACTGCTTCACATTCATGTTTATCTCGTTCTCTCTGTTCCCCGATAACCTGCACAGGAGTTGATGGATGTAGGATCCCTTTATGCTACTAAAGGGGATCATGATACATGACAGGGCTAATTTGTGGGGCATTTGGTCATCTTGAAGCAAAATGGCAGCTGATGCGTGTTTTCAAATGAGCATATCTGCTGAGGCCGAACTGAGTGGGGTCGGGGGCTCCAGAATTACTAAATCGTGACTGTTCTTACAGAAAACTTCAAGTAGCAACTTTAACCAAGAGGTGGCCGAGACCCTGCCTGAAGCCATTTGTGTGACTATTGCTGTTGGCTCTAAATTCATCTCGTCCGTAACCAGAGAAATGCATTTCTACTACCTCAAGGGGAAGGCAACCTCCATTTTTCTGTTCATAAAAAATTTTTAGTTATTTTCTGAATTGAAACTTCCAGGAGAATATTCCACAGGTGCAAGGTATATGACCTTTATAATCGCAGCGCTAGTGTTTCCTCTCTTGCGGTAGGAGCGCCTGTACTCACGTCAATAAACATTTGCCTTCTCCTCTTCCCTCTCTGGTCCTTGTGTTTCTGCCATTACAAAGCCGGAAGGGCAGCGGGGTCACCAGCTGTCATGAGGAAGGGGGGCCGAGCACGCCCCGTCACTGGTGGGCGGGGAGACATGGGCATGCACACTGTGGGTTTTGGTGGGGTTGGTGTGTGGGGTGCACACCCACATGCTGCTGTGCGGACTTGTTCCCATGAAATGAGTCTTTCATGGTGGGGAGGGAATATCCATCTATTTGATTGTATGCCTGTCAGCATTGTTCTAGGGAGAGAATATTCTAGAGTGGTGTCAGCAGACACAGTCACCACAAAGCGTCAGCTGAGGGACGCACCTTCATCTCCCTCAGGCAGCTGAGCCATTACTTCCTGTTCCCCCTATGCTGCCCGCACAATTCCATTCCTTTATTCCTCCATCTATTCGATATTTATCGGACCTCTTCTGTGGGGGGATACACAGACAACAGGCCCAGGTCCCACCTTAAGAAGTTCACCTTTGGGGAGGGGAGAGGGGAGAAAGAAAAGCAAATGAAGGACGGGTGCCCCAGCATCAGGCAGACAGAACACCCGATTCAGCCTGGAGACAGGGAGGGCTTCCAGGGTGGGTTGACACCGCCACTGGGACTCAAAGGACGAATAGATCCCACAAAAAAGTCGTATGATGTACAAACGTTCGGAGGAGGGACAGGGCGCAGGCTCAGGGCCCCTCAGCAGCACACAGGGCCGTGGCCACACTGCACCATGACTGCGTGTGCTGCTGTGCCTCCCACCCACTGGACACCAGCTCCTGGAGGCCCTAGGTGGCCTCTCCCTCATCTGTGACATCCCCGGCACCTGGCACTGGTGAGGCCACTTAGCGAATGGTGAGTGACTCAAACGACGGCCATCATGCAGCTGACCCAGCCTAGGCAACACGGTCATGCGAAGGGCCTTGCCATCCTTCCTTCCATGGAACCCCCCCGGGCCTTGGGATTATGTCTCTCAGTGCCTGAGGGGGGTCTCAGGCACCACCTCCCTCAAAGCCCCAAGACCTTTCTTATCTCTGCACCAAGTCACAGAAACAACAGGGGGTCCTCACAGCCATTGTGAGAATGTTGAAAACGCAGACTTTTAACCCCATGACACCAGGGCCACCTGCAGAGGAGAGACACGCTTCTCCTCTGCCGTCTGTCCACCCGTGGCAAAGGAAGACAGATGGGTGGAGCATCACACCCTCTGCAAAAAAAAGAGTCTTTGATCACAGAAAAATGTTTGGTAAACTTCTCCAGAGTTAAACTAATTGGTTTGGGGCAGATCTAATCTCCTGGATGCTTTGCTGCTCAATTAGTACTGGTCAAAATGTTTGAAGTTCAGAGAGCGGCTTCTCAGAGGACAAGCCCATTTGAATAATTAGCATCACGGGGTGTTCCCAACACGGCCGACCCTCCTGGGGAGATGAAAGAGACACCTCCCCTATACGTGCTCTGGCTCCACTGCCAATGGAGACCTCTGCAAAGCTTGAAGAGCAGGTGGCCTCTGCCCTTCCGTTGAAAACTGAGTGTGGGAGGGAGCCTGTTCCAGGCCACAGCCTGGCAGGAAGAGAGCAGGCTCAGAGGGGAGGCCCTCTCCCTCTTCTGAATGTTTGCACATCACACGACTTCTTTTCTGTGGGATCTACTCATCCTTCTAGTCCCAGGGGCAGTGTCAACTCACCCAGGAAGGCTTCCCTTTCCCCAGGCTGAACCACGCGTCCTGTCTGCCCCTGTGCTGCCAGGCCCGGGCACCCATGCTTTGCTTGCTTTTCTTTCTCTCCTCCCCACTCTCCAAATGTGAGCTCCTTAAGGTGCGACCTGGGCCCATTGTGTACCACACCATAGTTATTGATAAGTATTGAAGAGATGAATGGATGAAGGAATGAAAGAGTGAATGAATGAATGAAATTTGTGTAGGCGGCACCAGGGGAACAGGAAATAACAGCAAAGACGTCTGAGGGAGATGGAGGTGCACTGTTTAGCACTGTTGACACCGTGGGCTGGATTGTTCCTTGCTGTGGGGCCTGTCCTCACCTTATGAGACGTGTGGCAGCAGCCCTGGCCTCCACCCACCAGACGCAGGAGCGCACACCTTCTCCCCACCATGACAACCAAAAAGATCCTCAGACATTGCCAGATCACCCCAGTTGAGAACTACTAGGCTAGACCAACAACTTGTCTTTTTTTGGGTCTGAACAAAACATGGTACCAATAGCTTCAATTCAGAAAAGGTTTCCCTTCTCCGGCCAGCACCTGTCTCTTTCCCACCCTGTAGTGATAAGAGGGAGATTTAAAAACTGCAATTCTTTTTTTTTTTTTTTTTTTTTTTGAGCGGGAGTTTCACTCTGCTGCCCAGGCTGGAGTGCAGTGGCATGAAAGCGGCTCACTGTAGCCTCCGCCTATTTAGCATTTTTAGTAGAGACAGGGTTGCCAGGCTGGTCTCGAACTCCTGACCTCAGAAGATCCACCCGCCTCGATCTCCCAAAGTGCTGGGATTGCAAGCATGAGCCACCGAGCCCAGCCTTAAATTCCAATTCTTAGTGACTAATTTGCAGTATCCCAGCCCATTTTGAGTTGTGTCTCCCGGGCTTTGAATCCAGGCTATGTCACTCACAAAGGCCATTTCATCTCTCAGAGCCTCGGCATCTCCACCACAAAGTATGAAGAGTGCCAATCCCATTTCTACAGCGGGCAGTCCATGAAATCACGTGGGTGGTGCCCCCACACAGTAGGGCTTGCACATGGCAGCTACGGTACTGTGTCTGCGCTTCTCCCTTCAGGAGGAGGGCCTTCCCAGGGTATGAGAGTCTAACCTGCTACCAAGCCCTTCAACGGTTGGCATAATTCAGTTCATTCAAAGCCTGTCTTGCCCACTTAGAAAGAGCCAGAGGCTGCCATGCTCTCTCACAGGTGCCTGGGCTCAGGGCAACAGTGTGACCCTTGGGGCCAGTCAAGCCAGACCCAACCTCCAGCCCTACCATTGCCCAGCATGTCCAGGGCTGGTCATTCAGCATCCCGCTCGCCTGAGGAAACAGGATTAACAAGCCTCCCCTCACAAGGTCTCGGGAGGATTAAACGAGTCCTTAGGTTCACAGATGCTGTGGAATTATTAACTGTGGCTCAGTCGGTGTGGCGAGGCCAAAGCCCAGAAGGCTGGGATGGGAACGTGAGTACAATTCCTTCAGGGAGGGGCCCTGGGAGGCCCCGGGCAGCTTCCCCTCTGGCGTGGCTTGTTAGACCGGCACAAGCTGGGTGTAGGTCTGTTAACTGCGCACCAGATCGGCGACCCTCGGCTTCCAGAACCGAGTATATCAGCATGAAGGGACAGGCATGTTCAGACATGGGGTTGCTTTTTAAGCAAGAAAATGTTCTTCCAAACGAAACCAGCGGCAGCACTGGAGATCTCGGCGGTCTCTTTCGTGCCCAAATGCGGAGATTTTTGTCTTTTCTGAAATCAAGCACCCACAGCCCTCTCCTTGCGGCAGTGAGAACCCCGAGGCCCATCGAGACTCATCCTGTCCACTGCGCACAGCACGCCTGGGGTCTACGAGGCCTCAGGCCCGGCCCAGGCCTCCTGCCACTGTGCTCGGATGAACCCTGGTCTCCAGGTCCACGGGGAGGACAGGTCTTTCCAAGGCTGCTGGCTGAGCCACATGTGTGCAGCCCTCCCCGCCCTGGGCCGGGGGTAGGGTTCCCTGGGGACCTCACACAGCCCCCCCTCCCCCGTGGCCAGCCCTGAGAATGAGAGCTAGAAATGCCCTGAGCAGCCCTTAGGTCCATCAGCCCCCTTCACAGACAAGCGTCCAGTGGCTGGCACACAGTTCCCGCTGGACCCCCAGCCCCCACGCAGAGGTGACGGAACCTCTAGGCACTCCCCAGAGGGGCTGCCGAGAGTGGGTGTGGGGAGACCGTGAGTGTGGAGCCAGGAGACCGCCGAGGCCTTACTGTGTGGCCTTGGGTGAGCCGCCTGACCGCCGTGAGCCTCTGGGTCCCCCTCTGTGGAAGAGGGACTCCGTTCTACAGATGTCATTGCAGGACTGGGAGAGGTTGCGTGACAGTGGGACAGGCGCACTTCCTGCACACAACGGAGATCCAAACGGCAGCCCCTGTTCCTTCTGATGTGGCATATTTAGGACGCAGCTGCATAAAGGTAGAAGACCAGTCAGCCGAAGGCCAGCGCATGGGAAGCAAGAGGGTGGAAGAAAGATCATGCACTCTCCTGGGGAACCCCTTCCTCCCAACACAGACCCCAAAGAGGAGAGGCCCTGCCCTCTGGCCCCACCAGGCGGCTGCCTTTCCCTCTCCCTCAGTTGAGGGATCCTCCTCTGTGGCCTCCTGAGAGGCTCCTCAGCCAGGATTTCTATGCTGATGATCACTTTGGCTTCTGGTCAACACTGGTTTTGCAGAAGAAAAAACGGAGGGTCTGGGGGGCCATCAAAAGCAGAGCCAGTGGGAAAGGACCTTGAGCAGCCAGGCCCAGGGAGCAAGCCAGTCCTCGGCTTCGGTACCCTCTTAAGAAAGCACTTAGGCCTCTCCGAGACCGTTTTTCTCTTCTGTAAAATGATACCATCTCAAAAGCCCTTCCAGGCCGGGTGCGGTGGCTCACGTCTGTAATCCCAGCACTTTGGGAAGCCCTGAGCTCAGGAGTTCAAGACCAGCCTAGGCAACATGGTGAGACTCCATCTCTCCAAAAATAAGAAATTAAAAATGTTTAAAGCCCTTTCCGATGCTAAAATGTGGTTATTTTGATCCTCATATTCCTGGAGTCGAGGAACACGGGTTCCCTCTCTCTGGCACATCTGTGTCAGCAGCTCCGGGTGGCCTGTCCCTGCAGAGGTTGTGGGTGTGGAGTGCGGCACCAACTCTGGGTGCCCGTACTGGGGGGGAAGTTCACAACCCCGCTGGCCTGGTCTCAGGCTGTTTGTCCCTCCCTGGCTCTTTGTCACCTGCCCAGGAATGCCGGCACTGGTGGGAGATGTTGGAGCCGCTCAAGGCTCTTTGTTGCGGCCGGGCGCCGTGGCTCACGCCTATAATCCCAGCACTTTGGGAGGCCGAGGCGGTCGGATCATGAGGTTAGGAGATCGAGACCATCCTGGCTAACACGGTGAAACCCCATCTCTACTAAAAATACAAAAAATTAGCCGGGCATGGTGGCGGGCACCTGTAGTCCCAGCTACTCGGGAGGCTGAGGCAGGAGAATGGTGTGAATCCAGGAGGCGGAGCTTGCAGTGAGCCGAGATCGCGCCACTGCACTCCAGCCTGGACGACAGAGCGAGACTCCGTCTCAAAAAAAAAAAAAAAAAAAAAGCCTCTTGTTGCCAGGTGTTTGCAAAGCTCGTGTTTCCTGCACAGATCCTAGCAGAGATTGCTTGGAGTACTTGGAATATGGAGGGACAGATTGCATCGATGTATTCTATCCTGTTACAGATTTTATCTTTCTCTCTTTTTTCATAAAAAGGGAATTTAGTAGAAAAGTATTTCTTCAAAGTTGAAGGTCAAATTAAGATCTTGACATTTTATCTCCTATCTCACAGTGAAGAATTCATGAAATAAGACAGAAAAAGCACACGGCAAGGTGCTGGCCCCAAGCAGAGGTGAGGCAGGTCCTCCCGGGGCTGGGGATTTCCACACCTGGGAGGCTGGCTAAGCACTGACCCATGAGTCCTCAGGACACCCTGGGGGGAGGTTCTTGTTTTCCAGATAAGAAGATAAATTTTAAAAATCCTGCAGTCACAGACAGCAAGTGGCAAAACTGAGATCTGAACCAATGTCTTCCACATGGAGAAAAGTGACTGGGGCTACTGGCTCTTTAGCTTCTGTAGCTCAGAGGAAGCAACTCAGGTGGGCTGGGACCCCCGCGCTTGCTTCAGGCATCTGCTCTCTGAGGACCCCACTTTCAGGTTTGCCTCTGCACGTCCCCAGTAGAGCAGGAGCCTCTCCCCAGATACATGGATCCCAGAATGAGCCAGACAAAGATGCCTTTTACTTACCCATTGGTGCCCATTCATTTCATGTTATAATTTTCTAATCCAAATGTACTTTTGAAATTTTTCAGACAAGCTGGGAAATTATAGACTATTCTGCCCACCCTGTATTCTTCCATTTCTCTGTCCATCTAATATACAAAAGAATAATACAAATCATTTTTTGGGCCAGAAACGGTGGCTCATGCCTGTAATGCCAGCACTTTGGGAGACCAAGGCAGGAAGATCGCTTGAGCTCAGGAGTTTGAGACTAGCCTGGCCAACATGTGAAACCCTGTTTCTACTAAAAATACAAAAAAATTAGCTGGGCATGGTGGCGTGCACCTGGGGTCCCAGCTACTCGAGAGGCTGAGGTAGGAGGATGGCTTGAGCCTGGAAGGGGGAGGTTGCAGTGAGCTGCAATGGCGCTACTGCACTCCAGCCTGGGAGACAACGAAAGACTCATTCTCAAAAAATATATAAAAATAAAAATCATTTCTCCCCCAGTATCAGGTGCTTTGCATGCATTGCCTAGGAGCTCAGTTCTAGTGTCCACCCCAAACCCCAGAGTGAAACAACCTAGGCCTTCACCCCAAGCCCGTGGTCACTCACGCTGCCTCTCTGTCCCCCTTAGAACCATCCTAAAGGTATGGGCTTGCTCTACCCATCCCTGGCACCTAATTAAACCTGTGGAAAGGCTTCCAGGGGACATGAAAGGGACTAGCCATACAAAACTTCCCATATAAAGGGCTTCTCATCTTTAAAGCTCCATCTATCTAAATAGATAGATAGATATCTATCATCTATTAATATTTTTTAAAGAAGGTAATTGAGTCTCCCTACATAGTTCACAGGCAGATGGAGACGATCTTTCCTTTTTTCTTGTGAAGAAAGAAGCCTAGAGATGGAGGAAGGGGGGCTTTCTTGGGGAGACAGGTGTTCAAACATGAACTAGAATGCAGATAGCAGCAGCTCATTTTTCCTTTCAAACAGCCTGATCCAGCCTTTCTCTAGGTTACCCCTTGTGGTTACAACTCAAATCTGCTTAAAGATGCCCTGCCAAGGGGAATTAGAAGGTCACCAAGCATTCCTCAGAGCTGGAAAGCTCTAGAGCTCCTCCAAGGTTCCAGGGCTGGCCTTTCTCTCCCCTCGCATGATGCTGGGGTGCTGATACTTGCCTCCCAGGGCTGCTGTGGGACTCCAAGGGCTAACTCAAGGAGAGTCCCTAACACAGGCCTGGCACAAAGAGACACGTTATGACCCTTTGCTGGCCTACCACTGAAATCTGTAATTATCAAGCTGCATTGATTATTGGCAAGGAGAAAATATGTTATAATTTTTAAAAATTATGTAAATTATCTTCTAGACTTAAAAAAAACTTTCTATGACTATATCTGCCTCTGTTTCTGCTTGTATAGAAATTAAAATTTTGCCTTTTCCTGTGAAATTATGTTTTATAGCTTACTGGCTTGTGATAATAATCCTTTGTACTTTTGCAGGGCCTTTTATCTGGGAATCTCAAAGCACTTCATAAACTTTAATTAATTCTTGCAACAAGCCCCCTGAGGTAGGTAAATATTATTATCCCCATTTTACAGATAAGGGGAGTGAGACACTGAGAAGTTAAGTAATTTGCCGAAGGCCCCAAAGCAGTTAGTAGCTAAGTCTGAACAAGACCGCAAGTCGACTGTCTCAGGCCTGGCTTGGCCCCACGGGGGCCGCCCTGCTGGTTTCCCCGCCCCTCCCCAGGACGTGATTGACAGGGAGACCTCAATCAGTTGCAGCGTCTGTGTTAAATACATGTTGTACGGCTTACAGGCGTTATGGGGAGTTATCCGAGCTGACTCAGAAGTTTCACCCTGGTACTGGCTTATCTTCATGTGAGCTGAGCAAAGCCTGCACACCCATTTCTCAGGTCAGAATGCTTCTGCTCCTCAACCCTCTCGCTTGGAAAACTCTCACTTCCCTCATACTTGGACTCAACCAAGCATCTGCTGTGTGCCGAGCACGGGGCTCGTGGCTTTTTTTTGCCTGTGCTGTCTCCTCGAAATACATTCTTAAGACAACCCTATGAGTGACTGTTGTTATCCCCATTTTACAGATGAGGAAAATGGAGGCTCTGAAAGTGAAGTGGCATATTTGGGGTCACACAGGAGAACTAGGATTCCAACCATGTTCTGGCTTGAAGTTGATGCTCTTGTCACTCAGCCAGCTGACACCTGGTACCCGGTTGTGTTGCAGGAAGGCTTATTAATCCTACAATGGCATTTCCAGAGGACGTTGGTAAGTGAGTGAAGGGCTTCCATTTTAACCGTGAGCCAGGCTGAGCTAATAGTTTCTGTTGTTGGGTGCATGGATTAATAGGCGACTCTCCTAGGAGAGTGTGCGCGGTTCCAGAACGGGGCACAGTTGCCCCTGAGAGACCCCTTGCTGATGGCTCTCCTTGTCTTACTCAACAGCCTCACCACCACCAGCAAAGCTCCTTCCCTTGACCTGGAGACACTGAAGCGGCTCCGGATGCTTTGCTCTTTCCTCCGACATGACTGTTGAAGTCAGACAAGCCTGGATTTGAACTCTGGTTCTGTACCCATTGTGGTTAATCTTGGGCAAGTTCCAACCTCTCCCTGCCTCAGTTTCCTCATTAGTAAAAGGAGCTGTGGCAAGGATCAAATGAGTTAACGAACACGAAATCCCACTGCACAGAGCCCCACACGTGGCAAGGGCTCCATCAGGGTCCCCATCTGCTCTGCCATTCCTGTCCCGCCAGCTGCCTGCATTCTGTCCTAGCAGAGCCGACTGAGGAGCACCAGTGCTATCCAATTCTTTCCTCTGTTGCTTTTGCCAAAATCCTGGCTGGGACTGCGGCTCTCCTTCACCCAGGTCATGACAACACCCAAGAGCAGTCACTACAGCTGCTCCTGCTATGTGACAGCTCGGAGAGACAGAGGATTAGCTGGGGTTACCCCACTGTGGATATGTCATGCTTGTCTCTTTCAGATCCTGCTAAAGTGGAGTGTTGAACTTTAAGGTGCTTCCTGCCTCCAAGCCTGCAAGCCTGGATCTCCCAGGATTCTCTTCTGCCCCTGACAGCGTTAGCATTGCAAGCGCAGCCTTGGGGAATGAAGTGTCCCTTCCCAGTGCCGCTGAGAGAGGGGCAAGAACTTGGGTGCAGTCCCATGGCCTGAATGAACGGTGTTTCTCAGGCATGGCAAATCTGAAAGGAATCAACACATTTTTCTGTTGGATTCTCTCTTTAAAAATGGGAATGGCGGCACAAGCACATTTCAGTTCGAACAGGTTCTTGGACGCCAGCTCACCTGCAGGCTCCTGTGTTCTTTCATGCTCCTCCATCCGCTCTTCCTTTCAGGCCCTAAGAATGCGCCCCTAGCACTGGGGCCTGGAGCACAGGCCCCCACATACTGCCTGCAGCTCAGCCCTGAAATGACATTAGCTGGGGGTGTTGGAGCCAGCCCGGCCACCAGGCCTCTTAGACTGGTTGTCTGGGACACTGCCTGCAGGACAAGCCCTCAGCCCTTTCCTTCCCCTCACTGGACTGTGGGCACGACAGGGAAAGCATGTCCCATGTGCTAACTTTGCCCAGAGGTGGCCTGTCCAGCCCCCTCTCCAGGTGACCTTGCCCCATAGGGGGAAAAGGTACATGCCGCTACCGCTGCAGACTTCTGGGTACTTCTACCAGGCAGATGGCCCTGCCACCAGGAGCCAGGGGCTGGCCACCAACCTGGTGCTCCAGAGTGCACAAGGCCTCCCCTGGTCTTGGGCCCCCTCACCCCATCAGTCTGCTGTCCTCTCAGCCTCCTGATCTGGGTTGGTCTGAGCCAGTCCCTCAGACCCTGACCAGGTGGAATTTCTGAGCCTGGCCTTGGCCAATCCCACCCAAATCTGGCCCCGAGGGCCTGTCCTCCCCTTTCTTGGGCTGTCTGCCTTCCTAGACAGGCCTTTCTTATTTCAACAGCAGCGGAATTGCATAAATATTTGCCAAGTCCATGTGTCTAGACAACCTTGAGGATGTCCCACAATGGAGCATGGAATCCCTCCACAAATGGGAATTAGACTTCTTCACTGCCAGGGGTCCTCCTAGAAGTTTTAAGACCATCACAGAGGGCAACTGTAAAAGAATGAGGATGGTGTGTTTGTGTGTGTGTGCACACACCTGTGTGTATGAGGCCCGTAGAATCCAATGTGAAGGACTGAATACAAGCCACATTACAAAAATGGCCCCAAATACAGCAAAGCACATCCGACAGGGCCGGGCCTCCCCTCTCCAGTGATGGGGGTGAACAGAGGGGTGGGCTCATTCTTTAAGGCAAAGCTGTTTCTTCTCATTTTAGAAAATAACATTTATGGCCTGACACTGTGGCTCACACCTGAAATTCCAGCACTTTGGGAGGTTGAGGTGGGAGGACAGCTTGAGCCCAGGAGTTCAAGACCAGCCTGAGCAACATAGTGAGACTCTGTCTTTACAAAAAACTTTAAAAAATTAGTTGGGTGTGGTGTTGCATGCCTGTAGTCCCAGCTACTCCAGGAAGCTGAAGTGGGAGGATTGCTTGAGCCCAGGAGTTAGAGGCTGCTGTAAGCTACGATCGCACCACTGTAGTCCCGCCTGGGTGACAGGGCAAGACCCTGTCTTAAACAAAAAATTAATAGTACTTTTAAAAAGTGAGTGCTCCTTATTACAACCACCAGGATGCTTAATGGTTATGAGGTTTCCTTTCAGGGTGATGAAAACATTCTGGAAGTCAACAGTGGTGCTGGTTGCAGGACATTGTGAATGTACTGAATGCCACTAAATGGTACACTTTATTTATTTATTTATTTATGTTCAGATGGAGTTTTGCTCTTGTTGCCCAGGCTGGAGTGCAATGGCTCGATCTCCGCTCACTGCAACCTCCGCCTCCCGGGTTCAAGCGATTCTCCTGCCTCAGCCTCCTGAGTAGCTGGGATTACAGGCGCCTGCCACCACGGCTGGCTAATTTTGTATTTTTAGTAGAGACGGGGTTTCTCCATGTTGGTCAGGCTGGTCTCAAACTCCTGACCTCAGGTGATCCGCCCCTCTCAGCCTCCCAAAGTGCTGGGATTATAGGCATGAGCCATCATGCCCGGCTGAATGGTACACTTTAAAATGGTAAATTTTGGCCAGGCACAGTGGCTTACACCTGTAATCCCAGCACTTTGGGAGGCCAAGGTGGGCACATCACCTGAGGTCAGGAGTTTGAGACCAGCCTGGCCAACATGGTGAAACCCCATCTCTACTAAAAATAAAAAAATTAGATGGGCATGGTGGCATGCGCCTGTAGCCCCAGCTACTCAGGAGGCTGAGGAAGGAGAATCGCTTGAACGTGGGAGGTGGAGGCAGCGGAGAGCTGAGATCGCACCACTGCACTCCAGCCTGGGTAACACAGTGAGACTCTGTTTCAAAATAAATAAATAAATAAATAAATATAAAATAGTAAATGTTATGTGCATTTGACCTCACTCACACACATTGTCCATCCCGGCACGTGAGGCGTGCCCTGCACCAGGCAAGGTGAGGACACAGCACTGGACAAGACCCGCCCCTCCCGCCCAGTGTTCCTTCTGGTTAACGGCACAGACACTCTCAGTGAAGTGGGACTCGGCCAGCAACAGAAGTGAACGGGGCGGACTCCTCCACCAGCTATAGGCTATGGCGCTGACATCTGCTGGATGGAAGTGGTGCCCGTCCCGCTGCTTCCAGGAGACAGGCAGAGTTACCGCAATGGTGGCAGCCCCTCTGCTGCTTTTCCCTCCCCTCCCCCGGGGCACCCCGCAGCACCCCACTTCTAGAACTAAGAAAGGTGGGCTGTATTCTAAGATGTTGCTTGCAAGTCAGTCATTTGAAATGTGAGATGTATTTTACCCCAGCAACACTGTGATGAAAGGCAAATACTGGCCCCAAATAGCCCATGAAACCAAGTCAGCTCATGTGTTTGAAACAGTACACACTTGTCATGAAAAATAATTGAAAATGATGGTCCTAGAATACAAACGGGACCCTTGCTTCATGTGACCTCGGCAGCCTGTGGGTACAGATGCGTCTAGATTACCGAAGGCACCAAAGACCTTACCTGCTCTCACCCTACCTCTCACACGGGTCCTTCTGGCCCTGAGAGCTACACCCGCCCAGATGACTCTAGGAGACCCCTGCTGTCGGTTCTCTCTCCTACGACTGCAGCATGTGCCAAGGCCATCTTGGGGGCCAGCGTTGGTGCTGAGGGCAAAAGATGCCTTGGGGCCCTTGAGCAGCCTCCTGCGGCACCAGAGTCTTGAATCTGGTGACCGTCAGCCTGTGGGGCCCCCTCTGGCCCTTGGCCTGGAGGAATGGGGTAGGGAGGGGTGCAGTGAACCCCTTCACAATGCCCAGCACACTGGAGTCCAGTCTGCAAGTTGGCCAACATACTTGAAAGGAGTCACTGTTGGGTGTCATTGGAGGCAGAAAATGTCTTGGTGGCTGGTCATTTCTGCTAATGCCATTGAAAGAACTTTCCAGAACTTAGGAGGCGAGGAACCAGAGAGTGACTTTTCACTCCCCTCAGTTTGTTCAATCTGTAGCCATTCACTGAGCATCGCCCGCCTGTTTCTCTAGTTTTGGATCTAGAGAAGTATATTTGCCATCGCCTAGCACTAGAAGGCCTGGATTCCTGCCTTGCTATTTCAATAGACATATAAAGCCTCCTTGAGCTTTCATCTCCTTGTCTTTGTCTTTGAAACAGTTCTCTTTTGTTTGTTTGTTTGACAGGGTCTTGCTGTTGCCCAGGCTGGAGTGCAGCGGTATGATCATAGCTCATTGCAGCCTCAACCTCCTGGGCTCAAGCAATCCTCTCATCTCAGCCTCCTGAATAGCTGAGACTACAGGCAGACGCCACCACGCCCGGCTAATTTTTTACTTTTTGTATAGACTGAGTCTCATTATGTGGCCAGGCTGGTCTTAAACTCCTGGACTCAAGCAATCCTCTTGCCTCAGTCTCCCAAAGTGCTGGGACTGCAGGCGTGTACCACAGCGTCCGGCCTGAAATAGCTCCTGCTTCACAAAGTTGTTACAAGGGTTAAAGAAGATAAACACATGCCAGCATTCTGTAAATTGGAACGCACTAGGTAAATGCCAAATAACTAAGTAAACACAGAATGCGTAGGCAGATGGCTTTGGGGTACAGGTTCTTCCAGGGCTTTATTACTGTTTTATTTATGATAAAATTAATGATAGAGTATGCAAATGCTTAAACCCACTACCACCTCAGAATAGTACCCTTCCCCATCCAAGCATGGTGGTGAACTCACAAGGAGTCAAATAAAATCAAAGTAAAATCTTCTGTGTACCTATACATATAGTGGGATACGAGGATGATATTACAGCACATGCATATTTTTTTCACGTAAATCCTGGTCAATTAACAATCCTGGTCAAAACATACAGGTCTAGAGTGAGGGCCCTTTGCCTGTTATGCAGATGGGCTCCAAGGCATGGGAAGGCTTGGAAATCCTGGGAAGAGTTCACAGGGTGTCACATATCATGTTCCCATGGGAGCCTATAACCTCCAAGCCGAGGATGCTGCTTCAGGTCGGTGCTTTCCCAGCACCCTTGTGCACATAGATCATGGGGGCCTTTATCAAAAATCAGGTTCTGGGTCGGGCGCGGTGGCTCATGCCTGTAATCCCAGCACTTTGGGAGGCTGAGGCGGGCGGATCACGAGGTCAGGAGATCGAGACCATCCTGACTAACATGGTGAAACCCTGTCTCTACTAAAAATACAAAAAATTAGCCGGGCGTGGTGGCAGGTGCCTGTAGTCCCAGCTACTTGGGAGGCTGGGGCAGGAGAATGGCATGAACCCGGGAGGCATAGCTTGCAGTGAGCCGAGATTGCGCCACTGCACTCCAGCCTGGGTGACAGAGCGAGACTCCGTCTCAAAAAAAAAAAAAAAATTCAGGTTCTGCCAGGTGCGGTGGCTCATGCCTGTAATCCCAGCACTTTGGGAGGCCAACGCAGGCAGATCACTTGAGGTCAGGAGTTCAAGACCAGCCTGGGCACCATAGCGAAATCACTACAAAAAATACAAAAATTAGCCAGGTGTGGTGGCTCATGCCTGTAGTCCCAGCTACTCAGGAGGCTGAGGCAGGAGAATCGCTTGAGCCTGAGAGGTGGAGGTTGCAGTGAGCTGAGATCACGCCACTGCACTCCAGCCTGGGTGAGAGAGCAAGACCCAGTCTCAAAAAACAAACAAAAAACAAAACTCAGGTTCTAGCTCAGAAGTTCTGGCGTATGGCCTGAGATTCTGTGTTTCTACCAAGACCCCAGGATGCCGCTGGGACCCAGGCCTGGGTCTCGCAGCCTTCATCCCAGGCACCAGGTTCGGGTCACCTCGAGGGCTATAGGAGTAGCGTCTGGGCTCCAGCCCCCGAAGCATTTCTGTTTTCTTCGTCTGGGTGAGCCTGAGCATTGGCACATTTTAAAAAGCTCCCTAGGTGATTCTTACGTTAATCTAAGACTGTCCATTCCAGGGCAGCAGATTTGTCAACCGAGCAAAATGTTCATATTCTCTTACTATTAAAATAAAACATATGATGCTGTTTAATGATCATGTCAAAATAAAATAAAATAAAACATGGGGATGCAATGACAAAGTGGGAAAGCACCTACCGCAGTGGATGTCGGCACACAGCCACTCAGGCAGCGTGAGCCATCATCAACAACAGGGCAATATTAAAGACAGTTAAGATGGGAGGATAGCTTGAGCCCAGAGGTTCAAGACCAGCCTGGGCAACATGGCAAAACTCGGTCTCTACTAAAACTCAAAAAATAAATAAAGTAGCTGGGCCTGGTGGTGTGAACCTCTGGTCCCAGCTACTCAGGAGGCTGAGGTAGGAGGATCACTTGAGTCCGGGAGGTCGAGGCTGCAGTGAGCTGAAATGGCACCAATGCACTCCAGTCTGAGCGACAGAGTAAGACCCTGTCTCCACCACCCACCCCAAAAAAAAGGTAAAACAAAAAATAGTTAACAATTGTGTGACGCAGAAAGTGAACTCTAATGTCAACTGTGGACTTTAGTTAATAATAATGTGTTGGTATTTCAATATTGGCTCATCAATTGTAACAAATGTACCACACTGATCAAGGTGTAAACAGTGAGGAAATTGGGGTAGGAGAGTATATACTCTGAATGTTCTGCTCAATTTTTCTGAAACTTAAAAATGCTCCAAAATTAAAAAGTCTATTAATTAAAGAAAAATTAATAACTGGTACCACAGAGACACTGGCCAATGCTGAGTCCCACAGGCCCCCTGAAAAGCAGGGAGCAGCCCTTTAGTTACTGAATTATAGGGAGGGAGGGAGGGAGGAAGGGAGGGAGGAAGGGAGGGAGGGAGGGAAGGAAGCAGGGAGGGTCTCAAGGGATGCGGAGGGCTGCAGAATTATTTTGATATTTAAACAACTGGCATGGCCCTAACACCTGGATATCAACTCTGATGAATAATTGAAGAGACAAGTTCTCGTTCTGTCACCCAGGCTGGAGTGCAGTGGCACAATCATTGCTCACTGCAGCTTCAAACTTCAAGCTGCTCCCACCTCAGTCTTCCGAGTAGGCAGGACTACAGGTGCGTGCCACCATGCCTAGCTATTTAAAAAAAAAAAGTTTTGTAGAGATGGGGACTCACTGTGTTGCCCAGTCTGGTCTCGAACTCCTGGGCTCAAGCAATCCTCCTGCCTTGGCCACCCAAAGTGCTGGGATTATAGGCGTGAGCCACCACACCCACCCTATTTTTTTTTTAATATTTATTTATTTATTTATTTTGAGACCAGGTCATGAGACTGGCTAATTTTTGTATTTTTGGTAGAGACAGGTTTTCATCATGTTGCCAAGGCTGATTTTGAATTCCTGGGCTCAAGCAATCCACCCACCTCGGCCTCCCAAAGTGCTGGGATTACAGGCGTGAGCCACTGCGCCCAGCCCCAGCCTATTATTATTGTTGTTATTATTTTATATTAGTTAAAAGGAGAAATGAAAAAAGCAAAGAAGTAGCAACCCAATAGAACAGGTACAATTATCCTCATTTTACACATGAAGAAACTGAGGCACAGAGAAGTTTGCTTTGTCCAAGGTCACGCAACTGTCCAATGGAGAAGCTGGGATTTGAACCCAAGTTTATCTGCCTCAAAACCTAATCTCTTTTCAGAAGAGAAAGACTCTCCCTGGCCAAGATTGCTGGCACCTAGCTCGTCTGTTACCAGTTTACTCCTTCATGTAGATGGTCATGAAGCTGGCGTTTGCAAAGTGCCAAAAGTTCAGCTGCACTTGCAATCTGGAGGTGAGAGCTCCCGCACAGCATGGCCACGCCCCTCCCTGGGCGGATCCCTTCTCTTCCCAGTGCCTCACCTTTACATCTGGAGAAAGTCAGTGTCGTAAGGACCCTTACACCTCATCTGATCAGTTGCCCTGACTTCCCATTTTATAGATGGGAAATGTAGGGTTCAGATAGGGAGACAACTCAGCTAAAGTCACACAACCCCTGTGTGCAGAGCTGGGGCTGGGCACCAGGTCCTCTGCCACCCAGCACGCTGCTCTGCCTGCCCCCGTGGAGCCACAGCGCACACATGTGCCGCTGCCCTTGGCTGGAGTGCAGATCAGAGCATGTGCGTTTTCATTGCCTACGTACAAGTGCCCATGTGCTGTGTGCAATTAAGCCATGAGGGGCCGTCTCCACCTTCAAGTCAGTGGGCCACAAGTCCACTCTCTGTGAGCCATGCTCAGTGACATCACTGGGAGTTGTCCACAGAGGTGTGACAGTGTCACACATACCTCCCTTTGCTTCAAATGCACAGGTCAGCATCTTTCTGGATTCTTCATACAGGTCAGTGTGTGCTTTGCAAAAACTAAGGATAGATGAGAGCCGATTTAGTACAATCAGGGACTTGCTTTTATGAATAGGAAGAATAGGCTTTGTCCAGCAGCATGAAAAAGTTGTTTTAAAGTTAAAATTATGTCATTGGGTGGCCCTCAGACTCTGGCGATGAATGACACCTCACCAGACGGTTACAGGGGTGATTTCTTCCAAAAGGAGGTTAAAGCTGAGGATGCACAGTTCATGGCTTAGGGGGACACTCCCACTTGCTTCTGAGGCACTGTGTGAGCAGACTTTCAAGAAATATCCTGTCCTGGACCAGATTCCCGCCCTGAGAACACAGTTATTAAAGGCCCAGGTTGAAAGGGGACCACAGTCCCAATGAGTTCAGGTTGTGTTAAAAATGCACGTGCCGTCGGGTACGTTGGTTGCCATTTGTATACCTAATGTCAATGTTTAAGACTTTGACCTAGAGCTACAATGTCCAATATGAGAGCCACCAGCTAGGCATGGCTATTTAGGTTTGCACAAAGTAAAATGAAATATAATTAATAGGCTGGGCACGGTGGCTCACGCCTGTAATCCCAGCACTTTGGGAGGCCGAGGTGGGTGGATCACCTGAGGTCAGGAGTTCAAGACCAGCCTGGCCAACATGATGAAACCCCATCTCTACTAAAAACACAAAAATTAGCTGGGCATGCTGGCACACGCCTATAATCCCAGCTACTCAGGAGGCTGAAGCAGAGAATTGCTTGAGCTCGGGAGGTGGAGGTTGCGGTGAGCCGAGATCATGCCATTGCACTCCAGCCTGGGCAACAAGAGCAAAACTCCATCTCAAAAAAAGAAAAAAAATAGAAATACAATTAATTCAGTTTCTTAGTCACCCTGGCCACATTTCAAGTGCTCAAGAACTACACGTGGCTCATGGCCGCTGTATTAGACAGTGAAGATCCAGAACACTTCCATGATTGCAGAATCAACACTTGGGTCCAGAGAGCAAGTGCTGTTGATGGGAGAGAGAGCATCAGATACAGCCTGGGGAAGCAATTGGCAAGGCCAGACCACCATGAGCACGGCACTGAGAGCCTGACAGCTAGACTGAATGGATTGAGGATCTTTGTCTCTTCTCCAGGGGCCACGCAGGCCTGAAGAACAGAGAGAAGCCACTGAAACAGATGCTTTCTCTAGACCTCGTCCGAAAATCTGGACCTCAGGACAGTGTGCGCCATCTCATCCTAAGACCAGCGGGGGCAGAACCAGTGACTGCACCATGGAATTAAAGCTGTTCTGCCTGGCATGAGTTCTAGAATAAACCTGCTTGGTGGGACACACGGAGGATTCACGCGGGGATTACAAGCAGGCTCTTACTTTGCAATTGGCATGTATCATTGGTCCTGGAAAGCCAATTATGAGCAGATTATTATAAATCAAATCCTATTCTTCCAGAAAAATGTTTCTGGTTATTACTGAGGAATGTTTGGTTTCCAGGAACCAAATTGACCTCAATTAAGTAAAGGGAGATAATTCTCAGAAGTTGGGGAAATTGTGTGAAAGCTGAGGGAGGCAGTTCTGCCCTGACTGGGCTGGAAGTGGACTCTGAAGGGCCAGGTGGCGCCCTATCCTTCCCATGTGCCCTCATTGCTGCTGTCTCGGCTGTGGATGTCATTCTTTTCTGTGCATACGGGCTTGTGTGGCTCCCGCATCAGCCCGCACGCCGTTCATCGTGGCTGACTCCAACGACTGGTTTCCATCCCCAGCCTCCCACGTTAGCTCCAGTGCCTGGGGCGCCCTCAGACCACAATCCAGTCTGAGGGAATCTGACCCGTCTGGTTTTATCTACACATCCAATCACTTGAGCCCGAGGGTAGATATATTCTAAGACTGGAAGGCACAGGTGCTCTCAAAAGGGGAGGAGGAGGAGGAGGAAATGGCGGCCTCTCTGGTATAGTTTGGCGTAAGTCAGAGCCGCCTTCGTGGTGTGGTTAGAAAAGAGAAAACAACTGGAAACTCTATGATCATTCACAGTGATCAAACTCAGCTGGAAATTCAAGATGTGAACCTAAATTTACAGTGTCCAAGTATCAAGAAAGTCTGCTACATAAAGAGCTTAATGAATATTTGTCCAACGAATGGACAAATATTTGTCCAATGAATGAATGGACCCACTGAATTTCAAAAGACACAAAGGGGTCTGGGCACAGTGGCTCAAACCTGTAATCCCAGCACTTTGGGAGGCCAAGGCGGGCAGATCACTTGAGGTCAGGAGTTCGAGACCAGCCTGGACAACATGGTGAAACCCTGTCTCTACTAAAAATACGAAAATTAGCTGGACATGGTAGCGCATGCCTATAGTCCCAGCTACTTGGGAGGTTGAGGCAGGAGAACTGCTTGAACCCAGGAGGTGGAGTTTGCAGTGAGCCGAGATGGACTCACTGCACTCCATCCTGGGCAGGAAAGTGAGGCTCTGTCAAAAAAAAAAAAAAAGACAAAGGGTAGAGGAATTTTATATCATATATTTGACTGTAAGAAGGAAAAAAACTCCTTCCTTCTGCACCTCAAATGGACATTAAGTTTCCGACATCTTTCTTTTGATGGACATTTACTGAAGACCCACCCTGCAGCTCACACAGCAATGAGGGCGTAGACACAGAACCCGCCTCCCAAAACTCCAAGTCCTGAGTGCAGTCTAGTGGGGAAGACAAAAGTAGTAACCACATTAAAGTATGTGCAAGTACCCCTAAAGATGAAGAAAATCTGAACGTGTATTTCCTCACTCTCTTGATAAATTTCACTATAGCAAATACAACATCAACAATCACTCCAAAGTATTTTAAGAGGCGCTTAATGTTATTTTGAAGAGAAAGATGATGTTTCTCCCATCCAATAGCATTTTAAATATGTTTTAAGTTAACAAAATAATTTGCTTGTTGATTAAAAGTTAAGTACAGAACAGCATAACTGATCATTATATCAGGACTGACTATACCAAGCAAACCAGGATCTTCTCCCCACTGAAGTGTCATGTAGGATCCCATGCCTACTTTAAGTCAGCACCGAGAGTCTGCATAGAATGGGATGCCAAATATCTGAAATCAGGACCTTACTGGAGACTGTGTGTGTGTGGTCTCTGTATTTCCGTGAGCTTGGTTTCTATGTGGGCACGGTGAGAAAACATCGTCGTCCATGAACCATGCAATCTCATGGGGTGACAAGACAGCACGCACACCTAAACACTAACAGTCCACCTTGTCAAAGGAGCAGAGACCAGACAAGACGAGATATGGCCAAGGTAACGAGCTCCCAGGAAGGCCAGAAGCAGTGCGGTTACTGGGGCTTCATGATTTGAGATGAGACAGATTTCTTTTTTTTTTTTTTTTTGAGATGGAGTCTCGCTCTGCCACCCAGGCTGGAATGCAGTGGTGCGATCTCGGCTCACCGCAACCTCCACCTCCCGGGTTCAAGCGATTCTCCTGCCTCAGCCTCCTGAGTAGCTGGGACTACAGGTGCGTGCCACCAGGCCCAGCTAATTTTTTGTTTCTTTTTAGTAGAGAGGGGGTTTCACCGTGTTAGCCAGGATGGTCTTGATCTCCTGACCTCGTGATCTGCCCGCCTCAGCCTCCCAAAGTGCTGGGATTTAGGCGTGAGCCACCACGCCCGGCCGAGATAAGACAAATTTCAATCATCAAAGATCTAAGCATGACGTCTAGGTGAGGGAAGCAGCACGCTGTTGATGCAGAAGCCGGGAAGCAGGGAAGGGGAGGGGCAGTGCAGTTACTGAGCCCCTACCAACATCAAGGCTTGCGCTAGGTTCTTTATAGTTTAACTGATAGTCTTACAACCATGACCCTGCAAAATCCTATATCCAACAACCCTACAAAATAACCGTTAGATCCAGCCTCAGAGACGTGGAAAGACTTAGCCAAGACTCCCTGGGTGGCTGCAATGAGAGCTAACATGTACCCTTACCAGGTGTGCGTTCCAGGCCAGGTGTGGTGGTTTAGGAAGGGTGGGTCCAGGGGCGCTCTCTGCCCCAGGTGCAGGCAATAAGGACACGCATTGTCTGCAGATCATGTTAAAACAATAATAAAACTGACTAAAAGTTGCTCTGCTTGTTATTATCATCATGCCCATCAATTCTAAACAGTGTCACTGATAAAATACTCCTCCCTGAAAAAGATCCCTTTGTTCTAAACAATTGCTGAGGTTATGATGGTGTTTTAATAATACATATGTGAACTTCAGGTTTTTATTAGTTGTCCTTTCATAAACATATTCCGCACCTAAATTAATTCAGAGAACTCCTGGTTCCACAGCTGGCCTCTGATTCACACAGATTTGGCTACGTGTTCATTGGGAAAGTGTCCAAAGTTTTTTCAGTCCTTCAGCTGGCGGGCCAACTTGTTCCGGTTCACCCAGGACTTTTCTGATTTTAGCACTGAAAGTCCCAGACCAACAACTGACCACCTCACCTTTGCGCCCAAAACAGGAGCAAGACATATCTCCAACTCTCATGACATTTGCAAGAAACAGTACCACTGTGATTGTGAAGGCAAAGAGGCAGCATTTAACCAGTTAAATTCCATCATTACACATGGGATTTTGGTGTTGAAAATTTAAACAGTGAAAATGTTAACTGCAAGATGGAATATTTTTGTTTGATACATGCAAACAAAATTTATTGTTTTAATTTATACACAAAATGTTTAACTTAGTTTGAATAATATCTTTAAAATTGAAGTTTCTTCTTTTAAAATTTTTTGTTTTACACCTGAAGAACACAACAGGAAAATCATGACTGCCTATTTTTACACAGGTTATCACAGAAAGTAATCCTATTGTATTGCGATGGTTCATACTGAGTGTCAACTTGATTGAACTGACAGTATTGATCCTGGGTGTGTCTGTGAGGGTGTTGCCAAAAGAGATTAACATTTGAGTCAGTGGGCTGGGGAAGGCAGATCCACCCTTAATCTGGTGGGCACCACCTAATCAGCTGCCAGCGGATATAAAGCAGGCAGAAAAACATGAAAAGGAGAGTCAGGCCTGGCCTCCCAGCTTCCATCTTTCTCCTGTGCTGGATGCTTCCTGGACTCGAACATCAGACTCCAAGTTCTTCAGTTTTGGGACTTGAACTGGCTCTCCTTGCTCCTCAGCCTGCAGACGACCTATTGCAGGACCTTGTGATTGTGTAAGTTAATACTTAATAAACTCCCCTTTATATAAATCTATAGAGAGAGAGATATCCTATTAGTTCTGTCCCTCTAGAGAACCCTGACTAATACATATACCAAGGAAGGGATGTCAAGAAAAATTAACTGTTTCAGGGGTCAAATACAGTAGCCACAGCCTTGGTGCTGTGCGTAAATAATCTCATTTAATTCCCGTGAGGTGGCTTCTATTATTTTCTCCATTGAGAGATGAAGAAACTGAGATTCAGGGAAATTAATTAACCTGCCTATGAGAGGCTGGGATTCAAATCCATGTGCTCCGTCTCCAGGGCCTGCCCTCTTGACATATTAAAACCCAGACATACCCAACCCCAAAGCTGGGCTCTTCCAGACAGAACTTCTTGCTAGGCTATGAGGGTCCTGGCTAAGAATTTCATTATAAAAATATTGTAGCTGCTTCTTTCAGTTGCATGGCTGCATAACAAATTACCCCAAAACTTAGTGGGGTTAACAACCATCTTTTATATGTCTGCTGGATTCTGGGGGTCAGGGACAATAGGTACTGGTTTGTCTGCTGGCTGATGTCTGTGAATGCAGCGCTCTTCAGGGACTGAGCTCTGGGGATTGCAGCCTTATAAGCGTCGCATGCTGCACTGAGCTTCTACAGTGAGCCCTGCACAAATCCATCTCCATTCTTCAAAACAACCTGGGGAGCCCTGGAGTGATCTCAGATTCAGCCCCAAGGTGGGTATCCTCTGCCATTCTCCTCTCCTTTCTTCTAGCAGTCCAGCCCTGCTTTTGTTCTGATAGTGGATGGTTCCCTAGGGCTGCTATAACACAGCACCACTGTGCTTAAACGACAGAAATCTATCATCTCACAGTTCCAGGGGCCAGAGGTCTGAGATCAAGGGGTTGGCGGGCTGGCTTCCCTCTGAGGGCAGCGAGCATCTGCGCTGTGCCTTCCCCGAGCTCCCAGTGACTTACTGGTTGTCTCTGAAGTTCCTCGGTGTGTAGAGGCATCACCCTTATCTCTGCCGCATTCACAAGGTGTTTTCCCTGTGCGTCTCCATCGTCCCCCATCTTTTTATGGCTCACTGCAGCCTCAAATTCCTGGACTCAAGCGATCCTCCCACCTCAGCCTCCTGAGTAGCTGGGACTACAGGCATGCACCACCACACTCGGCTAATTTTTTTGTTTTTAATTTTTTTTATAGATACCGGTCTCCCTATGTTACCCAAGCTGGTCTTGAACTCCTGCCCTCAAGCAATCCTCCTGCCTTGGCCTCTCGAGGCACTGGGATTATATGTGTGAGCCACTACACCCAGCCCCAAATTTCCCCTTTATATCAGGACACCAGCCCACCCTAACACCCTCATTTAACTTAATGACCTCCATAAAGACCCTATCTCCTAATAAATTCACGTTCTGCAATACTAGGGTTAGGACTCAACATACGGTCTCGGGGGCAGGGGACATAATGTAACCCATAACAGAGGGCATCTTCATGCTCTTCGTGGGAGGCCTGAACCCATTTCCACGCAAAAGAGTGGATCCTAGTGGGTTTAGTCAACCATGGAGGGATGGGGGAAGGCGAAGGGATCCGTGCATTCCTCCTGGGGAGCCGAGGGGAAGGATGCTGGTCAAACTGGTTTCTTAGATAAAAAGAGACATAGAGGAAGAGATGCTTCTCCCTCTGTCCACAAGCCTTCCTGGGGCAGCCTTCTTGGAACCATGAAGAGAGCTGGGCCAACACCTGGGCAAGGAACTGCAAAAACAGGAAAAGAATCCAGGTCTTCAACGTTGTTCTTGAGGCTCCGAATACATGAAACTGGAGACTCCCTTCCCCAAGCCACGTTGCTACGTGAGATGACTGCTTTTCCTTATTGCTTAAGCCAATGTGAAATGTCACCAGTGCTTACCAGAACTCTGGTTAGAAACTGTCCTACAAGAAGGCAGAAGGAAGACTCTGACGGGCCTACCGCCAAGGGGCCGAGCCTGCCCTTGCCCGCCCGCTCTCAGACCCATTCCCCACTCCCACTGTGCCTCTGCTGTTTCTCTGGTGGAGTGGACAGGGCTGGCCTTGGAAAATGACACTGACCGGGATCTCTTGTCAACAGGCTTCTGACTGGGAAGTGCTGGTGGGAGCCTGGAGGATGGGCGGAGGGGAGAGCTGGCTCCTGTCCCTCCTCTCTGTCTCCATCTCCCTCTCCCTCTCTTGGCTTCGCAGCCTCCCCAGCACTAGCTGCTTGCCCTTGGTGGTCAGTGGGTTTCTCTGGGACAGCCCACAGGTGGCTGCCACGCTGCTGGGGACCCTCGTCCCCTTTCATCCCCAGTCCTCTGGGTGATAGTGGCTTCCTGCAGCTGTAAGACATGTCATCTCTGTAACTAGTTCTCTTGCTAAATTCCCTCTGCTGAACTGCCTGCCTGGGCCCTGAGCCATACAGGGCATGGAATGCCAAAGGGAAACATTCTGTGCCCGCATGTGGAGGCCGACCTGCCTTCTACGATGGCGGGGCCCTGCTGTCAGCCAGGATTTGGATGGACTGATGGAGGCTGGAGCTGGGTGAAGTAGCAGCCCCTGGGGGTGAGAGGCTGCTCCCCAGAGTGACTCCTCCTCTGCTCTCCCCTTCACAGCCCTCAGTCCTCTCCCAGAGGAAAGCTGGGCTTGTGGGCGGGAGCCTCCCTTGGTGCCCACAGGTCTTATTCTTGCCCTGGGTGCTGCAGGCCCCTCCCTAACTCTCCCTGGCCCTGGACGAGCCTTTCCAAACCCAGGCCCCTGCTCCCTCGGCTGCGTCCACCTCCTTTGTCTGTGTGACCACTGTCCCAGGGACCAGAACCTAGAGAGCACAAGCCTGGGGGCAGCCTCCCCTCTGGACCATGAGCTCCTGGAGCACAGGGACCTCCTTGGCCTCCCCTCCTTCTCCCTGGCACCTGGCAGGGGCGCTGGCACAGAGCAAGTGCTCACAGCTGTTAGAACAGAGACAGGGAGCACTGCCCTCAGGGTACCCTACCCCTTGGAGGGCCCGCAAGGCTCGGTGTAGCAGACCCCAGCCACAGGCCCTTCGGATGGTCCCGCCTCTGACTTGGCAGGGACGCAGAGCTCACACTGCCCCTGGGCAGAGCACTCACCTTCCTGAAGACCCAGGTTGTGCAAGGGCCCTCCGCATGCTGCTCCCTGTCACGAGAGGAAAAAATCTTGCAGGCGCTGGGGCTTCCCAGAGGTGGGGCCCCACCAGGGTGAGGCTCTGGCAAAAATGGGGCAGTGGCAAAGCCCAGCAGAGGTGCTGCAACTTGTTGGGTCAGAGGGAGTCACCAGGCGCTTAGGAGAAAATAAAACAAAAGAGGCAGTTTCCTTAGGCACTGGGTAAAAGCGAGGCTTCTCTTGGCTCTTATCAATTCCCTGCTGGTCCCCAGGAACCCGGCCCAGCCACAGAGGGTCCTCCCTTGTCCTGCCTGCCACTTGCACACAGGTGGCACTCAGCAGACACGTATGGAATGAATCAACAAACAACTGACTAAAGGAAGAACACCCAGGGTCTTTTGTTCCCCTAATCTTAGATAGCACGTGGGGAGAAATTCTCCTGAGCTAATCACTCGTATAGCAACCACAAATGACCACTTTTCAGCACAGCCTCGCTTGCTTTCTTTTGTTCCCAATAGCCCACAGGTGCTACTAAACCCAGTTTCAACTTGACAATATTGAATGGCTTTGTGAGCCAGGAACCAGGCTAGAAACTGAACATATGGAGAGAAGAAAATCATGGTCCTGATTTCAAAGGGAGAGTTGCGGGGAGGGGAAGGCAGGATGGAGGCAGGAAACAAAGGTGCCCACACCACGTGACCCACGTTACGATGGCAGGGGCAGGGTCTGTGGAACATCAGTGGCTCAGGGAGCTGGAGTGGCAAAAGAGGCTGGGAGGGTGGGCAGGGCAGGCCTCAGAGGGTCCTGGGTGCCAGGCTAAGGTGTTTGGACTTTACTCTGTGGACCCAGGGCCACCAGTGAAGGGCTTGAAACAGACAAGCCAAGTAGGCAGATGGCAAAGCTTCTGTCCACGTGTCGGATGGCATGTCTGAATACTGACTCGGTACAGGCTTAATGGGACTCTGACTTCTGCCCACTGAAAAAGACAAGGAAGTGGGAAGCAAAATAATGATAAACATCACTTTCCCCATGAAAATGAACTCCTCCAGGCCGGGTGCGGCGGCTCACACCTGTAATCCCAACACTTTGGGAGGCTGAGACGGGCGGATCATTTGAGGTCGGGAATTTGAGACCAGCCTGGCCAACATGGCGAAAACCTGTCTCTACTAAAAATACAAAAAATTAGCCAGGAGTGGTGGTGCACGCCTGTAGTCCCAGCTACTCAGGAGGCTGAGGCATAAGAATAACTTGAACCCAGGAGGCAGAGGCTGCAGTGAGCCAAGATTGTGCCACTGCACCACTCCAGCCTGGGTGACAGAGTAAGACTGTGTCTCAAAAAAAAAAAAAAAAAGTACTCTTCCAAACTCTCAGCCTCCAGACAAGGGCCCCCTCTTCTCTGCAACTGTGTGTGCCCACTGACCTGCCCCCAGGGCCCTTCTGGGCTCCAGGAGGCCCTGGCCTAGTTCCTATTTGGCTCCTTTCCCAGCAGCTTCCCAGTGAGCCACACCAGGGCTGGGGCAAGGTAGGGCCGTGATGTAACACTTTATAAAACAAACATCCTGGGACTTCCACTTACACATGGGCGTCCTCTGCTTCCAGCAGATCCTTTTGGAGGAGCTCCACTTTTCTGATGATGCCACCATTGCTCAGAGGAAGGAAGGCCTCCCTGAAAGCTGCTTTCTATGCCTCAGGCACGCCATTTGGATTATGGGCAGAGATGGCACACTTTCCACCTTGGAGGGTGGATTGGATTTTTCGGAAACACCTAAAACCATTCAAAGGGCAAGGTTAAAGGACTGGTGAGTGACTGAGCTAAGGAAAACTATTTTTGGCCAAACATCCAGATGGGACTAGAGCATCTGTGACTAGTCCCCATTACCCAGGTGTCCTGAGTTAGGGCACCCTTGCCAGGGCAGAAGCTAACCTCCCAAAGTCCTCATGGGGCTGGAGGTCATGAGCCTCACTCCACAGTCCACTCTTCTATGCTTCTGGAAGAAGTTTGGTGAAGTAGAGTACAACCACGGACACGTAAGCAGCGCCCAAACCCATTTTCCAGAAAGCTCTCAATGTCAAACTTTCCAATACTGAGTAAATGGATACACAAATGCTTGCTGGTTATTGTCTTCTATGTGACCTACTTCTTTTTGATAAGGGTGAGGCCAGGCGCGGTGGCTCACGCCTATCATCCCAGCACTTTGGGAGGCCAAGGCAGGCAGATCACTTGAGGTCAGGAGTTTGAGACCAGCCTGGCCAACATGGTGAAACCCCATCTCTACTAAAAATAGAGAAATCAGCTGGATGTGGTGGTGGGCGCCTGGATTCCCAGCTACTCAGGAGGCTGAGGCAGGAGAATTGCTTGAAACTGGGAGGCAGAGGTTGCAGTGAGCCAGTATTGCGCCACTGCACTCCAGCCTGGGCAACAGAGCAAGCCTCTTGACTCAAATAATAATAATAATAATGATAAGGGTGACTGCTTAAGTCTGCAATCACTATATACCTTTATAAGCCTTTTCATGTAAGTTAGCAAAGAAGAAAAAAGATACTTCCTTCATCAGACATGTTTTTGGTTTTGGTTTAGAAAACTTGGTCAGTGGATTTATACAGAACTCTGTGAAATAAGTAGATTCTTAGAACATTAGAAGGAAAGAAGAACCTGAGCTTTCAGCCAGTCCAACCACCCCATTTTCAGAAAGGTAGTCTGGAACCCAGAGAGACAGAGTGATGTCCAAACTTTCATAATGAGCGGGGCAGAGCGGCGGGGGGGTGGTAAGGGGGCCCAAGGAATCCTAAGAAAATGGGAGTTGGTCCCAGAACTTAGGTGAGATGACTAAGCTCTTAGAAGCATGTCCAGTGTAGTATCTAATGTTTTTATTCACTCTTTTAGCACCACACATAGAAGTCTCATCTCTGGCCAGGCACAGTGGCTCACGCCTGTCATCCCAGCACTTTGGGAGGCCGAGGTGGGTGGATCACTTGAGGTCAGGAGTTTGAGATCAGCCTAGCCAACATGGCGAAACCCCATCTCTACTAAAAATGCAAAAATTAGCTGGGCACGGTGGTACATGCCCGTAATCCCAGCTACTCAGGAGGCCGAGGCATGAGAATCGCTTGAGCCTGGGAGGCAGAGGTTGCAGTGAGACGAGATCACGTCACTGCACTCCAGCCTGGGCAACAGAGTGAGACTCTCAGAAAAAAAAAATAAAAAAGAAATCTCATCTCCACATGAGGGTGATTCCTAAGTGCGTGGCATCACGTATTTTTTTTACAAAGATCTGTTGCTTGTTTCCGAAGAAAAGAAAATAGTAATGGAGAGGATGAAGTTTACTGAAAATACATTGAAAGACAATAAAGTCATGCATTTTAAGTAAGGCCAGGTTTAGTCACCACCACCTGAGCTTCTGGAATCCAGCTGAGTGGTTGGGTTTCACAACTCCAGCCTTGCTGTCCACAGTTCTGCTGCCCAGGGCCTCTGCGGGTCTTCCTGCAGCCGCAGAGCAGAGCTCCGGGGAAGGAGCAGGCCTCCTTCCCTCCTTCTATTTCCCCTGCTGGGCTCTCCAGGCAAGGGCTCACCTTCCCAGCATGCGGGCAGGAGTTTGGGCTTTGGGGTGGGCTGGCGGGAGAGGAAGGTATGTGGGCGATAGCAGTGTGAGTGGCTTGTATGTGCAACAGTCAGAGCCCTCCTGGCTCCCTGAGCCAAGAACTGGCCTCTACGTTCCAGTTAATGTTTCTATCTGACCACCCCCAGGCTGCTAGGGGAACCCTACCTGCCAAGACATCCAGGCCCTCTGCCTGGAGGCTGCATACTGGGCAGTGCTGGGAACGACTGGTTGATAGGTGTGCCGGGAAGCTGGGCGATTCTGGCAGTGCAGGACACTTCCGGAGTGTGAGGAAAATTGCGTCATTGGAACAAAGTGATTCCTCACAGAGAGGCACAAAGTCCGCATCACCACAGAATCAAAGATGTCTCATTCAGCGCTGGAGCTATAACGTTCTCTGATGGGTTTTGATGGTTAATCTCATCAAGAATTAAGCTTGTTAAGGGTGGAGCTAACCCCCCTCTCCCTCCCTCTAGTCCGGGGAACACGGTGCCCGGTGGGCGCTCAAGGACTATGTAAAGATAAAGTTGATAGGGGCGTACCACCCCCACATCCCTTCACATAGGAAGAAGACTCACTTCTGCTTACGGCTAGCGTTTGCTCTGTTTCTGTGGAAGTCGTGCCTGCTCCAGGAAGAGCTGGATCATCCATTCATTCATTTATGCATGCATTCATTAAACAGGTATTCACTGACTGTGCCTCAGACCTGGTTTTGGGTACCAAGGAAGTTTTTCAAAACCTCACAGGGCTTTGTAGCTATAAAGATATGTAAGGATCCTTGGGTTATCTGAAGCCCAGAGAAGGGAGATAACTTGTCCAAGAGCACACAGCAAGTTGGGGGCAGCGCTGGGCCAGTGCTCTGAGCTCCTCCAACCCCGCCCCCACCCACCCAAGGCTAGATCTAGATCTACCCACTCCTCTCCTTAACTCTTCATCGGCTGTACTCCCACCCTAAGGAGTCGAAATCCCCACCCTAGGGAGAGACATATCCTGTCTGGATTGTCCAAAAGGGAATGAAAGGTAAAAATGAAAAAAAAAAAAAAAAGTGTCCCCAATTCAAGTGCAGTGCCTCCCTGGTGCGGGCATTCCAGCGTGGCCTGGAGTGAGTGGCAGTCCACCTCCAGAGGCGTCCCCTGGGCGCTCCTAGGGACTCGAATTTCCCACGCGGCTTTTTGCTTTATGTATTCACTGTTTAGACGTTTTCGGTCAAAGCATTTTGGGACTTCCGTAACTCTCAGAGCGCGCCAGGGAGCCGCCCTTAAAGATACCTAGTTACTGATGAGTTCCATCCGGTAAAGCAGAGGGTAGTGGGCGGCTTGGAGACTCAGGATCCGGGTCCCCTCACGCTCCTGGCTGAGTCCCTGGCTTCACAGGGGAAACTACCTCCGCAGGCCAGGACCCATCTAGTTACAGGATACCTCGATGTTACAAAGACGAGGCTTCCAGCGCGGGGGCGTGGAGGCGGCTGCCAGCCCTGCCCGCAGCGTGCTGGCGACCCCCGGGACGCCCCTTCCCTCCCGCGCCTCTGCTCCCTAGCTGGTGGGAGCAGAGCGGCACCGGGATCACTTCCAGGTCCCTTGCACCGGAGGAATGGGCGGCAGCAGGGTCCGGAGTCGGCCCGGCGGGGCCCACGTGGCCAGCACATCGGTCCTCCGCTCGCGATTTCCCTTTTCCGCTCTCGGGCACGAGGTACTGAACGCCAGGTGGAAGCACAGCTGTGCAGCTACAGGCTCTGCCGTTCAGCTGCCGCGGGCCGGGGCCGGGGCCTGCGGCGTCGTGCGCGTGCGCGGACCAGTTCCAGGCGGGCGAGACCGCCGCAGGGCGGGGCGGGGCGAGGCGGCCGCAGGGCGGGGAGGGCGGGGAGAGGCGGCCGCAGGGCGGGGAGGGCGGGGCGCGAAGCCGGGGGCGGGGGCCACGCGTGGGGCAGGCGGTGCTCGGCTCGGCTGACGTCGGCCCGCCGGCGCCCCACCAGCTCCGCGCGGGCCCGGGTTGGCCACCGCCGGGCCCCCGCCCCTCCCCCGGCGGTGTCCCGGCCGGAACCGATCGTGGCTGGTTTGAGCTGGTGCGTCTCCATGGCGACCCGCCGGTGCTATAAGTAGGGAGCGGCGTGCCGTGGGGCTTTGTCAGTCCCTCCTGTAGCCGCCGCCGCCGCCGCCCGCCGCCCCTCTGCCAGCAGCTCCGGCGCCACCTCGGGCCGGCGTCTCCGGCGGGCGGGAGCCAGGCGCTGACGGGCGCGGCGGGGGCGGCCGAGCGCTCCTGCGGCTGCGACTCAGGCTCCGGCGTCTGCGCTTCCCCATGGGGCTGGCCTGCGGCGCCTGGGCGCTCTGAGGTGAGGGACTCCCCGGCCGCGGAGGAAGGGAGGGAGCGAGGGCGGGAGCCGGGGCGGGCTGCGGGCCCCGGGCCCCGGGCACGTGTGCGGCGCGCCTCGCCGGCCTGCGGAGACACGTGGTCGCCGAGCGGGCCACGACCTTGAGGCGCCGCTTCCTCCCGGCCCGGGGTTCTCCCGCGGCTGGATAAGGGTGATCCGGGCGCCTCGTTCTGCCCCCGTCTTCACAGCTCGGGGCTGGAGGGGCCTAGGGGAGACCCACCCGGAGACCCTGCGGCCCCGCGCCGGCCTCTTTCCCAACCCTTCGGCGGCCGCGCGCTGGCCGGGGAGCCGTTGGGGAGGCCCTGGCGGCCGCGCAGCAGGTGCAGGGGCGCAGAGCCCGGGCTCGCCTTGGTACAGACGAGCGGGCCCCGGCCTTGGCGCCTTCAGTTTCCTTCCAGTTTTTATTTTCGCTGTGTCTACAGAGCAGATGACACCAATTTGGAAACCCGCGAGAGTGGGTAGAGCTAAGATAGTCTTGCTGTAGTAGCTGTGATATTAGATGCTCGGCCATGACTTAGAGGTGTTTATTTAAGGACTGTGAATGACTCGGTGATTTCGGAAAAGCTTGGCTTAGATGAACGGACATACACAGGGGAGACAGCCCTAAGGTTTGCAGAAAAGGCTGATTGTGCTGTTTGCGAAGTCGAAATAATTGGTGAAAGTGTAGAAGGCAGAACCTCTCAGGAATGTCTGGGGAGGACAAAGAATGTGTTGGCTGACTTTGTTTAAACATAAAATTGGGCAGACTTTAATTGATTTGTGAAATTTTTTTCAAAGTTTGTTTGAATTAGCCCCTATCTCTTCTAACATTATCCTCTTGTGCTAATTGATTGACCATTTTAAATAACTTAGCTGTTACAGAAAGACCGAAAGGTGTTCTTCAGTAAAATATATTCAAGTAAGTTACTTAAGTAACGCCTTAAAAGATACAGAAAAGCAAAAAAGTATTGGCGTATTAAAAAGAAATCAAAACTTTCCAAGTTTAGGCCTGAACATTGCCTTAAAAATATTTAATAAGGCCTCAAATGACCCAGTCCGAGACTGCATGAGCCTATTTATTATTAAATTGTAAATATTCTTCATATAAACAAAAATATATAACCATGTCTGTAACAAAAATGGTTTTGCTAGCGTTGTTACTCTCTTCCCTTCTCCGAGGGGTGATTTAGGCAACTTCGGAGGTTGACAATGCCAAGCAGTCACAATAGATAGAGCTTTAAAGCAAATTCTATGCATGGGTTTGGATTTATGACAGGCCCGTCACCCTGGGCCTGTCATAGTACCCCATGCCAGAGCAAACTGTGTCCCCGAACCATTGCCTGGCCTCTGTGCCCGTAGGCTGCTGGCACTGAAGTGGGTTGCACAGTGGAAAAGAAGAAAGCTCTACCTGGCAGAAATTTTTAAAGGTTAAAATAAATAATTTTAAGAAAGCTGGTTCACAAGGTGCCACATTTGATGAAAGCAAAATACAGTGGCTTTTATTGTTACTAGAGTGATGTTCTTGCTTGTTTTTCTTTTTTGGTGAAGTTAGCCCCAAATTATTCTCATAGCTAAGCAAATACGAGAGTGACTGTAAGGACAGTTGGCATTCCCGGAATTGCTAAACTTGGTAGGCAACGCTGGTTTAAGAATACTGAGTTCTAGCCGGGCGTGGTGGCTCACGCCTGTAATCCCAACACTTTGGGAGGCTGAGGCAGGCGGATCACCTGAGGTCGGGAGTTGGAGACCAGCCTGACTAACATGGAGAAACGCCATCTCCACTAAAAATATAAAATTAGCCAGGCCCCGGGTGTGGTGGCACATGCCGGTAATCCCAGCTACTCGGGAGACTGAGGCAGGAGAATCGCTTGAACCCAGGAGGCGGAGGTTGAGGTGAGCCGAGATCATGCCATTGCACTCCAGCCTGGGCAACAAGAGTAAAACTCTGTCTCAAAAAAAAAAAAAAAAAATACTGAATTCTGATCAGGTAACAGCAACTGTAATACAATGTGATAAGTTGACTTGAAGATTACAGTTTTTAAGAAGTATATACCCAGCTAATACATGAAAATTAACTCGTAAAATCTCAAATGCTCCAGACATTTCCATGATGCCTGTTGGTCAGTAAAAATCATTCTAAGACTTAGTGGAAGTAGGAAATGTTTGTATGGCTGTGTATAAAGGCTATAATGTAATCCCAGCACTTTGGAAGACCGAGGCGGGTGGATCACCTGGGGTCAGGAGTTTGAGACCCACCTGGACAACGTGGTGAAATCCTGTCTCTACTAAAAACACAAAAATTAGCCGGGCATGGTGGCAGGCGCCTGTAATCCCAGCTGCTGGGGAGGCTGAGGCAGGAGAATCGCTTGAACCCGGGAGGCAGAGGTTGCAGTGAGCCAAGATTGCACCGCTGCACTCCAGCCTGGGTGACAGCGTGAGACTCTGTCTCAAAAAAAATAAAAAAGTCTATAATGCTATTTTAAGTTTCTAAGGAACTGAAACTGCTCTGAAATAAATCAGACCATTATAAGACTTTTTTCCATATCAGTGAGCTAAGTGCAGATAAGCTTCTGAAACTTGCATGCTAGATTTTTTTGGTACAAATATTTGAAATGCTTAGTGTGCTGCCTTGGAAAAACCTGGTATTTTTTGTTGTGTCCTTATACTGCCAAGGTTTATGGAATCATGTACCTTATGCCTAGTAATAATTAGGATGACCAGGCCAGTGAGTGGTTCATATCCGGGGCATGATTAGCTCTGCGTGTGCTCAGCCAGTGCCCCATCTTCAACTCGATGTGTTCCTAAGGTAGACAGCAAATTCCCTATTTTATTTCTCAGATTGTCACTGCTGTTCCAAGGGCACACGCAGAGGGATTTGGAATTCCTGGAGAGTTGCCTTTGTGAGAAGCTGGAAATATTTCTTTCAATTCCATCTCTTAGTTTTCCATGTAAGTATTCAGTTTACATTTATGTTGCAGGTTAATCTTAAGAATTGTATTGCTAAGGCTTCTAAGTGAATTTCTCCACTCTATTTGCATTTTGTTGCATTTCAGAGGAACATCAAGAAATCATGAACAACTTTGGTAATGAAGAGTTTGACTGCCACTTCCTCGATGAAGGTTTTACTGCCAAGGACATTCTGGACCAGAAAATTAATGAAGTTTCTTCTTCTGTAAGTATATGAGGCCCATGCTGGCAGTGCAGCTGAGAGTGCCAGGCAAGTGGAAAACTTTGGCAAGGTCTAAGGAAGAGCAATGAGGCTTACATGTCTTGTTATGGAATGTAGAAATTAATTCACTGGTGGTAAATTAATAGTGATAATGGTGATACTCATATCAGTGGCTAGACTCAAAAGAGCAGGATTCATTGTGACTGATGGGAATGAAGGTCGCTGGCTATTGGTGTGGTGTGTGGTGAGGCTGCTAGTGAGTCACCTGTGACCACTCTTGTTTCAGGATGATAAGGATGCCTTCTATGTGGCAGACCTGGGAGACATTCTAAAGAAACATCTGAGGTGGTTAAAAGCTCTCCCTCGTGTCACCCCCTTTTATGCAGTCAAATGTAATGATAGCAAAGCCATCGTGAAGACCCTTGCTGCTACCGGGACAGGATTTGACTGTGCTAGCAAGGTAAGCGATAGCAGCAGGCCTCAAAAGCGTTGTATAAAATGGGCCTGGTATTCCCCACGAGGCAGATACAAGTTGTGTTTTTTGGGCAATAAATGCTCACTAAAGGCAAATGGGGCGGGGGGGTACATGACAACTTCCCATGCTTTTCTGTTTATTCCACGTGTTAAGCCACATATGGATAGCATGACACCACTCTTCTTTTTCAGACTGAAATACAGTTGGTGCAGAGTCTGGGGGTGCCTCCAGAGAGGATTATCTATGCAAATCCTTGTAAACAAGTATCTCAAATTAAGTATGCTGCTAATAATGGAGTCCAGATGATGACTTTTGATAGTGAAGTTGAGTTGATGAAAGTTGCCAGAGCACATCCCAAAGCAAAGTGAGTTATTCCCCCATCTGAGGGCAAGATCGGGAGCATAAGATATGTGGATTCTTATCAAACAAACTTAAATTTCTGATTATTATATTTCTATACTTTAGTAGAAAGTAGTTGAAACCCCCATTGAGTCATGAAGCCTGGGACTCAAACTACAGAATATATCAGCGACAGTATTTAGAACAGGATTGTTTTTATTTTAATTGTGGCTATAAGTGAACATCTATCATGAGACATTTGCTGCACTTTCCTTGCTTGTAGGTTGGTTTTGCGGATTGCCACTGATGATTCCAAAGCAGTCTGTCGTCTCAGTGTGAAATTCGGTGCCACGCTCAGAACCAGCAGGCTCCTTTTGGAACGGGCGAAAGAGCTAAATATCGATGTTGTTGGTGTCAGGTGAGATTTTGGTGGGATAGCTAGAGGTCAAGACATTGAACAGTTTGAGTTTTACAGGCTTTCTCCTAGTGTTTGCTATTATTTTAAGAAATACTAAGACACAGTGTCTCGTCTCTTTATTTTACCCCAGCTTCCATGTAGGAAGCGGCTGTACCGATCCTGAGACCTTCGTGCAGGCAATCTCTGATGCCCGCTGTGTTTTTGACATGGGGGTGAGTATACGTGACCCTGTTAGGGAAGGGCGGGACACAACTGACAATAACTAGTCTTAATTCTAGAGTTAACTTTTTATGGCAGTTGGTTCTGTATTACATGGGTTTCAGCCTATCTGCTGCATACATTTTTGTTATTAGCTGTGGATCTGGCTGACTTATTTTCTTGATTCTAGGCTGAGGTTGGTTTCAGCATGTATCTGCTTGATATTGGCGGTGGCTTTCCTGGATCTGAGGATGTGAAACTTAAATTTGAAGAGGTAATTTAGAACAAAACTGTAATACTCAGTAGCCGTTCTAATAAATTCCTTTTTGGAATATTTCAAAATTTAAGTGTCTTAACTAATACCACAATGGGCTGAAGTGTCTTGGTGTGATATTTTGAGTGATTTCTTTGTGCTGTCTGACATTACACTTGATACCATTTGGTTTTCTAAAGTGTGAATCAGCTTTCCCAGAAGTCTTGGATAATTGGTTACATTGGAAATCATGGCTCACACCTGTAATCCAGCACTTGGGGAGGCCAAGGTGGTAGGATCACTTGAGCCCAGGAGTTTGAGACCAGCCTGGGCAACACAGTGAGACCCCATCTCTACAAAAAAAATTTTAAAATTAGCCTGGTGTGGTGGCGGGCACCTGTAATCCCAGCTACTTGGAAGGCTGAGGTGGGAGGATCACTTGAGCCCAGGAGGTTGAGGCTGCAGTGAGCCATGATCATGCCACTGCACTCAGCCTGGGCTACAGAGTGAGACCCTGTCTCAAAAAAAAAAAAGAAAAAGCATGTTGCTGTGGGCTTCCTAGAGAATATGCTGACTGTAGCACATCATCACCCCAAATGTGCTTTGCTAGACCTATGCTTCCTCTCCTTAAAATACTTGAAATGTTTAGTCACTTAGGAAGTTAAGCCATTATATTGGTGCTTGAATTTATAAAATATATCCACATGGTTTGTTAAAATCATGACGTAGGCAGAATAGGATTTTTATCCTGTTGGCATGTATTTGTTAAAATGTTTTGACATCTTGATGCCTTCCTAGGTAGTAGTTAGTTGCGTACTGTTCTTTGATAAAAATCATACCCATAACATCCTAAAGGAGATAGGGTGCCTGGAGGGGAATGAAAACGAGCCACCTGGGATATGTAGCCTGGTTTTCAGGGAGATGTTGATGTTTTTTTGCTTTTGTTACTTTAATGATAAACCTGTCTGTTGATGCCTGGTCTCATGATGTCATGTCACAAGGCCCTGTGATGTTACTCCCCCATGTGAATTTCCCACAATGAAGGCTGCTCTTTCTTTTCTGTTTCACTCTCTTAGATCACCGGCGTAATCAACCCAGCGTTGGACAAATACTTTCCGTCAGACTCTGGAGTGAGAATCATAGCTGAGCCCGGCAGATACTATGTTGCATCAGCTTTCACGCTTGCAGTTAATATCATTGCCAAGAAAATTGTATTAAAGGAACAGACGGGCTCTGATGGTATGTATAAAGGACGAATCACTTCATGTATAACTGAAAGCTGATGCAAAAAGTCATTAAGATTGTTGATCTGCCTTTCTAGACGAAGATGAGTCGAGTGAGCAGACCTTTATGTATTATGTGAATGATGGCGTCTATGGATCATTTAATTGCATACTCTATGACCACGCACATGTAAAGCCCCTTCTGCAAAAGGTAATTTCTGAGCATACTGTATAAAACAATTAAGAGGACTGGTCACAACACGTGTAATTAAGTAGTACTTCCTCTCTCCGTCTCTTTATATAGAGACCTAAACCAGATGAGAAGTATTATTCATCCAGCATATGGGGACCAACATGTGATGGCCTCGATCGGATTGTTGAGCGCTGTGACCTGCCTGAAATGCATGTGGGTGATTGGATGCTCTTTGAAAACATGGGCGCTTACACTGTTGCTGCTGCCTCTACGTTCAATGGCTTCCAGAGGCCGACGATCTACTATGTGATGTCAGGGCCTGCGTGGTAAGTAAGCCATGCATGTTGATGGTGCTGCCAAGAATAGGCACCTTCTTGGATGTGTGCTTCTTGTCTAGACGAATAAGAAATTGTCTTGCCTAAGATTAAATATATATGGATATTTTTCCTAAGAAAAGTTTTAGAAAAGACTGATGAGTGTATTTCTATGTAATTGGAATATATTTAAGTTCATGCCATGTGTCTTGTGGTTTCCTTATTACCAAAACGGTGACTGAAGAAACGCTTGCTTTAGAAATACATTGAATTGGCCAGGTGTGCTGGCTCACACCTGAAATCACAACACATTGGGAGGCCAAGGCAGAAGGATCACTTGAGCCCAGGAGTTCGAGCCTGGGCAACATAGTGAGACCCTGTCTCTACAAAAAATTAAAAAATTAGTTGGCCATGGTAGTGGGCGCCTGTAGTCCCAGCTGCTTGGCTAAGGTGAGAGGTTTGCTTGAGCCTGGGAGGTTGAGGCTGCGGTGAGCTATGATAGCACCATTGTATTCCAGCCTGAGTAACAGAGAAAGACCCTGTCTCAGAAAAAAAAAAAATACATTGAATTGTTTCCTGATGGGAAGTAAATACTCTCATGCCCAGTTAGGAGTGAGTCAGGGTTTTTAATATGCCACTTTTTCTTTCTCAGGCAACTCATGCAGCAATTCCAGAACCCCGACTTCCCACCCGAAGTAGAGGAACAGGATGCCAGCACCCTGCCTGTGTCTTGTGCCTGGGAGAGTGGGATGAAACGCCACAGAGCAGCCTGTGCTTCGGCTAGTATTAATGTGTAGATAGCACTCTGGTAGCTGTTAACTGCAAGTTTAGCTTGAATTAAGGGATTTGGGGGGACCATGTAACTTAATTACTGCTAGTTTTGAAATGTCTTTGTAAGAGTAGGGTCGCCATGATGCAGCCATATGGAAGACTAGGATATGGGTCACACTTATCTGTGTTCCTATGGAAACTATTTGAATATTTGTTTTATATGGATTTTTATTCACTCTTCAGACACGCTACTCAAGAGTGCCCCTCAGCTGCTGAACAAGCATTTGTAGCTTGTACAATGGCAGAATGGGCCAAAAGCTTAGTGTTGTGACCTGTTTTTAAAATAAAGTATCTTGAAATAATTAGGCATTGGGACGTTTTTATGGTGTGTTCATTCCAGACAGTTCACGAATCCCGTATAGCTCGCTCTGATTCTCAGAGAACAATGAGTGGGTCCACCCACACACAGGTAGGAGGACAGGTGAGACGGAAGCCCCATCCTCCCATGTGGACGGTGCACATCTGCTCAGCCCACCCCACATGTCCAGAGTTGGCTGCAAACTCCTTGTCCAGAGCCTCTGGTGGTGGGACCTACTTAAGTCTGACGGACCTGTCCTGTCCAGGCCAGTGCCCAGGGAAGGTGTGGGAGGCCCTTTGAGCCTGGCCTGCAGAGACCATCCGTGTCCCCTCCCACCTTCATGCCTGTGAGAAGTTAGGAATGTATACGGTACCACATTTGGCAGTCAGCTTATTTTAATAAATTCAGCAACAGCAAGTCCCTACCATGTTGTGTATCTTCACCATCTTGTCTGACCATGACCACTGGCCTTGTGTGTTCTTTTACTCAACGTGTACCCCCGCTCTCCCCCAAAGTGTGGCAGGCTCTCATGCTCCTTAACCCCCATTGTGGCAATGTCTTACGGGTAACGCTGGAGCTGCAGGAGGAGGGAAGGACACGTCAGAGCCACCAGGCAGTGGGAGCATCTTGGAGTCCCCACCAGCCTCATGAGGGGGACAGGAAGAGAGCAAATGTGTAGGGAGGAAGGCTGTGGCTCCTCCCGGGGTGGGAAGGTCAAGCCGATGCTGTCACCCATTTACCAAAGCTGAAGAGAGTGACTTCCTTTCTCAAAAGCATCACCTTCCCCTGAACCCTGAGTCCAGAGAAGCCAGGAGCCCTCATGTGGCTGCCGAGTTAGCTCAGGGCTTGGCTTATCACCAACTCTGGTCTCCCTGGGCCAGGGTTGCCAAAACATGAAAGATTTTTTCAGGAGCCAGAGGTTGGTTCTGACTGGAGGGGGAGGGCGGGAAGGAGTGCTGTAGTCCACAGCCCTACCTTCCGGGAGCCTGAGAAGTAGGATGCTGGTGTGTTTGGGTAACTCTGAGCTCCCCAACAAGGGCAGTTCCCTGGGATCCGGGACCCACTATGTTAAGAGAGTTGGCACTGAGTATGTACTGTGTGCCAAGAAATTTGAGCTAGACACCAAGCCTAGAATCTTGGTAAATTAGGTCTTCCATCTTAAAAAGGAAGAAATTCCCGAGATCGCTTAGTGGCAGTGGTGAGCTTGGACTGAAAAGGGGGGTATTCCACTCAAAATCAACTAAGGCTTTGGAAACAATGCTCTTTCAGCCAGTTAGGGAAAATGTAATCCAACAACGGTCAGTAGTGCCAGTGGGGACAGAAACAGCCGCAGGTAATCCCGTGCTACACGTGAGTGGCCCCTGAAACCTCGCTTCTGACCACAGCTTGGCGTAGCCACTTACAGGCCCCAACAAAGCCAGACTTGGGTCTGTGAAATGATGTGGCCAGGCTTGATCAAGTGATCTTCCTTGGCCCTTGTACATGGGAGCAGGCAGGCGAATTTGGCAGGAGAGACCAGAGAACGAGGACAGCCAGACGGTAGCCGGGGCTGTGTCGACACCAGGCACCGTCCTCCAGGAGGCTTAAGTCCTGCTTTGCATTTGGGTATCTCCACGTCATTTTTAAAGATGGTGCTGTCTGGTCGTGCACAGATACTGGGCATTTCTAGACTCGTGACTTGAAGTGAATACAGCTCCACCAAGACCACTTGTGAATTTCTTCCTGGCGTGCTGGCCCCCGGGAGAGGGGATTCAGGGGAATTGAACTATTGGGCAAAGGTAAAGGCAGCCAGAGTGCATTAGAATCACTTAGGGTGCTTCTTAAAAATACTCATTATTGCCCCCTGACCACTTTCCCCAGACTCTGGGGATGGAGTAGTGTTGGAGCAACTGGAGAACCATCTGGAAGACATAAAAGTATCCCCAACTCCTGCTCCAAAATACATTCCAGATAGATGAAAGTTTTAAATATAACAGATTAGACCATAAACCTACTGGAAACAAAGTCAAAAGGCAAGGGACCAACGGCTACAATGCCCGTGAAAAGGACTAATTTTCTTCATATTAAAAACAACAAATCAATAAAGTAACTATGCAATAGAAAGTGGGCAAGGCATAAACTTGGCTCACAGTAAAGTTTTTTTTTTTTTGGTAGGCAGAGTCTCACTCTCACCCAGGCTGGAATGCAGTGGCACCATCTCAGCTCACTGTAACCTCTGTCTCCCGGGTTCAAACGATTCTTCTGCCTCAGCCCCCTGAGTAGCTAGGACTACAGGTGCATGCCACCACACCGGGCTAATTTTTGTATTTGTAGTAGAGACGGTTTCACCATGTTGGCCAGGCTGGCCTTGAACTCCTGGTCTCAAGTGATCCACCCGTCTCTGCCTCCCAAAGTGCAGGGATTATAAGCATGAGCCACCACGCCCAGCCAACAGTAAACTTTTTGAACATGAAGACATTTGTCAACCAAAGGAAACACACAGTAAAACTATGAGAATCTATTTCTCACCTATCAGATTGGCAAAGACAAGAGTTCCCCAGCTCGCGGGGTGAGCAGGTGTGCTCAAGCACTGGGCGGAAAAGTAAATTAGAGCAACAGTCTCTTTGGAGGGAACTTGATAATATCAATAATCCACATTATCTTTGACCCAGCAGTTCTAAGAATTTCTCTGATGATACTCTTCTAAAATTATTCATTGTGGCATCATTTGTAAACAATCTCTTGTACACAAGCAGGTACTGATGAAATTGTCAATGGAACGGGATATACAGTGGTTAAGGAATGAAGCAGATTCATCAGTACTGATAAGGAACAAGCTCCAAGCTAGATTCAGTGAGGATAGCAAAGCAAGGGGCACGTGTAGTATGCTACTGTGTGTGTAAAAAGCAAAATCAAACCCCAACAAACTGTGTGTGTACATACATACTTGCATATGCATGGCATATTTCTGGAAGAGCTTGTAAGAAACGGGTAACAGAGGTTGCCTCTAGGCAGAAGAACCAGAGGCCTGGGCCGAGAGTGGGGACTGGCTCCACACTGCGCTTTTGATATTGGAATGTATTACTGACTTTACGAGGATTGTAAAATAGGTTTCCCGCGTGAAGACATAAACTCAGAGATGAACTCAAGTCACGCAGATAGTGAGGCAGCATTCAAGCCAGGTCAGAGGACCCCAGCATTCATTCGGTGTTTCCCTACCCTGGGAACATGCTGTTAAGCAGCTGGAGGGTGGCTTGGGCAGTGGACTGGCTCAGGGGGACATGGTAGAGTTGCTCACGACCTGGTCCTCACCTTTGCAGGGTCCAGGAGGGCTGGCTCATGCCAACCCAGCTCATGAGGCCGACGAAGGCAGCAGACCCATCAGAAGCCAAAGATGGGAACATTCCTGGCACATCAGCAGGTGGTCAACCCCTCCCTCCCCGACAGTGTCAGGGCCAGGCACTGCCCCTCACAGATAGCCTGCAGCAACCAAGGGCAGGCCAGAAGCCGGTGGGCAGAGCAAGCCACGTGTGCCCCCTGCGGCCCTCTTGAGCCCTGGCTGATGCCCACTTTGCACTTTCTCGTGGGTAGGGCCTGCCCCTTCCCGGGCCTCACTCGGCTTGTCTTGTGAAGTCATGTGCTCGTCACACCCCAGCAGTGACCTCTGCTACTGGGACCACACATCTCTTCGCAGGTTCCCTCCTTACTAGATTTTCCTAAGTGACTCGAAGTGGCTGGCTAGCCCCTTCCGCTTAGGGGGTTTTCTGGCTGTCACCCTGTACCCTCTTTGACATGGGCCCTCCCCCATGCTGGATCTGGGGGTTTGCTTTGCACCATCTCTGGGCCCGGCTGGAAAACTGCCCCTGAAGGCAAGAGTCGACCCATTTCAAATCGGGCTCTGTCCCCACCAGGGATTCCCGAGAAGCCTCAGTGCCTGGGGGTGAGGGGGGCAAGTGGGGGGCTCTGCCTTCTCCGCCTCACCCAATCTCACCCATCGGGTTTCAAGGTAGGACGTCATGTGAAGCAAAGGCTTTGCAGAGTTCTCCCAGTTCTTGTTTTTTACAGATGGGATGAAGCCCAGAGAGGCCAAGTGACTCGTCCAAGGCGAGTCTGTAAGTTAGAAGGAGGGCCTGGGTGTCCTCAGGGCCCTGCCTCGCCAGCCAGCTTCTGCTCCTGGGCTCTTGCTGAACAATGACCATGACTAGAATGCGGCATCCTTCTCTCACCAAGGGCAACGTGTTCCCGGCCCCTGCTCTCTGCCAATCCTATTCCCTGCCAGGGTGGCAGAGGCAGCCCCGAGCACCCATGGCTCCGGAATACCACAGACGGTGGCACCTGGCCCTGCATTCCTGCTGTGGCTTCAGCTTCGGCTGGAGCTGGACAGACGAAGCTGGACCCAGGCCCCACACCTCACTAGGCACTAGCCAGACCCAGGCCCTATGCCTCACTAGGCACAGGGGTCCCCACGGCCGCCTCCTTCTGAGTGGGGGTTGAGCTGGTGCCCCCCACCCACGGCAGGGCAGCTACAAGGGAGGATTGGTGAAGGCCCGAATGCAGGGCACAGAGTGGAAGCGCCTCCGGAATTCTTGCTGCTGTTGGGAGTTCGGAGAATTTTATCCACATGCAGCACTGACTCCAGGCTGGAGAGGGCTGTGACCAGGCGTGCTCTGCCACTGGCCAGGGGTTACCTAGGTGGAGCTCAGTCAGGTGACTTGTGGAGCTCAGGCCCGTGAGCTTGTGAGCTGGGGAGCGGGGGTCTCCAGGCTGGGCCAGCTCGGGGGTGGCTCCGCAGGGGAGGAGACCTGGTGCCCTGCTGGGCGAGGGTCAGTCTGGGCCTGGGTGGTTCCGCCAGGAGGGTCATGCACCTGGCCCTGGGGGTGCCTGTCAGAAGGCCTGGCCCTTCCAGCTTCTCACCCGCCCCAGGGCTGTGCAGGCCCCACTCCCTGGCTTCTCAAGGAGGGTTGCCAGACTTAGCACAAAGATAAGATACTGCACGGGACATATGTCAGCTGCAAAATTGCTTCTCGTTGATCTGAAATTCAAGTGTAACTGGGTGCCCTGTATTGTATCTGGCATTCCTATCTGGCAATAAGGCCTCTGGTCCTGGGTACCGGGAGCCTGGCCTCAGCTTTTGTGTGCCGTTTGGCCCACCACAAGTCAGGGGCTCCTCTGGGCCTCAGCATCCTCCTCTGTCATCAAATGCCGCCCAGGACAGAAAGCTTTTCTCGAAAGCAGGCCCAGCTGGAACCCGCACACCCAAGCCCTGGATGGCCCTCCTAGCTATGGACACCAGGGGGCAGCAGCACCCCGCGGTGGCAGCGCGGTCGGGGCCAGGAAAAGGCAGTCAAATCACTCGACCACTGGGCAAACACTGATAGCTCCACTATCGCAGGGGGCCCTTGACAGCCACAGGGCTGTGAGACTGGAGCGTGGCCTCGATCCAGAGCTCCCGACTCAGCCACTCCAGGGTCCCGGGGGCTTTGAGGAAGGGGCACCAGGCAGCCCAGTCCCCGACCAGACCACTCCCCTGACCCCCAAAACACTTCCTGAGGCCCCCCAGGTGAAGCCCCCAGCCCAGCCCCTGCACCCCTGCCCCATGTTGTAGAACCAGCCCTGTGTACAGCTGGTGGGGCCCTGCAGCCTTGGTCCTGCCTGTCCCCCTGCCCGTCCCCGAAGTGGCCCCAATCCCCTCTGAGGTGTTCCCAATCCTCCCCTGTGCCCACCAGCGACTGGTGACCCCACCCGGCCTCCCCTGACCACCCCCCATGATAGGCTGAGTGGGCGGAGGGCAGATCTCCCCCCGCCACCCCTCCTGTGGGGCTGGTGCCTGGCACCTGTCCCTGAGCCAGAGGCAGAGCCCACCTGAGGCTGCCTGTGCCGCCCTCCCCATCCCCCACACACTACCACACATGCAAACACACCACACACATCCACAGCGCACACTAAGACCACATGCCCCAGCCTCACACACACCCCACAAGACACCCGCACACATGGCTCCCATGCTCTGCCATCCCTGCCAGGGTGCCTGACCCTAACCCTGGGGCCCCCACCTTCGGAGGTCCCCAGGAACCTGGAGGTCAGGTCCTGCCCCTGAGGACCCTTGCCATTCCCCTCAAGGCCCTGCAGCCCCTCCCTCTGCCCCTGGTTCCCTGACCACATGGTTTACAGATGAAGACACAGCGCTTGTCCAGTGCCAGGCGGCTCATTCGAGGTGGAGCTGGGACTTGGCCTGGGTCTCAGTGTGTGTCCAGGGCATAAGCTCATGCGGTTCCAGCTGCGTGAAGACAGAGCAGAGCCACCTGCTGACCCTCCCTTCATTCATTCATCCCCACTCATTCCTGAGCAGCCTCGCAGGGCTTCAGGGTGGAGACGACCAGAGTAATTTGATGAGGTCACCGAAGGCGACCTCTGGAGGAGGGGACATGGAGGCCTAGGACAGGCCTGGTGCAGGGAAGCTCAGTGTGGAGGGAGGCCACTGTGGGCCCAGGTGGGCCAGGAAGGGGAGCAGGGTGCCCAGAGCCCAGGCCCAGCCTCTCAGGCCACGGAGACAGGCACCCCACCTGGCCCTCCTGGAATGAGCTGTCAGGGCTGCCACTCAACAGCCTCATGTGGCACTCCAGAAGCCACCCACCTGTGGACTCGGGTCCACCACAGCACACGCAATGCCACACACACACACACACACACACACACAGTACAGTACACACCACCACACACATTCACAGCACACGCAATGCCACTCACACACAGCACACACCACCACACACATCCACAGCATACACAGTTACACCATGCCCCACACACCATGACACACACAGACACACATGCATCCACAACACACACATGTACACATAGTTACACCATGCCCCACACACCACCACACACGCAAACATACCACACACATCCACAGCACACACACAGTCACACCATCCCTCACACACCACTACACACGCAAATACACCACACACATCCACATCACACAAAGTCACACCATGCCCCACACACCACCACACACGCAAACATACCACACACATACACATCGCACACACGGTCACACCATGCCCACACACCACCACACATGCAAACACACCACACACCTCGACATCACACACAAAGTCACACCATCCCCACACCATTCCCACACACCCAAACACACCACACACATCCACAGCACACACTAAGACCACATGCCCCAGCCACACACACACCCAAGACAACACACAGACGCACACACACACACCTAGTGGATGAGCCCGCTCGAGCCCGGAGGGCCTGGCTGCAGCTGGAAGAGGCCGTGGGCAGGTGGCTCCAGGGCGGGCCAGGGTCTGCCTTCCCGTGAACTGCAGGAGGCAGGTGGCCCCTTCAGGTCGGGGCCCCATGGTACAGTCACACAGCCCGCTGGGAAGAGCCGGAGGAGCTGAGGCCTTCCAGGGGCCCTCCAGGGGCTGCCGCCCCGCCCGCCCCCGCTGGCCTCAGTCACCCCTCCTCCCGAGCTCCCTCCCACCCTCCCCAGCCTCCTGCCCCAGGCAGGCTGTACCCGCCCCCGCAGCTCCTGCGCCCCGGCAGTGCCCTGCTGTGCCATGCCCCGCGCTGGCCCTGGGGAGGTGTTTGCTGGATAAACAGCTGCCCCCCGGGGCCCAGGCCGCAGTGCTCCTTCGCCACCGTGTCTCCAGCATCACCCCTTCTCCTCTGAGACCTCTTCCCAGGCCACAGTAAGGGAGCCCCAAGCCAAGGAGAGGGCGTGCCCAGCTTAAAGGAAACTGACCTTGGCCCTGCCCTACCCCGCCCCACTCTGGGCCGGGATACATCGCTGCCGACCCGGAGCCGGAGCCCAGGACCAGCGGGCACCAGGCCCCTGCGCCGCAGTGGCGGGGTCAGAGCGGCAGGACTGGGTGGCTGGTGACAGGTGGGACTAGCGCGGGACCACTTGCCTCTCGAGCCGAGCCCCGCCCCTGCCCCACAGCTCCATTTTCTTCTTGTTCCTTTCAGGGCTGCCAGGCTGCCCCAAGCCGGAGTCTGTTCCCCGACGGCCGAGGCTCCCGCTGGCTGGCAGCTCCCCAGGCGTGTGGGTTTGATTCCCAACGGCGCCCAGCCCAGGGCAAGGCGGCTGGGGGAAGGCCACGCCACGGATGAACCCAAGGCCGAACTCCTGTTTTTCTAAATACCTTTTCCGGGGCCCACGAGGTCCCTCTCAGAAGCCTGAAGGTCCTGTGGGTTCTGTCTCCTCTTGGGGGGCTGTGATCCTAACTGGACCCCCGTTTTGGGTCCCTGCTCATGCGCACCCCTGATCTCAAGAGGCAGATAGAAGATCTAATGACGTACCTGCCTAAGCCCGGCAAGGAGGGGAGGGTTCCATTCGGAGTCCAGTGCCCCGCCCTGAGAAACGGGCGCTCAGGAGGGCGCCCCTCAGGCAGTGGTGGGGAGGCGCGCCCCCTTCTCCACTAGGGCGTGACCTGGCACGGGGTGGGGAGGGAGTCAGGCCTGGGTGCCACAAATACAGTGCGTTTAAGTCTTGTTCAGGGACCCAGGGAGAAACTCCTTCATTTCTCTAGACACCAGGGGCCCTGAAGGAGGCCGCTGGCAAGGAAACATGGACCCGGCTCCAGCCCAGCTACTGGAAGACCTTTCTGGAATCGGGAGAAGACGCACCTCGGACTTGGGAGCTGATCCTTCTTTCAATTCCTGATTCTGCCACCTCTTGCTAAGGATTTCAGGCTAGTTACTTAACTTCTCTTAAACCAGCATTATCAATCTGTATAATGTGGTAGTGATACCACATTGCAGGGTTGATGGGAGGGTTAAATTAGACGTTTAAAGTTTTAAACAGTGTCTGTACGTGGAAACCCTTGATAAATGGGAGCTAATGTTTTGCTAGCTCAATGCTGGTTCCCACGCGGGAGGCCAGTCTACCCAAGCAGAAAATGCCTGGGGCTGTATTAATTAAGGCCTAAGGTTCAGAGTAAGGGAGGTGACAGTCTTGCCCTACTAGGGGTTCATCGTGGCCTGACTAGATGAACTGTCTTGGGACTAACACCTCATACTGCCACCCTTCCCTCCACACTCCAGGGCTTCCTTCCTTCGAGTCTAAACATTTTCCTGTCTCAGGAGTTGTTCCCATTACCCTGTATTTACTCAGTGAGCATGGGACACCATGCAGTGAGTGTCAGGACAGCTGGTGGATGGGACCATGGAGCCACCGGAGCCATTTTCCAGAGTTTCTGTTGAGTCCACCCACATAAGCCTTGCTTATGCAGGTACATGATTAGATCTTCTATCTGTCTATAGGATAAGGGACACTTGTATGCAACTCCCAAGGAACTTTAACAACTTGGAGTGCCCGTGCAGGATGGCAAAGGGTCTGGGATCCCCTGGGGCAAGGAGAAGGCAGGACAAGAGAGAAGCTTGCAGAAGGAGGTGGTTGGAGGAAGAGGAAGCAGGCCCAGGGCCAGTACTGCAAATTACCAGGGAAGGACAGGTGGAGACACTTTCTTTCTTTTTTTTTTTTTTTTTGAGACAGAGTCTCTGTCACCCAGGCTACAGTGCAGTGGCACCGTCTCGGCTCACTGCAACCTCCGACTTCTGGGTTTACGCCATTCTCCTGCCTCAGCCTCCTGAGTAGCTGGGACTACAGGCGCCCACCACCATGCCCGGCTAATTTTTTATATTTTTAGTAGAGACGGGGTTTCACCGTGTTAGCCAGAATGGTCTCGATTTCCTGACCTCATGATCCACCCGCTTTGGCCTCCCAAAGTGCTGTGATTACAGGCGTGAGCCACCGCACCCAGCCGAGACACTTTCTAACAACCCGCCCTGAAAGATCCTGATCCCGGACAAAGGAAGAGACTGAGGAGGCCTCCTGCTGGGTGGGTGGCATGGACGACAGTTTTGGGTTCACTTCTGGGTTCTTTCCTCCTCTGATAGGCTGGGCTTCTTGGCACAGGGACACCATCTTTGGGGTTCAATTCCCTGCCTTCCCAGAGAGCACTGGACTCCTGGACAAATCATACTGGCTTCTGTGAGCTCCTTGTAGGGCAGGGTCCACTAGGATCCCCATATCTACCTCCTCCATATCTGAGCAGAGGTGGTTATAATGGTTAATTTTATGTGTCAACATGACTGGGCCAGGGGGTACCCAGACATTTGGGCAAACCGATTATTTTGGGTGTGCCTGTGAGGGTGCTTTTGGATGAATTTGACATTGGAACTGGTGACCAATGGGGGAACCAGGTGGGGTAAAGCAGATCCCCCTCCCCAATGTGGGGGTCCTCATCCACTCAGCTGAAGGCCTGAATAGGACAAAAGCCTGAGAATTTGTTCTTTGCCTCACAGTCTTGAGCTGGGACATTGGCCTCCTCCTCCCTTAAGATTCAGACTGGAACTACACCATTAGCTCTCCTGGGTCCCCAGCTTGCTGACCTCTGTCTACAGGGGACAGGGCTGCTTGTCTCCTTGGGACCTCTCAGCCTCCATAATCACGTATAAGCCAATTCCTTATGATAAATACATCTATCTAACCATCCATTCGCCTACCCATTCATCCATCCATCCATCCATCCATCCATCCATCCATCCACCCACCCGCCCACCCATCCATGCATCCACCCTCCCATCCAACCAATCACCCACCCATCCATACATACATACATCCACCCACCTGCCCACCCATCCACCCATCCATCCAGCCACCCACCCACCAACCCATCCATGCATCTACCCACCCACCCAACCATTCACCCATCCATCCATCCATCCATCCACCCACCCACCCACCCACCCATGCATGCATCCACCCACCCACCCAACCATTCACCCACCCATCCACCCATCCATCCATCCACCCACCCACCCAACCATCCATCCACCCATCCATCCATCCATCCAGCCACCCATTCATCCATCAACCGATCCACCTAGGGACCCATCCACCCACCCACCCATCCACCCATACTCCCATCCATCCATCTACCCACCGACCCATCCATCGACCCACCCATCCACCTATCGATCCACCCACCGACCCACCCATTCACCAACCCATCCACCCAGCCATCCATCCACCCATCCATGCATCCACCTGTCTATGCATCCACCCACCCATCCATTCACCCACCCATCCCCTCACCCACTCATCCATACATCCATCCATCCATCCATCCACCCACCCACCCACCCATCCATCCACCCACCCCTCCCATCCATGCATGTCTCCTATCAGTTCTGTTCCTGGAGAACCCTGACTAATGTAGTGGTCACTCCCATCTGTTTCTGTTGGACTCTGTCCCCATCATAAGTGAGCCCTCCCCACAACAAGCACTCTTGATTTAACCTTTGCCAGTCCCAGTTAAATGTTTATAAAATTCAAGCCGTTCACTGGCTGTTCTTCCAGGTGAGGCAGTGTTGCCAAAGGCACCGTCTTGCCTCTTTGTAGCAAGCTAGATCTGCCCAGGGCACCTGGCCTCCATCTCGCACCCCACCTGGTTCCCCCATCAAGGCTTGGTGGCTCTGGGTGCATGGAGAGTTTTACTATGAAATAGCTCTAGCAGTGCCATTGACTCAGAAGGCACTTGGCAAACAGACTCACCATTTCTATTAAAAGAGACATGGAGTCTTAAAAAATATTAAAATGACTAAAATCAACAAATTAGCTGCTGTTGCTGAAGGCCTGCTGGGAGGCAGGTTCCAAGCCATGCGCTTTGCATATGTGACCTTGAGCCACCCAGCTCCCCCCATCCCCTACAGTGAAGACACTGAGGCACAGAGGAGCCGACAGCAGCAGGCAGGTGGGCAGACGCCGTAGTGCCCGTCCTGGTAATAGAACCTCCATTCCACTCACCCCTTCCCAACCCTATGCCCTCTGGGGGAGGCAGATGCCACCTTGGCCAAGGGCCATCTTGACCAGCGTAAGCCAGCCGTGGCCATGACATGGTCATCTTGTGAACACAGGCCATGGTTTCAGCCATGAGATGTGGGGCTGGTGGGGACGGGGTGGTGGGCAGATTCTGGAGGGTTTTCCTGTCCCTCAGTGGGAGGACAGAGGCTTCTCTCCCTGCCTCTTGATGCTCCCATGTCAGCTGTACTGCCCAGAACCACAACAGCAGTTGTAGGCACCCCAGGAAGACAAGCCTGAGGTGAAAAGCTGACTGTGATTAGGAGGCGCAGTGCTGTTCACCCGAGGTCCCAGCTACTCAGGAGGCTGATGCGAAAGGATTGCTGGAGCCCAGGAGGTTGAGGCCAGCCTGGGCAACATAGAGAGACACTCTCTCTTAAAAAAAGAAAAAAAAAAAGACAAGCTGATGCCTGGGGATCCCCAGCGATGCTGCCTTTGGATCCCTTGGCAGGCGAGACCAACCAACCCCCACTTCTTCAGCTGGGCCTTCTGCTGCTGGGACCAGAAGCACTGACGGCAGCGGCGAAGGCTGGATGGAGAACCAGGCCTGCCACCTCTGGGTCCAGCCTGACTGCACCCTTGGCTATGCCCGTCCTCTCTTGGAATGTGGCTTTCCTACGACCTGAAACCGTGGAAGGAGAAGGAGAGGGAAGGGCTGGGGGGAGGCAGAAGCCTGACCGTCAGATCTGCCAAGAACAGTCATCGTTTATTTCCACGAGTATTTCTTGGCATTAGGCAGATATTGAAGAACAGGCTGTGCAAGATTTATAAACGCGGGGACAGCTGGAGGGACGTAAGAGGGGCCGGATTTACCAACAGCGGTGGCACGCAGCACACCCGCCTTGCCTGGAGAGTGCAGGGGCCACGGCCTGAGGAATGGGGGCTCCCGCGGGCAGACGCAAAACTCAGAAAATGCCATTTATTTTATCATTTTAATACCGGAAATGCCAGACCAATCAACAGGGAGGACAGACCAGACACAAATGCCTGTGCTCACAACACGGATGGGAGGATCATCACGGCTCAGGGCACACATGCATTTCCTTAGAAACAGGCAGACAAAGAGAGCATAAATACCACACAACAGCCAGGCTCAGGGGGCTGCGGGCCACAGAGGGCTGCGCTTCAAAGGCAGTCAGAGGCATTAAATACGGGACCTACACAATACACTCCACTTCACCATACATAATTTATATATTAAAAGAAAGGGGACCACAGTATCTATACGTGCAAGCGGCTGTGGTGGAGAAAATGAACGGGGGGGCAGCCATGCACGGGAGGGGCTCCCTGTATACCCTCCCGACGCCTCGTCCCCACCCTTCCCACAGAGTCACTTGGGATCACAAAACGCATGGGCCGGCCGGGGCGCAGCCTCGGGAGGTCCTGCCTGGTCTCCTCGGCATGGACCTCTGAGCTCCCCGTGAGCCGGGAGGTGCCTGGAACCAAGAACACTTGAACCCTGCATGTCACCACATCCCTGGGAGTTGCCCTGGAAGGGACCGGGCCAGGCGTGAGGGGAGGAATGTCGCGTTGGTCAGGTGGAGGAGGGAGGCGCAGCCACCGGGCTGGGCAGGTGCAACGCATGCCCCAGGCCCGGGGCCCGGGAGAGCAGGAACGATTGCGGGGCATCCACTCTTGCAAGCAAAGCTTAAACGGCACGACAAGCCTGTGTTTCTCTGCAACTGTCCAGGGGCCGCTCGCTCAGAACTGACTGGCACTGCTGGGGTCGCACTGCAGCAGGCGGACGATGGAGGGGTCGCTCTTGGCACCTCTGATGAATTCTTCCAAGGACAGTTTGCCTGCAGGGGACCAGAGACAATGGGATTAGCCAGTGCTCACTGTTCTTTATGCTTCCAGAGAGGATGGGGACAGCTCTCAGGTCAGGTATGCTCCCTTTGTTGAAAGTCCTGAGCCTTCTTGAAGCTGGACGGTGTCTAGTCTCCATTCACTTTACAGGCATTTCTGAAAAAAAATCCTTTTTCCTTTCCCTGCTCCCTGCAATACATCAGGTACCTCAAAGGGCTTACCCAGCAAGCTCAGCAGGACGTGGCTGATGAGGGCCATTTAAATCCTTTTAGAAATCACCCCACACTTCGCTTATTAAGGAACGTGTACACTGTGCAGAAAAATGAAGCATTTGCCTCTAACCCATACAGAATCCAGGCTGAGAAGGCCATGCTGGTTGGGGGCCCCCGGAAGCACGGTCCGGATCCTCCCTGGCATCAGCGTAGACCCGCTGCTCAGGCTTGGGGTACCAAACTCATGCTCTGTACTGTTTTGGCCCCATGCGGTGAGAGGAAAACCTAGAAAAAGATTGGTCGTGCTAAGGAATCAGCTGCCCCCTCATCCTCCGCATCCAATGCTGGTGACAACATATTCCCTCTCCCAGGACACAGACTCGGTGACTCCACACTGGGCTGAGTGGCCTCTGGAGGCTCGTGGCCTAGGGCAGGGCTCCGTAAGGCTGATCGGCTGAGCTGGGTGGGGTGAGGTTTTCTGACCCTCCGCTCCCCATCCCATAACCGCTGTCAATGAGCTCACACTGTGGTCACTATAGCCCTGGCTCTGCTAGTCCACAAGCAGGATAGGCTGTAAGGATTCTGCCCGTTCAGACATGGCCTCAAGGGCAGGAGGCGGTCCCTCTGGCTCCAGCTGGTGGGGAAGGATGAGGTTTGAGGTTGGCTGCGTCCTGGCGGCCTGGTCCTGGGGCAGCCCCTCCATGTGTCTGTTTGAGGCTCTGTGCTGTCAGCTGGAATCACTAGGGCACCCTGCAAAATGTCTGTGCAGGCAACACAGACGCATGCAGCCAGGCCCAGCACAGGGGAAGGCATGCAGGAGGGGCTCTCGGCTCTGGCGCATGGCAAGCCACCAACGTTTCCAGGTCTCAGGATCTTCGTCTCGAAGGTGGGATAATGGGAACACCCATCTCAAAGGCACCTGGGAGGATGCATTTGAGGACTCAGACCAGCACCAGGACGGAGGATGCCCCTGCACAGTAGGGCCCTGCTGGGAATTCAGCCCCTCCAGCCCACTGGCAGGCAGGGACACCTGTCCTCATGGGACTCTGGCCCAGGCTTGGGCAGGCTGGCTTCTTCCAGGGCACGAACTTGATGCCTCTGGGGCCTGGGCAGCCTGCTGGCCCCAAGAGAGCCCAAACAATGCCCGGGCTAAGGGGTGGGTAGGGAGAGGGAGGGACAGCCAGGCCCTCAGCAGACAGTCCCCAGGAACCTCTGCCAATGGAGAGAGTGGCTCCCCACCCTCCACCTCTGACCACTCAGGGCAGCCAGCTGTGTGGTCATCTCCTTGGCTAGGTGTGGGGCCTCAGAGTCCACGGCCCCAGCCTCCCCACTTCCAGTTCCTGACCCCAGGCCCTCCTGTCTCAGGCCGAGAGAGAGCAGGCCAGCCCAGATGGACCTCCAGTCAGGAGAACCAGAGCTGCCCCAGGACGACTCTGAGGGCTGCTGAGATGCTGGGAGCTTCCGAAGGTTCCACTGGCTCCTCCTGATGGAGGGCAGGGCAGGCGAGGGGGTTGCTGAGCACAGCCTGTCCCACATGTGCGGCCTGACAAGCTGAGGAGAGGGTGGCTTTAATGATACTTGTGTCCTGGAGAAACCCATCAGCCCAGCCTAGAGGCCTGGAGCAGCCAGGCACCTTCCAGGGTGGCCAGGGAAGTTGGGGCAAACTCCAGGGCACCATCACTCCTGAGCAGTCCCCGGAGGAGCTTTGAGGGCCGAGGACCACTCCCTGAACTGACTCTGGCCCCTGGCTGCAGCCCCACCTTCCTGGTATCACTCTTCCCTCCTTGCCCCAAGCTCCAGGGACAGGCGGGTCCCCTGGGCTCACAGGAGGAAGTGCTCCATCCCAGCAGGCACATTAGCAACGACCATGCCATCCAAATTCCCAACCAACCTAGAAGATGCCCTCTGAAGAGGTGGGCAGGGCCAAGCCAGGAGGCAGATTCGGGCAGCGAGTGACCATGGGTGGCTTCCCCAGGGACACTGTGAAGTTGGGAACAACAGCCATTATTTGTGGAGTGCAAGCCCTGCTAAAAGCTTTAAGGCATCATCTCGCTGAAACCTCACAACCCCATGGGACCGGATTCACCATCCCCACGAGGAGCGGACAGCCTCAGGAGAGCGGCAGCAGGTGCCCTGCTAGGCTGGAGGGTGGAACACACATTTCCCATCAGCCCAAAGGCAACGCCAGGCACCAGGCAGCCTTGTTTTCTGTGTGTGTGTGTTTTGAAACTGTGACCTGGCTGCCTGGAATGCTCTTTGCTGCTTACAGCTCCCCCACATCCCGTCTCCCGCTGGGGCCATGCTTAACTCACCCGAGGGCTGCACTCCAGACTTCGCAGAGCAGCTTCTTGGGCATTAGCTTATCGTTTAATCCCCAGCACAACCCAGGGAGTATTTCCTCTTTATTTTTTTGAGATGGAGTCTCACTCTATCGCCCAGGCTGGAGTGCAGTGGTGCGATCTCGGCTCACTGCAAGCTCTGCCTCCCGGGTTCACACCATTCTCCTGCCTCAGCCTCCCGAGTAGCTGGGACTACAGGCGCCCGCCACCACGCCTGGCTAATTTTTTTGTATTTTTAGCAGAGACGGGGTTTCACCGTGTTAGCCAGGATGGTCTCGATCTCCTGACCTCGTGATCTGCCCACCTCGGCCTCCCAAAGTGCTGGGATTACAGGCGTGAGCCACTGCGCCCAGCCTGTATTTTCTCTTCTTAAGGTCGTGTTTCTTTATTGCTCAAAAGCAAAGCAAACCTGGTGCTGTGGCTGCTCTTGACAAAGCCGGCAAGAAGAGCAGAATGGGAGGGCCGCACAGCCGCCCTCACCTCACAGCCAATGCAGAGGAGGGCACTCGAGGCACAGCCCTGTCACCACTGCTGCCACCCACCATCGTGAGACTTGCACTTCTGCAGTGGGGCTGAGTCTCCACAGAGCTGCTGTAGGTGGACAAGGTGGCAGCGTACATCCTGACAGTTCCCCTTGGACACTGGGGCCATCTGGGCAGCTTCTTCTCTCAGGATGGCAGCAAGAGAGGCATGGCCAGCACCCCAGGACCCCAACATCTGGGATCCTTTGATCTCAACCCCTCCAGGTTCAGGGCCACCAGCATGCTTGCCTCCCTGCCCCTAAACATTGTACCCACGGGAATATGGGTATGCCCGATTCTATAAGTGGGGAGACAGTGGCTCAGAGAGGCCACAACATGCCCAGCATCACAAAGCTGCACAGAGGAGCCAGGATACAGCACGGGTGTCCCTGACTGCATCCCGCTCTTCCCTGGGCATGGCAGGCGCCAGGCAGGTGGCGGGCGGGGGTGGCCCTCAGGAGACCAAGAAGCTGCAGAGGGGAGGGGGTGCCCCAAACCACATGGTTTTGCCCCTACCGTGGCGTACACATGCAGCCCCGCCCCCACCCCGCACTACCGTCATTGTTGGTGTCCATCTGCCTGAAGATCTTGTCTGTGCGCTTCTCCGGGGTGGACTCATCCTCCGGCATCTTCATCACAGACGACACCATCTTGTAGATGGCCTGCGGATGGGGGCAATGACACTGTGCTCAGAGGCCCGGGGGCTTGGGCGGGTGCAGCAAGGGTGGGCTTCCGCCCAGCCCACAACAAGGCTCGGAGAGGTCAGGGGCTCCCGGTGGCCTTCGGGACCCTTCCCCAGTGGGGAGAATGTTCCCTAGTGAACCTCACGGGTGTCTATGTGAAGTTCAAGAGCAGAGCTGGCAGAAGGGTTCTACTGGGAGGGTGGTGAGGGTGCTGGTATCTCTGCCTGGGGGTGGGTAGTGCCAGGAAGGTGCCTAAGTGTCCCTGTCGGGGGCTGGGAATGCTGAGGGAGAGTGGTGGTCACAGATGTGTGAAATTCCCCACACTGCCTGCTGAGCTGTGTGCATTTTACTCCATGGCTGTTACCCCTCAGTTTAAAAGAGACTGAGTCCCTGAAACTCACAGGGCAAGCCCCATCACCAGCCCCGACAGGACAGGAAGCAGCAGCACTGGGGTCTCCATGGCCTGTTTAGGGCACTGTCAGCCGAGGGCTCAGTCTAGCCACTGGTCTCTCTGCGTGTCTCTGCCTGAGTGGCCCAGCCTGGGGCATGTGACTCTGTGCTGCTGGTGGGTGTACAGAGGAGACGGTGATGGGACTGGTGAGTGGCCACTGAGCAGAGTGACATGCGTGGGGAGTGGTGGCACTGCTGTGGGATTTTCTGAGCACTCCACGTGAAGGTGGCTTGATATTCTCATTCCTGACAACAGACCATTTTCTCATTGTGAGAAAGAGGTAGCAACCAAGTGTCCCATGAGAAACACCACCCAGCCGGCCAGGGAGCCATCGATGGCGTCGGGGGAAGGCTTTCAGGGTTTGGGGACTTGGTTTGGGGGCTGTCCCGTTTGGACAGAAGTGGCTGCTCCTCACTGCTTGGAACAGTTCTACCAGTGCCTTGATGTTCTGACCAAGCCTCTGCACGGCCAGTGACAGGCACACCTATTTGCAAAGGGTAAGGGTTAACACACAGGACAGGACGGGTGATTCCTGGGGAATAGAATTCTTACTTCCGCCACTGCATGAAGCTAAGAGCCAGAAAGTGACGACAGTACCAGAGTTCCCCGAGCCCATGTTAATTTACTCTGACAGTGTGAAAACCATCTACGTGGGAAATGGGTCGCTCATTCCTGAGGCGGGCCACTGCTGCTGCAGAAGTTCACGGATTTGATACCCGCTACTGGAGGCCCACCCCTGAAGTTCCCTACCATGGGACCACCCCTTCTGAAGAGTTCCATTTTTTTCTTATTTTGCTTTTGGTCTTTTTGGAGGCAGGGTCTCACTCTGTCACCCAGGCTGGAATGCAGCAGTGCAATCACAGCTCACTGTCACCTTGAACTCCTGGGCTCAAGCAATCCTCCCATCTCAGCCTCCCAAGTAGCTGGGACTACAGGTGCATGCCACTATGCCCTGCTACTCTTTTAATTTTTTATAGAGATGGAGTCTCACTATATTGCCCAGGCTGGTCTCAAACTCCCGGGCTCACGCGATCCTCCAGCCTCGGCCACCCAAAGTGTTGGGATTACAGGCCTGGCCATGAGTTCTAGAATTGGATGCTCCTGGGCTCAGGGAGGCACTCAGGGGAATGCCAGGGAGGGGCAGCTCTGCTCTCTACTCTCTCTCGCATACCTAGGCACCTGGCCAAGTGAACAAAACTTGGTTTCCTTCTGAAACATGGCCTTTCTGCTAGAGCTGTTGATAGGCATGAAGGTGAAGAGATGCCTCCTAAAGTGACGTCTTTCCCGTGCTGAGCTGATTCTCGTGATCGTTAATGCTTCAGTTTTACTTGATGACTGCGCATTCCTGGGGACATCACAAGCTATCTGTTGAGTTCTCAAATCCAGGGCTTTCCCCAGGTCTTGGCAGGTACCTCTTGCAAGTGCCAAGGAGCCCAGCAATCATACAATTCTTGGCCAGGCACGGTGGCCCATGCCTGTAATCCTAGCACTTTGGGAGGCTGAAGGCAGATCAACTGAGGTGAGGAGTTTAAGACTAGCCTGGCCAACATGGTGAAACCTCGTCTCTACTAAAAATACAAAAATTAGCTGGCTGCGGTGGCACATACCTGTAATCCCAGCTACATGGGAGGCTGAGACAGGAGAATCTCTTGAACCCAGGAGGTGGAGGTTGCAGTGAGCCGAGATCATGCCACTGCACTCCAGCCTGGGCGACAAAGTGAGACTCCATCTCCAAATATATATAAAATATAATTTTTAGAAATTCATCTATTTGAGTCTCAGACTTTGTAAAATGCAGAGAATGACCCACGTTGTTGGGTTATGAAGATGAAAACGGATCAAAGTGCTCCACCCGGCCCTGATGTATAGCAAGTGATCAATAAACATTGGCTTTTACCATTGCCCTTTGCAAGGGTCTGCCCAATCAGGTGACAACTGCTCACTTTCCAAAGTGCACCAGGTAGCAACCTGGCCAAGAAAGACCCAATGTCGAGTGAACATAAAGAACACAGGGAGGCCAGGCACGGTGGCTCACACCTGTCATTCTAGCACTCTGGGAGGCTGAGGCGGGCAGATCGCTTGAGCCTAGGAGTTCAAGACCAGCCTGGATAATGTGGCAAAACCCTCTCTCTACCATCAAAAATACCAAAAAAATTAACAGGGCATGGAGGTGCTCAAGAGGCTGAAGCGGAAAAATCACCTGAGCCCAGGAGGCAGAGGTTGCAGTGAGCTGAGATAGTGCCACTGCACTCCAGTCACTAGAGCAAGATTCCTGTCTTAAAAAAAAAAAAAAAAAAAAAAGCCCTGGGCTGGGGGCTGGGAGCTGGGAGGGGACCTGGGCCCGCGGTGAGACCCGGGGCCTCGGGCGCCGGTACCTGCACGATCTCCAGCATCTCGCTGCGGCTGATGTAGCCGTTGCCGTCCAGGTCGTACATGCTGAAGGCCCACTTGAGCTTCTGCTCCAGCTTGCCCCGCGAGGTCACGCTCAGCGCAATGATGAACTCCCGGAAGTCGATGGTGCCGTCGCCGTTGGTGTCGAAGGTGCGGAAGACGTGCTCGGCGAACTTGGAAGCGTCGCCGTAGGGGAAGAAGTTGGCGTAGATCTTCTTGAACTCGTCCACGGTCAGGTGGCCGGTGGGGCAGTCCTTGAGGAAGCCCTTGTACCACTCCTGCAGCTCGTGGTCGGTGAACTCCGTGTTCTCCCGCAGGTCCTGCAGCACCTCGGGCCGCAGCTTGCTGTTCTGTTTGCCCATGGCGGCTGGCGGCGGCGACTACACCTGCAAGACAGGGGGTCAGCCGGGGACGCCACCCACGGCCACGGAGCAGGGCTGAGCCATGTGCCGGAGAGACCAAATAAGCCCATCGCTGTGCAAGCGCTGCGACTCAGCAACTCCCGGGTCCCCCATCGGAAGGCATGCCGCTATCTTATGGACCACCAAGAAGGCCAAGAGACTCTAATTATATCACGACAGCTCACCCTCACACTGCGGGACACGTTCTCACTTGGAGAATGTGGAAATGCGGGGGGGAAAATGCAACTTAAAATCAGTGGAACAGGGCATCATCCGGTGCCCACCAGGGGTTGTACGAGAGGCGAAGATTAAAATCAGTTCTTACTTTCATCCCCCTCATCAGCTCCTGGCAAAGTGGCCACCTCAGCCACATCCCAGACTCTTTGGGGCAGTTCTTCCCTCTTTCAGGCATCACATTATGTTTTTATCTTTAGAAGAGGCGTCTAGAAACTTTCAGGGAGTCACCCCCACCCACCTTCTTTATTTGTTTATTTGTTTGTTTCTTTTGAGATGGAGTTTTGCTCTTGTCGCCCAGGCTGCAGTGCAGTAGCAGGATCACAGCTCACTGTAACCTCCGCCTCCCAGGTTCAAGCAATTCTCCTGCCTCAGCCTCCTGAGTAGCTGGGATTACAGGCATGCACCACCGCGCCCAGCTAATTTTTTGTATTTTTAGTAGAGACAGGGTTTCACCATGTTGGCCAGGCTGGTCTCGAACTCCAGACCTCAGGTGATCCACCTGCCTCGGCCTCCCAAGGTGCTGGGATTACAGGTGTGAGCCACTGTCCCCGGCCCACCCTCTTTATTTTGCCTTTGATAAACTGCCCCGGGTGGGAGGAGGATCTGGAATTAGCTCTAGGCAGTAAATGATGTTCTGAATGGAACCAGGGAAAAATGAGGCACCTGTGGGAACGAGGAACTGCTCTGCTCAAAACCATCCCCCAGGGCGGTTCTCCACAAGTCCTGAATGCAAGACTGATCAACCGGCATTCACACGGCTGCCACTGCACCACCTCATGTTATTTTCTTACATTAACAGTTAACTGATATACAGGGCGTGATAATTTTTGAAGTACATGGAAGAATGAGAAATAAAAAGATGTCTCCTACCCTAGCCACAGTGGCAACCACTTTGAACTCTGTGTTTGTGAATTCTAAACAGTAGGCACCAGCTCTCCATTATGAAAGGTAAGACAGACCACCCACACTGCCCACCACTTCCTTTCTTCTCTGCCTCTATCCCAGGGTTGTTTTTTTTTTTTTTTTTTTTTTTTTGAGATGGAGTCTCACTGTGTTGCCCTTCCAGGCACTTATGAGGAGTGTGCAGTGGTGTGATCTCGGCTCACTGCAACCTCCACCTCCTGGGTTCAAGCAATCCTCCCAACTCAGCCTCCTGAGTAGCTAGGATTATAGGCATGCACCACCACACCTGGCTATTTATTTATTTATTTATTTATGTATTTTTAGTAGAGACAGGGTTTCACACTATGTTGGCCAGGTTGGTCTCAAACTCCTGACCTCAAGTGATTCGCCTGCCTTGGCCTCTCAAAGTGTTAGGAGTATAGGCATAAGCCACCACGCCCAGCCCATCCCAGGTTTTATAGTACATACATGTTTTTGTTTTTACTTATCCTCTCTATATCAATCAATCAATCTATCTATCTATTTTTTATTTATTTATTTTTTGAGACAGGCTCTCACTCTGTCACCCAGGCTGCAGTGTGTGATCATGACTCACTGAAGCCTTGACCTCCGGTGCTCAAGTGATCCTCCCACCTCAGTCTCCTGAGTAGCTGAGACTATGGGCACACACCACCACACCCAGTTAATTTTTTTTTTTTTTGTAGAAACAGGGCCTCACTATTTTGCCCAGGCCAGTCTCAAGCTCCTAGCTTCAAGCAGTCCTCCCACCTTGACCTCCCAATGTGTTGGGACTACAGCCGTGAGCCAAGATGCCAGGTGTTTTTACTTATCTTTATGACTTTATCTTTCAAAATTCCAAACACACATTCACCTTGACCCAGCCATCCCACTTCCAGAAACATCTAATGATACTCCCACCTGTGCAAATAATCTGTGCAGGTGGCCATTGCCTACGTGGTCTGTAACAGCAAACTACTCAGGTGCCCATCTTACGTACTCATAAGAAATAATCTTCAAGGTGTATTTTTATGTGAAAAGAGAAGCTGCACAACAGCAAGCAGAGCTTGTTACCATTTATGAGAAAAGAAGACAAACATACGTGCTTGTGTGTTTGTGCTCTGGAAGGGCTTATGAGGAAAGAATAACATTGGCCGGGAGGGAGAGAGACGGCTGGGTGGACATGGGCCCTGGGGACTTTTTTTTTTGTTTTTTTTTGAGAGGGAGTTTCGCTCTTGTCACCCAGGTTGGAGTGCAATGGAGCGATCTCAGCTCACTGCAACCTCCGCCTCCTGGGTTCAAGCGATTCTTGTGCCTCAGCCTCCCAAGTAGCTGGAATTACAGGTATGCACCACCATGCCCAGCTAATTTTTGTATTTTTAGTAGAGATGGGGTTTCACCATGTTGGCCAACCTGGTCTCGAACTCCTGACTTCAGGTGATCCACCTGCCTCAGCCTCCCAATGTGCTGGGATTACAGGTGTGAGCCACTGTGCCCAGCCCCTGGGGACTTTTTATTAAGAGAGAGGATTCTTCTCTCCTCCTGGCCAGTTAAGCCCAGCTCTGGATATGCAGCCACAGGAGGCCAGCCTCTCCAACTGCAGTTTGCCCCAGACGAGGACAAGCATGGCCCCTGTTTCATGGAGGAGTTGAGGAATCACATCAGACTCAGAACAATGTGCAGATAGGGGACCCCTGCACCCCCTGCCTCCATCATCCAGAAATATGACCCACCCTGGGGCTTGGGGATGACGCCTGCCAGCATGCTCTAAAGGGCTCAAAAAAGTCCTGGTTCTAACATGCAGCTAGTTCACTTTAGAAACTCAATTAATTCACAAGAGGAAATGGCCATAGAGATTTCTACATGGAAAAAAAAAAAAAGGGAATGTAAAATCAGAAGATCACTACTACCAAAATACCTGACAGAAGAGAAAAAACAACAAAGATGCTACTGAGGTTTTTGGTTTGTTTGTAGAGATAGGGATCTTGCTATGTTGCCCAGGTTGCTCGAACTCCTGGCCCCAAAGTGATCCTCCCACTTTGGCCTCCCAGAGTGCCTGACAAGACTGCTATCCTGTTGGAAGAGCTCTGGACCTGGCTTGGAGATGTGGGCTCCCTCTGGATTCTGCTGTCACTGACAGCTCTCGGGTCTCACCCAGGTGAGCTCTGGACTCCTTCCTGTGTTGCCTTGGCGGATCCCAGACAGCTCTGTGCCCAGAAAGCCCCCCTCCGGCTGTCAGGGCTGTGTCCCCCAGAACTGCACAGTGCCCAGGGCATCGCTCACTGGGGCAGTTCCACTTCCTAGGCCCAGATGCATGGGTTGAATCATGGCCCGCCTAAAAGATGTTGAAGTCCTAACTCCCAGTATCTGTGAATGTGAATTAGGGTCTTTGCAAGGACCTATTTGCAAAGGTAGCCTGAGGACCTGAGGTTACCTTGACTGCCGCTAAGCCCTGAGGTGGTGGGAACCCTCCTGACCACTGAGTTTGAGGGCCTGGGCCATTGTGAAGGACCAGCCTTGCGTGGCACCTGAGGGAGAACCCACAGATGGACGGCAGAAGGACAGGTAGAGGATGGATGCCCAGCCTGAGGCCCTGCAGCACCCGTGGTGGCTCCTCCTGTGCTTTCTGCCCTGGCCCTCGGGTTGCTGTGTGGGGCCACTGAGTCAGCAAAGACGTACACACGCAGAGCCCATGGAGCTCGCTAGGTGTTCACATGTCACTTCCACAAACAAGTCCTGGGTGGCACCAAGCCAGGCTCCGGGGCACAGGGGAAAGGCATTGAGTGTGGGCTCAGAGCCAGTTCCACCCACCCCTGCTCGGGGGACCTTGGGGAGGTGGTCAACTTCCTGGAGCTCTGGACTCCCCCCGAATAACAGGGATGGCAGGGTGGTCGTGATGATCAAGAGGAGGCCTGGGGCACCCGACCAAACCGCATGTGGCTCCTTCACCATGCGGAAGCTTTTCCAGAACTTCCTGTGTGTCAGAGGGAGTGTGGGCAGTGAACAAAACCCATACGGTCCTTGCCTCGGGGGCCGACACCACACGGGGAGCACGGGGGTGAGAAGGAGAGGGGAGATGGCTCATAGGCGGGGCATGGATCTGTGGATGGCTGCCCCAGAGAACCCCCAAACTGATAGAACATGGCAAGTGTCCTAGGAGCGCTTATGAGGATGAGGAATAACTGGTTTTATGGGAAGGGAGGGATGGGGGTGCGGGGCACCTGGGAGGTTGAGCTAAGCTGTGGAGTAGGGAATGACCTCCCAGCCCCTCCAGCTCCCGCAGTCAGGCCAGTGAGTGGCAAAACAAGCAGCTGCAGCAGGTTGCCTGAGGCTCCCAGGCAGCGTGAGGCACACCCAGCCCAGGGCCGGCCCTCCATGCGGCCTGGGGCAGAAGTCCCACCTCTCCAAGTCTGCAGAACCAGGCAGGGGTTGACCCACCGGGCTGTCCCACTCTGCGCTATGTCCCTCAGAGCACTGAGACTCAAGCTGGGGCACCCCCAAACCCTGCACATCTCCACTTGGTCATTCCTAGGCTTCAAAAGGGCCCATTTTCCCATCCCTTCGTCAGCTCAGCTGCTCTCAAGGCTTTCTATTGTCCACACTCCTCTCAAACTGTGGCGTTCTTGCAGCCAGCATCTGGAGGGGAAAGCAGGGTTTGTCTTAGGTGTCTCTAGTTCAGCCTCCCGTCTGCCGCTGTAACAGCAGCAGCGCACGTGCAGAATGGACCAGTACGTGAGAAGGCTGTGTTCTGCACCTGCTTGTCCTCATTCCTCACTCCTTTCAGCTGAAAGGTGATGACGTTCCTCCTGGCAGCATGTCCGTGTGTGGTTTAAGGGGATGGCATCGTACTCCTCTCTGGCACGTGGCCAGAGAGAACCAGCTGTGAGCAGAATGAGACAGCTGCTGCTATGGCCTCAACTGTGCTTCCCCCAAATTCCCATGTTAAAGTCCTAACCCCAGGTCCCTCAGAATGGGACTGTACTTGGAAACACAGTCTTTAAAGAGGTCATTAGGTTAAAATGAGGTCACCAGGGTGGGCCCTAATCCAATATGACTGGTGTCCTTATAAGAAGAGGAGATGAGGACACAGACACACAGGGGAAACCGTGTGAAGGCACAGCAAAATGACAGCCATCTGCAATTCTAGGAGAGGGGCCTCTGGAGGAAACAACCCTGCCAACACCCAACCCTGCCAACACCCAACCCTGCCAACACCTTGGACTTCTGGCCTCCAGACCGTGAGAAAACAGAGTTCTGTAGTTTAAGTGCCCAGTCTGCAGTCCCGTGTTACAGTAGCACAGCAGCCACCCTTGGGGAACTGACCTACAGCTGACAAACATGTGTTATCGGTGTCTCTGGGGCAGGAGTGATGCCAGGTACGTTACACCTGCTCTCAGCAGGGACAGCCAGAAGCAGCAACCATGGCCTGTGGGGCCCATTTTGTCAGATACTTTACCTATTAGTCACGCTTCACCACAAGTAAACCAACCCTGGGAGAGCCCCGGAACCTCTGAGAGGCAAAGCCAGGGCTTGGACCCAGGCGGTCTGGCCTCCTCCCCAGGCCTTGCATGGGCAGCAGAGGGGAGGCTGGCCCAGGCAAGGGCGACATGGTGATGGACACATTGTTGGCTAGTGGCAGGCCCTTTCTGCCTGATTTGCACCCCTGCATTTTTCATTATCAAAATGAGCCACCTTCTGTGAAGTTCTAGGCCCTGGGAGTTGAGGATCACTGCCTTAAGAATCCACTCACCTCAGTGAAAACCAAATCACCTCTCAGAACGAAGGGAGAAATTTATCCCAGGATGGATCGGTGATTTATGTTCTTACCGATCCCATTGGAATGCCAAACTCATAACACTTATCTGCCTGAAATCACAGATGCGTATAGAAAGGGAGGTACCAGATTAGGGGCAGTGCCAAACCCAGTGAGCACACCGCTAGAAGGTAACAGGCGGAGTGCATCATGGTCTGCTGGGGAGAAGCTCCCTGCATTCCCAGCACCTTCCTGCGTGTGCCAGAGGGCAGACGTGTGCGCCTGCGGCCTCCTGCCTCACTCAGCACCTCCTCTGGAAGGGCTTCCTACCCTTCACCCTCTCCCAGGTGACCCAGCTGGGCCTGGCACAAGGTGGGTGTCTGTGTTGGGTGAATGGACACTCTTGCTGTGGTTGCAGTTGCTGTGTATACACACATGCACAAGAACCTGCTTTAAGGTTTGGCTAACTCCAGAGGCAGGGAGGTTTGGACAAAGCTGGTATTCCAGTGTGACCCACTTTCGGAATGCAAGGGAGAGAATTCAAGCCTCACAGAGAGGAGTGACACCAGCCAGGAGCCTCTGAGCTGTGTCCCAGGAGCCCCAGGGACCTTCCTAAGGCTTTGGGGGTCCACAGGATGGGCAGGGGAGGAGGAAGGACTCTGGGCCTCCAGGCCCAGCACAGACCAGAGCAGCAACCCTCTGATCTGTTTCTGCATCTGTTCTCTTTCAAAGAAAGGATTCTGCTGATGCAAACAAAGTCTGATGCCAAGACCTGCTCATCCTAAGGTTCCAGGTCTAGCAGCATAAACACAACAGAAGAATGTGGAGGCAGAAGAGTGTAGGGACCCAAAAATAGTACAATACCTTTGCCGCTTCCTTTTGAAAAAATCCCCACCCCAACAAGGAGAACAAGAAAAAGAAAAGAAAGACTGTGCCTATGACCTTGATCACATCCACAAGCCCCAACACATATCAGTGGGAAGTGGGCAGGGAGATGGCAAACAGCTGAACAGGGAGGGGGGCCAGGAAGGAGAAACAGGGCAACTGGGGCCCCAAAATTCCAGAAGGCTCAGGGATAGGGTATCCCCAGAGCCTCAGGAGGTGTGGGAGGCAGAGTCTGAAGGAATGTGCAAGAATAGAGCCTGTGCCGAGACCATGTGCTCTTCTTACTCTATTGCCTTTTCTTCCAGGGCACACAGCCGGACTACATTTCCCAGCCTCCCTTGCAGCTAGGTGGTACCATGTGACTACACTCTGGCCAATGGGATGTGGCCAGAGTGATGACCACACTTCTGGCCTGAGCCTCCATAACTGTCAGGGCAGCCCTTGCTGCACACGCCCTTTCCTGCCCTTTCTTGCTGGGCACCTGGAAGCAGACTATCCAGGGGAGGACTTGGAGGCCCCAGAGGGCATAGACCCTAAAGCATTTCTCAACCAGGCTTTCTCATCTGAACCACAGCCTGCAGTCAATGACTGGTGTGCCCATTTCCCCAACCAGTCATGTACCTAAGGATGGTGTGTAACTGGTTTCATTCCAGGTATGCAGGAGGAAAGTCGTTCCCTGCACACCATGATGCCTTTGCTGTGAGTCCTTGATTCCCTCCTGGAACCCCGGCTGAGAAAGGCTGTGAGACGAAAGACCTTCTAAAAAGAAGAAACTTAAGTCCTTGCGTGACTGCGTGGAATAGAGCCTTCGTCTCCTGCGGTGACATCCCACTGCAACACATCAGGAAACACCACTTCACTGGGCCAAGCAAAGGTTGGCACTTGCTTCTTACAGCAATTAGCCACCCCTGACCAACATGGAACCCTGTACTGCGACTCAGCGGTCAGGTAACCACCCCCACCCCAGCCCCATCTCCAAAGCTTGGGGGAGGAATCTTCTCTGGAAAGACACTGGACAGGAGAACAACAGGCCCAGAGGAAGGCTGGTGAGGAACCCACAGAAGATGGGTGAGTTGAGGGAAGTCTGCCCTCTCCAGCCTACCTCCTTGCCCTGAGCAAGCGGGCAGCCAGCCGGGATCAGCCTCCGAGCAGGGGACTGGAGGATCTTTCTCCAGGGAAGTGGAAACATCAGCCTGTCCTTGGGGCCTGGTGCCAGCGGGGTGCTCAGTGTATTCCAGGCTGTCGGGCCCTCTGAGTGCCGAATCCCAGGCTGAGCACTGGGATGCCGGTCCCCAGTCACCAGCTCCCTGGGGGGCTTGAGTTATGGTGTAGGCATGCCCAGGAAGGGGCATAAAAAGTGAATAAAGTGGGGTCCAGGGGAGTCGCTCATTCCCGGGGCACTCGGCGGCTTGCCTAGGACAACGGCATTTGGAATCACAACTGAATGACAAGGAGGATTTCAAAGGCTGCAGGAGGCCCAGTCCCTGTAGGCCACATCCAGGGGAGGACACAGTGAAGATTCTAGGAGCTGGGAAAGTGGGGTCACTCCTGGCTAGGCCGAGAGGAGGCAATGTCAGCTCCACCTTAGGGACAAGGGACCGAGGCTTCGGTGGGGTGGTGGGCTGTGGACCCAGGAGGTCTGAGTGGAGAGCCCACCTCCTTCCCATTGTCCTGTAACCTCCTCTGGGCCCTTTCCATGCCAAGACCATAAGCAGCCGTGGAGGCCACCCAGGGTGCTCCTGGCTGGTGTCCAGCACTCTGCTTGTGCTCGCCAGGACAGCTTTGCAAGATGGCCTCCCCACTGGAACTTTTATGAAACTGGTAAATGGAGCCCATGAATGCCAAATGAAGGTGACGGCCACACACACACTCCCAGTCACTCACTGGGACAGCCAGCATTTGCTTATTAACAAGGGCCCAGATGAAATATGTAATCTGAAGGACCTCATTTTAGCTCTCTCCTGGAGGCTGTCGGGCCCGACGCAGGCTGCCTCACAAGAAACGGGGGGCGGGGGGAATGCTGCATGCTGCTGTGACCCCTCTGTCATTCATTAAGCAAAGGAGCCAACCTTATTGGTGCTTGGCTGTCTAGTAAGACGACCGAGCAAAAGCAAGCCTTTCTGCAGAGACAGAAAGCCACCACTCACGTTTCCCAGCAGAACAGCCACCTTGCTCCAGTAATTAGGCAAACCCAGCCTTCATTTCTCAGGAAGTCTTTCATCTCCAAGGAGGATGGTGGGGTAAGAAATGGGAGGCCCAGGGGAGGGCAGTCTATTTGAGAGCAGAACCATCTCCTGCTCGGCTTAAAAAGATTCATATTCAAGCAAGGCTCGGATCAAACTAGTAACAGCTGTCTGAGGGCATCAGAGATGACGTTGTAATTCACGGTGATGGAAACATGGGAGAGGGAGTTAATGAGTCACTTACAGCCACCTCTGTGGTTCTCAGTTACCCTGCTATTGTTCTTAATCTGCTGAATTGTAAAAAAAAAAAAAAAAAAAAAAAAAGAAGAAGAAGAAAAAGAGGAACAAGGAAAGAAATGTAAACATGCAGCTGGGGAGCCCTGTGAGAAATAGTTAACCCAGAGTCGGTATTGCCTGTAAATTAAAGCCTGTTTAGTGGCACAGTTCTAGCAGCTGCTCAGTGAGGCTCCTGGGAACCGAGGGCTTGATTGTCCTGTTAATCCCACCTCAGTGCCGGCTGACGGCATTGGTTGGCATCTCATCCCATTGCTCCAAAATGCTTTCATCAGTCAGATCCCCGAAGCTTGCCAGGCCAACCAGACTCTGAGATGCTTTGAGGGAAGGCGACCAGAGAGGTGGGAAACACCAAATGCTTATGAGAGACCCAGGCTGGCCGGGGCGCCGTGGCTCACACCTGTCATCCCAGCACTTCAGGAGGCCAAGGCAGTGGATTGTCTGAGCTCAGGAGTTCAAGACCAGCCTGAGCAACATGGTGAAACCGTCCCTACTAAAAATATAAAAAATTAGCTGGGTGCGGTGGCACGCACCTGGTAGTCCCAGCTACTCGGGAGGTTGAGACGGGAGAATTGCTTGAACCCGGAGGGTGGAGGTTGCAGTGAGCTGAGGTGGTGCCACTGCACTCCAGCCTGGGCAACAGAGCGAGACTCTGTCTCAAAAAAAAAAAAAAAAAAAAAAAAAAAAAAGACTGAGGCTCAGGAAGAGGCTGGAGAGGCGTTTGTTGTGAATTTGAACTTCAAGGAATCAGAGGGCTCAGGCCATTTGAGATGAGAGCTTGTTCTTCCTGGGGTGGAACAGGAAGGTGGAAGGCAGAAGGGGCCGGTGGAAGACAAACAGGTTTGTGCTCTTTCTTATCCAGCACCCAACCCAGTTCTTTCTCCCGGTGACCGCTGGACCCACACGGCCCCTGCAGCTAAGCCCCTCTCCTAGGGCTGATTGCATTTTTCAAAACAACTCGGGCCTGTGTCCTTCTTTCCTCCAAATAAGCAAGTGACAGTCAAGCTGCCTGCAGCCTTAGCTTCCCGGTAGTTCTCCAAGGAGGGGCCCGTTTTGCCCCTGGGTGATTGCGGGGAGGCTGTGCCGGCTGCCAGGACCCAGGTGCAGGGAGGAGCCGATGCATCTGGGACCATCCAGGCTGAAGTGTGGCTGGGCCGACGCTAGAGGGAGCTGTTGAACAGGCTCCCAGGGCCTGAGCTGAGACCCCGCCCCTCTCAGGTGCCTCCGTGTCTCCACCTATAAGCTAGGGCTGCTTTGTCCACTATGGTCACAACCAGCCACACGTGGCTACTGAGCACATAAACCGTCGCCAGTCTGAACTCATATATGTGCCCTTAGTGTAAAATACACGCCGGATTTTGACGACTTCATATGAAAAAAAACAACATAAAATATCTCATTAATACTTTCTCTTTCTTGATTACATGTGAAATGGTAAATGATACCATTTGGGATCTAACGGTTTAAATCAAACAAGTTTTAAATTTCATCTTTTTTACTTTTCAATGCGGCTATAGAAAAAGTTACAATCACATAGGTATGTGTCTCCCACTTTATTTCCCGTGGGCAGTGCTGGGTAGAAGTAGCATTCAGTGGGTGATACCAGGGACCCTGGATCTGGGGCTACCAAACAGGGACTCTTCAAGCTCATTAGCACCCTGTGGTATCCTTTATTTATTCACTCCTTAGTGCCCTTGAGTGAAAGATCATGGCGTTTGTATTTCATAATTACCTGTGAGTCCCACACGGTTCTCTTTTCAGCAGGGAGGGCTAGCCTGAGAACGCTGCCAGAGGCCAGCTGCAGTGAGGACCCCAGGTCTGACCCCAGCTAAGGAATGAGGCTGGTGGGGAGGGGCTGCAGAAGGAAAAGGTTCCTCCTTCTCTTTGGAGCTGGAACAGCCAACCCTGCTGAGTCAGATCCGGGGAAAGAGGAGGTTAGTAACACCTCTAGAGTGACAGTTCCAGGGCGTGCCTGCACCTAAACCCAACCCACTGACCTAGAGCTCATTTCTGGAGGCCTTCCTGAAAGCTGTTGCATCACGGCATTTTACCCACTGGAGGGGCTCCAGGCCAATGACCTGTTGTTGAGAAATCCAACCGAAACCTTCTTGACTTCTTACCCATCCCCAGCCTCTTAAACTCCCCACAACTCCCCAAAACCTTACAAGAAAAACATAACATATGAGAAGAGAGAGAGAGAGAGACCCAGCAGGGCACAGAAATCCCCTTCCTCTACCAATCTCTCCTTCTTTTCCACCCTCTCAAGGCTGAAATGCCCTAAATGAAGCTGGTGAGAAGGAAGAGGTGGAGAAAGGAAAAGGGAAATCCCCAAGAGCTGTACTTTCTCTTGCAGAAGCTGCTACTGCGACAGGAAGAGGAATGTGTGGGTGGCTGTCCCTGCACACCTTGTGCCTCTGCAGATATGAGTTCACCCGTGTGGCACGCTCGCCTCAGCCACCCTGCCAACCCCTACTCATCCACCAAAGCCCAATGCAAAGGTCACTCCTCAGGCTTGCCTTTCCCAGCCCCTACAACTGCTCTTCCCTTTGAATTCTAACAGCGTTTTTCTAGTATGAACTCAGCTTTGAACGCGTCACTTCTTTGTCTTTTTCCTTCATTAGACTGGGAGCTCCTGGGGGAAGGAGAATCCTTCATTTGTCCCAGTCAGAGAAGCTGCTCAGCGTGTTCCAGCCTCAGGGCCTTCGCACCTGCAGTTCCCTCCACCTGTCTGCTCTTCCTTCCCCTCAGTGTCTGCAAGGCTCACTCCCTCCAAGTTCATGTTCTTGCTCAACAGTCGTGGGGAAACCTCCTCCAAGGACCCACCTCAAAGAGCATCCACCCTCACCCTCTGGTCCCTCACCCTGACCCCTTTCTCAGCATTTCCTGCCACCTGGCACTATATTTACAAAATCTCTTGACTGTCTGCCTCCTTTTGTTCACCACTGTACCCCCACAGGGCCCAAAACAGGGCCTGGCACACAATTCAGTCAATAAATATGTTTGAATGAATGGTTGTGTATTCCAAGCGCCTAGCACAGTGCCTGAGCAAATGAACAAAGCAATGAGTGAGTGGTTCTTTTTCTAGGATCCCTCTTATTCTAACATTCTGTGACTCTTCCAGTTTTAGGAATTGCTGGAGGAAGGTCAGGGGTTAGGATGGTCAAGTGCTCTCCTGCTCAGATTTGAAGCTGCTCCAAGAAGGCACATTCAGACTCGGTATTCTGGAAATCTCTGTTTTCTGGCATGGAAACAGCTGCAGCAGAGTAGAGTTTTGGGGCCATGCCAGACTTGGGGGTGTCCATTTATCAAACTGGTGCCAATCTCCTTCCCAGGTGAACACATCCCAGCTATATGGTCCTCAGCCAGTGGGGTGGGGGACAGGATGGGGGACTTCCTGCTACTCTCCAGTGAGATCATTCCCTGGACCAGTGCGGCGTCATCATAGAGCGAACATCACTCCAGCTTGAGTCTTTGGAGAGGAGCTCTTTGAGCTGCCTCCCAAGCAGAGAAAGGGAGGTGAGTGAAACGGACATACATGAGCCTCTGGGGAGAGAACAGGGAGACAGGAAAAGGGAAACGCCCAAGAGAATGCTCCCCTTCCGTCCGGAACCCTAACCCAGCAGGAAAAGGAAGCTCAAAGGCAGGACCAAAATGAGACCATAGACTTTCTGAAAGCAACCCCCGACCCATGTACGTCTGTCCCTGTGACAGTTCCGTGTTTCTACAGAGGTGAAGGGTGCCGGATGCCAGGCGGGGAGCAGAGCCACGCAGCACCCGTGCCAGGGCCAGGCTAGAGCGAGCCCGGTGGAAATCTGGGTGTGGAGTCCTGGCCACAGAGCCTGGGACTTCCTCTGCCCCCACCCAGGATCTCGCTTTGAAGGCGAAGTTGGGGTTTTCAGTGACAGACCCCAGAAACATCAGGCTGAAGTGAGAGTGGAGTCTCTGGACTGGTTCCTTCACCCACACCTCAGTGGTTCCCGAGTCCTGTTCCATGCTGGGTGTAGTCACACGTGGATGGACAAGACACAGACCCTTCCTGGGGCTCCTTGAAGTGACCCCCCACACACGCCCATGAAACAGCAGTGATGGGCATGAAGAGACTTACGTGGGCTCAGGAGCTCGGGCGCAGAGCACAGAGGTCAGCTGGGATGGGACAGAGCTGAGGGCTGAGCCAGGGCTTAAAGGTTCCAGGAGTTCTCCAGCTGGGACAAAGGGAACAGTGTGTGCCAGGGCATGGGGACAGCGAGCACTGGGTCCTGTGGCACTCAAGCCCTGCACGACGAGGAATCCCCACATGCCACAAAAGACTCTTCCAGTTTCAGTAATGCTGGAAGGAATGACTAAAGGAATTAGCGCGGAGCATGACTGTAGGAGAACGCATGTTGATGACAGCAAGGAGGGGTGAAGGGGAGAAACAGTAGAGGCTCAGTGTGCCCACCTCCCCACTACCCGGTAATGCTCCATAGAACACCAAGAATAATTCTATTACTATTCAATCACACAACAAAAACTCAAAAGCTGAAACAACCATGTGAATCACCCAACGTCCCATTTGCGGGGACTTGGCGCATACTGCAAGCTGACTGCTCTTTGGGAGAAAATGTAAGAGGGCACAGCAGGCTGGAGATACTGAGGCTTTAGACGCCCCTTCATCAGTCCCTCTAGATGTGGCCCCTCGTGCAGTCAGCCAGAGCTGGCAGGGCGCTGCTCCTGCCCGAGGCCCCCACCCTGGCTTGGCTGTGCTGATGACGCCTGGTGATTTGGCATGCCAGCTCCCAGGCATCTTGGAGCGCATTCTTCCTGGCTCTTTGTGCCAGCTGCAGAATGACTCAAGCACTGACCCATGCCTGGGGGGAAGATCTACGCGTCAGATGGCAGAATTCCGTCTGCAAATTCCACCCTGATGTTCCAGGCCAAGAGGTGAGCAACAGCCCTTCCCCAGGGAACCGTGTTTCACCCTAGCGGGAGCAAAACTGAGACTACGGGGCCAACTCTGCTGTCGAGTGCCTCAGCCTGCCCTGCCAGCACCCAGCACGCCCTGGAGGGGCCATGGAGGGACAGGCAGCTCTTCCAGGGTCTTGGAGCCATGCCCTGGAGTCAGGCAAGGCTGGGCTAGAGTTGCCAGTGTCAACGCTCCAGACCCAGCCTGTTTGCTCCTCTGTAAAATTGAACCAGAATGCCAGCTTCAGGGGCCTGCAGTCAGGATGAGGGTGTGTATATGAGGGGTGCTGCTGGGAGCAGCCCGCAGACCCAGGGGCCCTGCTGGGGGCTCTGCCCAGCCTGCCCCGTCTCCAGCCATATGGTCCTGGCTGTCTCAACTTCTCTGGGCCTTATTTTCCTTGACTGTAAAATGGGAATAAGGGTCCCTGCCTGCAGGTTCTACTGAGCAGTTGTGAGGATAAAGGGAAATGGAATCTGTAAAAGGAGTGCCAGCTGGAAAGCACCAGTCAGATGCCTGGGGTATTGGCACAGCTTTACAAGAAAGGCGGCCATCTTGGGAGCCGATTCCTGACACTGAGCACAGCCCGGCGGGAGGTGGGGGCTGCGGCCTGGGCTCGGTGGAATCTCTGCACTGCCTGGCGAGCCCTTCTCGCTCGGCACACCCAAGCAGCGGCATTAAAACCTGGTCCTGAGGCCCAGCTGGGCAGAGAGCCTGGGACCACGGTGGCCTAGACACATCCAGCTGGGGCAGGGTGAGTGAAATTCCAACTCCTGTTCTTCAAAGAGAAAATAAAGAAAAAGGACAGAAGAAGCCCAGTCATGCCACAGCAGGGCAGAGCCCACTCGGTCCAAGATGCAAGAACTGCCCGACCCTGGGGCAGCAAAGGAGCCCGGGATCTGGGGGCTGCTCAGCGCCTGCAGGGCATGGGAGTGAGGCTGGGGCTGCCTCAGGGCATGAGGTCCCTCCTCTCATCTCCGTCTCTGGGGAGTCTGTGGCTGCTGACTGCTTTGGGTCTGTTTAAAAGGAAACGCAGCATCCTGCTGACCAGCACAGGCCAGGCTTTCTGCAGGATTTTGCAGACAATGTAGGAGATGGTCCCAGACTTACCCAGAGCGCTGGGGCTGATACCTGAGCTCAGCGGGGCTGGGGAAACACTCACCCAGCAAAGACGGGGTGAGGGGCATTCCAGGAGGAATCCTCAGTGTGCTGGGAGGCAAAAGGGCATGGCTGGAGAAGGGCTGGCGGGGACACAGCTGGGGAGGAGGCCAGAGTCTGGCTAAGGTGGGAGCTCCTTCCAGTCCCAGACTTCATCCTGGGGTGTTTTCAAAGTGTGTAGGTGTCAATGACTCGCAGGCCCAAACTTTTGGGGAGACCACCACCAGCAAGTAACTTGTCCCTGCTACAAACCTCTGGGCTGGTGACCTCTGCATGTACCTTCATGGGTAATGAATGGACAAATGATAGAGAACATTATGGAGCAGTGTATAGAGCAATAAAGAACAAACAGAATATGGAACAAATGGGTACATTAACAAATGCAGGGTATGGGGAGGAGAGGCAGCCAGAAGAAGGAAGAGAAAAATACCATCGAAACTTAGGAATTCAGACCAATTACTTGAATGGTAGTTCAAATTTGTAAAGTCCGAGTCAAAAAAATACCTGAAAAATTGCCTCTGAATTCTTGATCAGGTAAGGACTGGAAAGAGTGGGCGTTTGTAATGAACGGATAAGAACTCTTTGTTGGCCGGACTCGGTGGCTCACACCTGTAATCCCAGCACTTTGGGAGGGTGAGGTGGGCGGATCACCTGAAGTCAGGAGTTCAAGACCAGCCTGGCCAACATGGTAAAACCCCATCACTACTAAAAATACAAAAATTAGCCAGGCATGATGGCAGGCACCTGTAATCCAGCTACTCAGGAGGCTGAGGCAGGAGACTCATTTGAACCTGGGAGGCGGAGGTTGCAGCGAGACAAGATCACACTACTGCACTCCAGCCTGGGTGACAGAGCAAGACTCCGTCACACACACACACACACACACACACACACACACACACACACACACACACAAAAGAACTCTTTGTTATGAGGGCATCATTTTCAACTGCAGAATGGAGCTGGAGGCCTGGGTGACAGTGGCTATGTCACACACCCTGACGGCTCTCACTTTCCTCATCAGGGTCCAATATGTGTTTGGACAGTGTGGCCCCTGAGGTATGAGCTAGCTCTAAAAAACATCCTTGAGAAAAACATTTAAAAATAAAGAAAAATAAATAAATAAATAGAAAACTTCTTTGAGTCTATCCCCAGAGGAGGCTTCCAAAGCACCTGAGGAGCTGCTCACTGAGCCAGGACTGGTGTCCCTCTCCCCGGGACCTTGTTCAGCAGAACCAGCTGCCTAGCTCTTGTCTTAGTAGATGGTAAAAAGCAACATTTCTGCCAGGTCCCTGCTTGAGAAATGACTAAACTTGATCAGTTCATGAGCCCCAAAGGAACTATTTCCAAATTTTGAATTTATGTGTCCCAAATGAATGGGGTTTGGCCACATTGTAATATATCTCGGGTGGAAACCATTTGTAAGAAATACCATTGTAAATGTTAGACTGAAGAGGTGTTTGTGAGACGCGCGTCCTCCCTGGGGTTTTGCGCAGGCTGCATGGCTCTGTCTGCAGGGCAAGGTCCACCCTGTGCTGTGCTGCCCACGGCTGAGCTCAAGGTGGGAGGGCTCTCAGGTGCCTGCCTGGTGTCCACACCAGCACACCCGTCAAAAACTTTTTCTTTAATTCTTTTTTAAATTTGGAAGGGAACCTCCAGTGAATCATCACATGCATTATTTGATTCATGTTTAATATCTCTGGGAAGCAATAAAAACAATAAATCATTATTAATAAAATGGCCTCAGCCCGGCTGAAACGCTAGGCACAGAATGGTGATGTTCCAGCCGCCCTCGGTGGCCCCAGCAGCTACAGTCTGGAGTTAACTGTTGGCAAGTGACTTATCCATGATCACCCAGGCCTCTGACTCATAGAGAGTGTGTTTATAATCAGGAGTGGGGCAGCTCATAAAAGCCACTCTTTGCCATCTTTAGTCTTTAAATCACAGCACCAGAGGCCACAGATTCTGCAGGGAGAGTTGTGGCAACGCACCCACCCATACACACAAAGTGTAATCAACACGCAGTCACGGAACACCCCTTACATGCAGGCCACAATGCTAAGTGCTGGGAAGACACCGAAGTGTAAAACGCCCTCAGAGCGCTTCCAGTCTGGTCGGGAAAGCAAGACAGGAACTCCTTCTTTCCTTCTCCTACCAAGGTTCAGTTCCTGGCCGGGTGCGGTGACTCATGCCTGCAATCCCAGCACTTTGGGAGGCCGAGGCGGGCAGATTACCTGAGGTCAGGAGTTCAAGACCAGCCTGGCCAAGATGGTGAAACCCCGTCTCTACTCAAAATACAAAAATTAGCCGGGCGTGGTGGTGCGCGCCTGTAATCCCAGCTACTCAGGAGGCTGAGGCAGAGAATCGCTTGAACCCAGGAGGCGGAGCTTGCAGTGAGCTGAGATCACACCACTGCACTCCAGCCTGGGAGACACAGCGAGACTGTCTCAAAAAACAAAAACAACAACAACAGCAAAAGCTTCAGTTCCTGCTCTGAGCCTGGCGCCGGGCTTGGGTGCTGGATGGCAGAGGGAGACAGCATTCCAACATGGACCAGCAGCCTCAAGCCTCCAGCTTCCCAGCTGGGCCCCAGTTCTCTCCTGACCCTTTTCCCAAGGACAGAGAGCTGGGTTCCATTTACCCAGGGTGTGGCTAGGAATAATCCCATAACCAATTATTAGCACAGCGCCTAGAACACAGGAAGCACACAGTAATTGTTTGACGAGAGGCAGGAAGGAAGTCAAGGAGGGAGAGAGAAGGTCCGGGTGATCTAGGCGCTCCTTACAGACAACTTCCAAATCCTCTGCAGATCCGGCCTTGGAATAGTGGATCTTCGGCCACCGCGGCACTGTCTGTGCACCCTCCGAGAGCCCCATCAGACACATTCTAGCCCAGATAGTCTCTAGCCTCAGCAAAAGAGCCAGTTTCCCGGAGACCCTCTGGGGGCCTAGGAACACCCAAAAGAACAGATATTTGCTAAACATCGTCTATGATCCCAGTGATTACTTCTAAGCTAAAAATTTGCACATGGGGTCTGAGAAGTCCAAGAATATTCTAGGGGGTAACTGAGAGAAAACGTGTAATCTGGGCTGTCCCAGAAATACCAGGCCCTGTGCCTGGTGTGGTGCTGGATGCCTGGGGAAGGGGAGCAAAGATCACTGTGGACTCCACCTAGAGAGGCCGGTGACATGGGTGGGGAGGAGCCTGGCTGGCTCGGACCTGGCCTGGAGACCCGGGGCCAGCAGGCAGCAAGGTCAGGGGAGTGTCCTTGTGCAGCCTCGGCTGTGGCTGCCTGTGTGGCTGAGCAGACTAAGGGGCAGGTCAGCCGCCCTTCCTTCCACCTCTGCCTGGCATCTCCCAACCAGATGGGGAGGCTAGGCCGGTCTTGCTCATGTGGGATCTGGATGCAGCCCTTCACACAGAGCCCGACATGGAGCAGATGCTCCGGAGATGCTGACGGCTAGGATTCCCCCGCCAGGCACCTGGCGGTCCTGCAGAAGGGCCAGGACAATGTCCCCAGCCCTCCACCAATTCCAGGGCAGATGAGAATGCCAAGTTGTGCCTGCCCACAATGTGTGTATGTGTGTGCGTGTGTGTATGTGTGCATGTGGGTGTGTACGTGTGTGCAGGCACGTGTCTGCCCACAATGCTTGTCAGACAGGATCTGCCCTCCGTGGCTGAGGGCTGGAGGGGACGACCACAGGAAGTGATACTGCCAAGTCATCCCAAGTCACCCTAAATATAACCCTCAATGTACAACACAGGAGGATTGTCCCTTCCCCGCTGCCCTGCCTCATGACCAGCGTCTGCCTAGGAGGGCACTTCCAGAAAGGCCGCTCAGATGGCTCTCTGAGATGCCCGCCTGGGATCCACGGCCTGGCCAGCACTAGAGGGGAGGCAAGCCTGGGGTCCTGCTCTTCCGGCCCCAAATCTCCATGGCCCTGTTCATCTAACTTCTTCCAGAAGAATTGTTGGCTACACAAATCACTATGAGCAACAATGATCTCTTAAGCCTGGGAGGAGGCATCCTTATTTAAGGGACACAGAGGGCTGCCGTATGGTGGGGGTCTGGCTGTGCCGAGATGCTGCTCGCACCTGTCTTCCTCAGCGGTCGGGGTTGCCAGCGTCCTGCCCCTCAGGTGTGACCCACTCCGACCTGGCTGAGCCGCCTGCTCGCCCCCTCCTTGCCACGGGTGCACGTCTGCCACAGGCCCTTTGCACCAGCTGCTCCTTAGCTAGAAGCACGCCCGTCCCTGACCTCCTGCAGGCCTTTGGTCAGGTCTCATCTCAGGAAGGCCTTCCCCAAGCACTCTATCCAAAACCGACACTCATTCTTTATCCCCTTTCCAGCTTGATCCTTTCTCTCATTTCTGTTTTGTTGAGTTCACTGTCTGTCTCCCCTTGAGTGGAGCTCAAGGTCCTTGGGGCCAGGTTTACTCTGGTCTGTTCTCCATCAGAAGCCCAGAGCCTGGAAGCTTGTCTGACACAGGGTACGTGCTCCATGAACCCACCTCAAGGGAAGGAACGCATGAGTGTCTGGGGACGTGGAGAGGGAGGCTGGTAGGGGAGGCTGGGACTCGAGCCTTAGTATGCAGGTGCTGCTTCTCCACTGCCCGGGGAGCGGCCTGCTGTACATGACCAAGGGCCAGGGGCAGAGAGAAGCGGAAGGCCCTTCCAGTGCCCATCACCTGACCCACAACATCCACGGCCAATGGTGTGAATGTGCTGGAAAGTGCCTTCTGATCCCAGAGTCCCTCAACTCGTGGTGGTGGTGGTGGCGGTGGCGGTGGCGGTGGTGGTGGCGGTGGCGGTAGTGGTGGCGGTGATGGTGGCGGTGGCAGTGGCGGTGGTGGCGGCGGTGGTGGTGATGGTGATGGTGGCGGTGATGGTGGTGATGATGGTGATGGTGGTGGTGGTGGTGATGGTGATGGTGGTGGTGGTGGTGATGGTGGTGGTGGTGGTGGTGGTGGTGATGGTGGTGGTGGTGGTGGTGGTGGTGATGATGGTAGTGGTGGTGATGGTGGTGGTGGTGGTGGTGGTGGTGATGGTGGTGGTGGTGGTGGTGGTGGTGATGGTGGTGGTGGTGGTGATGGTGGTGGTGGTGGTGATGGTGGTGGTGGTGGTGGTGATGGTGGTGGTGGTGGTGGTGGTGGTGGTGGTGCAGTGATATTATTTGCTGTGCGTGCACTGAAATGCCCCAGGGGTCTGGGGATGGGAATGGACACCTCGGACCACCTCCTCTACCCTCTTCTGATCTCTTCGCCTGCTCCAGCTTCTTGACACGGGTATCAGCCTCAGCACGACCTGCCGGGCCAGGCGCCTCCCCTGTGCACCCGTGCTGACAGTGGCCTCGGGCCAGGACATTTGTATGCAGGTGACATCCAGGTAACACGGACCCAGATGTTCCCCCACTCTCTAGCTCCAGTAAGGCTGGTGGATGGAGAATGAAGGAGTGGAAGTGGCCCCTTCACATGCAGTTGTGTCTATTTTCTGCTGAGAAAAATACTTTTTTCTCAGCTAACCACACGCTAACTGGCACCCTGAGGCTGAGGCCCCAGCCTGGATGTCTCCTCCCAACCCAGCAGCTACTGTGGCAAGGAGAAAGCGGAAGGAGAAATCGCCTCCCTCAGGAAGAGGAAGGCAGGAAAACCCACCCCACCCACGGGATGCAGATCTAAGGGCGGGGCAGGGGACGGGCAGAGGGTGGGGAGCTCACTTTGCCCTGGAAACACCACGTGCGTGCGTTGGTGCCCAGCGGGAAAGCAGCCACGCCCGGGGTCTGCCCTGGGCCCTGGGCTGACCGGCTGCGGGACTCACATCTACCAGGGCCACAGATGAAACCTGCCACTGGTATCTGCCCTCCACCCCTCACACAGCCCAGAACCCCATCATGAACACTGAAATTAAGACAGTGATGCTTTAACAGGTTTTGGGTCCAAATTTTAGCCTGGCTGAGTATTCAAAGGTGGTTCCTTCTGAGTGGGAAGATGAAAATTATAAAGAGCATCTCCCGTGTCTAGGGCCAAGAAAATTCCAGACTTTTGGAAAGCGACTTTGTATGAGGACTTGGAGGACTTTAATCCTTATACAGGACCCTGCCAAACTCACCAGATGCAAGTCGGTGATGAGGGCTCTCAGGGGCTGGGCATGGCCAGATGGGGCTCTGTCCCCAAATGTCCCTCCCCCAGGTGTCCCCCCGGGAGCCTATGACAGCTGACCCTTGCTACATCCATGGCCCCAACTGATGCTCACAGTATGCAGGAGCAGGTGGGGCAGGGTGGTGAGTGACAAGAGTCACCATAATAGTCATGAGACCATGAGAGGGAGGAGGGAGAGAGAGGAGGAGCTGTGGGGCAGCCAGGTCCTGCTGGTCCAGATACCACAGGGACACTTCACTCCAGGTCTGATCTCGCATTGACCCTGAAGAGGGTGTTTTTATCAACCTTAATATGCACGAGATTGGAAGGGGCTGTGAAGAGGCACAGCCAGAATTACACACTCTCCAGCATCGCATACCTGGTTCCTTGCTTACAAACAAAACCAAACCCTCAACGCTGGAAGGGCAGCCCCACAGCATGGCTGGCAGGCTCTCCAGACCCGAGGGCAGCCCCGGGACATGGCCAGGCCTTCCTGTCTCGGGAGCTGGCAGGATGACCAGGGTCATGAGGAGCCCTCCCGAGCTCACGGAGTTAGCTCAGGCAGGGCCAGGAAGGATTCCGGATGGAAAAAGCCCCTAAGCCAGGCTAACACTGGGGGAGAGGCGACCAGTGGCCAGGCCAGGGTGGTGCATTCAAGCTGTAAGCACTTTGCCCTCCCTCAAGCCTTCCTCGCACCCAGAGCAGGCAGGGGCCTGGGGGGCTGCAGGGTGGCGGATTCAGACAGACCCTGGGCCCGGCAGCCTACGGTAACTGCTCTGAGGGGAGAGCCACATGCCCAGCTCCCAGCGCAGACAGCTTATCTGGCGTGGGTGGGGGTCCAGAGGGCTGAGTGGCCCTGACCATGCACAGGAGCCTGGGAGAAGGAAGCTTCCAGGTACAGGGGCTGCAGGGGATAGAAGACAAAGAAACCCGGACACTAAGACAGTGCCCTCCTTGCCCTCACCCACACGTCCTTCTCAAAGTTCTGGGCCCCTCATTCCCCTGACAAATCGCCAAACAGAAGCACCGAAGGTCACGCGATTTACCCAGAAAGACCTGGCCAGCTTAGGGCGAGAGCTGAGATGGCTGTGGGGCCTGGGGGGCTGTTTCTCTGCATTTCCGAGCCGCAGTTTCCTGACCTGTCTAGGGGTGCTAGCTGGGCTGCCCCCCACGCCCAGTCTTCCCTGCTCTTTCTGCTGAGCTGGGTCCAGTCCCCACACATGGGCAGGACCCCACGGCACAGCAGGAGCCACCCACTTCCATCCTCAGTCCTCACCCACCCTGAGCCAGTCGGCCTCTGGGAGTGACTTACCAGAGACCAGGCGGAGGCTGAGAGGGAGTGGGTCAGAACCTCCAGGGAGTGTTTCCGCGTCCTGACTGGGCCACTAGACCATGCCCCTGGAAGAGAAGAGCGACAGGTCACGCAGGCTGTGACGACCCGGCCCGGAGCCCATGCCCCTCCCTCTGGTTGCTTCTGTGGTGCCTGCTGGGGGATCACAGTTTTTGCAAGTGCCATGCTACATACAGAAAGCCCTGGCTCCCGGCCTCCGGCCAGCCACCATGGACAGGGGCACATGCCCAAGGCCGCTGCACCCCAGCAGGCGAGAAGCCCAGGACAACGTTGATAGAAGCCCCAAGGTAAGATGCTGGCCACCCTTCGAGTGAGGTTGCTGGTTACTACAAAACTGGCATGGAAACTAAGTGTGGCCGGGACCTCTGTGGTCCACAAACTCAGGTTCAAATCCCAACAGCATTGTCACCTGGGGCCATCACAGACGCACAGCCTCCGTCCTCACCCAGCACTCTACACTCTGCACCCAGGGCTGTTACGAGGGTTCAGTGGAATCAGGCACACCCAGGCCTGCCACCCACGACTGTGCCCTGCTCCCTTCAGGGTCTCTCCAGCCTCCACGGTTTCTTGACTGGCATACCTGGGTTGGCCCCTCATCACCCGACCTCCTCCTTGAGGCCCACATTGCCCCCAGCATGCCTCCTGGGCCCAGCACAGGGCACACACTAGGTGCTCAGGAAGAGGTCAGGACGCATCACCTGACATTCAGCCCGCAGCTCAGCTCAGAAAACCATCCAGAGACTGAGAAGGAAAATTTGCATTGCGGGTGTCTAGGTGCTCGGCCACTCCCACCCTCAACCCTCACTGCCAGCTCTGGCACAAGCGTTCCAAGCACCTTTCACGTGGCGTGAACTCGGGACGGGCCCGCCTCCCTCTTCTCTGCCTGCTCCCCGGGCATGGATTGGTGACTCCTCCTCCGTGAACCTGCAGCCTCTGGTACATATGTGTATTAACAGTGTTGAGGCCGACAGCTCTATACAACCAGGCTCCTTGCTAAAGGCTGTCTATGCATTTGTACTCATTATCCAACGTAATCCACACAGCAGCCCTGGGAGGCAGGCACAATCATCATCCCCATTTGACAGACGGGGAAAAATGGAGGCTTACAGGAGCTAATTACCTGCAAGATCATGTGTCTTCCAAGGGGCCGAGCCAGGATGGAATCCTGACAGTCACTTCACCTGACGGCCCGTTTCTCTTCCGCATCTACCGCACACTCCCTAATTACTTTCTCCCAACGCAAGGTTCTCTCTCTCATAGCAACGATCCCGCTTTACAAGCACCCACTAGACGAAGTGGCTTGTTCACCCTAGAACACCCAGCCTCAGCACAGTGCGGCGTGCCAGCGGGGCTCCCCTCGCTCCTGCACAATGGGGGTGCTGCACCTCTCCCCTCCTTCCACCCACCCACCAACCCACCCCCCTGACTGTGAGCGCCACAAGGTCAGGAAATCGTCCGTTTCACGTCTATGCGTCCAGAGCCTGGACACAGCAGGTGCTCAACAAATAATGTTTGACAAATGAATGCCCCCGAGATGCATCACGTGTGATTGGAAATAGGGTGTATCTTGCTCAGAGTTAAATTTCTACTGTTTCCCAAATATAGAATTTTGTAGGCCAATTATGGAATGTAAACTCACTGCTAGAATTCAAGACCTGACAAAGTCATACATCTTCCCACCAGAAATTCTCACTGCAAGGTCCCTATGCTTTTAAGATAGCAGTGTGTGTGTGTGTGTGTGTGTGTGTGTGTGTGTGTGTGTGTGTGTTTTAAAGATAGATTTTAGGCTGGACACCATTGTTCACGCCTGTAATCCCAGCACTCTGGGAAGCTGAGGCAGGTGGATTGCTTGACTCCAGGAGTTCGAGACCACCCTGGGCAACATGATGAAATGCCATCTCTACTAAAAATACAAAAAATTAGCCATGCGTGGTGGTGCGTGCCTGTAGTCCCAGCTACCTGGGAGGCTGAGGTGGGAAGATCACCTGGGCCCAGAAGGCTGAGGTTGCAGTGAGCCGAGATCACACCACTGCACTCCAGCCTGGGTGACAGTGAAATGTTGTCTCAAAAAAATAAAATAAAATAAAAGATTTTATTTTTTAGGTCTTCCCAACAAAATTGAGCAGAAAGTTCCCACACACCCCTTACACCACTCCCGGCCACAGCCTTCCCCACGATCCACATCCCCTGCCAGAGCAGGCCATTTGTTACAACTGAGGGACCTGCACTGACCATCATCACCCCCCAGGTCCGCAGCTCACGTTAGGGTTCCCTCTTGGCGTGGGCCACTCCGTGGGCTTTGACAAACGTGTACCGATGCGCACCCACCATTACAGCATCACATAGCGCGGGCTCGCTGCCCTAAAGCCCCTCTGTGCTCTCTGCCTTGCCCCATATTTTCTCACGGCGTTTTCAAATCGATGATCTCAGCCAATTTATCTCACAGCTCCGTGCGCACTGCTTTGACACTCCGAGAAATCAAGACCTGGACAGGGTCAAGGGCTCTCCACGAGGAGAAACCCAGCAATGGAACCAGCAGCAGAATGTACCAGGTCCTCATTTCATCATCCCCTTCCTACCGGCCTGGCAGAGAGCTCATTCTCAACTGTTTATGGAGAAGGAAAGAGACTCCGGGACACCAGCTCAGGTGACACTCGGCTAAATGGGGTGTGGGGCGCCCAAAACACAAATCCCCAAACCCATGCTCTGTTCTTTTCAGCTGCTCTGGTTAGTTACAAGGTTTTTTTTTTGTTTGTTTGTTTTTCAGGAGACAGGATCTCGCTCTGTCACCCAGGCTGGAGCGCAGTGGCACAATCAAAGCTCACTGCAGCCTCAACCTCCCAGGCTCAAGCAATCCTCCAGCCTCAGCCTCCCAAGTAACTGGGACTACAGGTGCACCCCAATCTTTTTTTTTTTTTTTTTCATTTTTAGTAGAGATGAGATCTCACTGCATTGCCCAGGCTGGTCTCAAATTCCTGGGCTCAAGCCATCTGCCTGCCTTGGCCTCCCTCAGTACTGGGATTACAGGTGTGAGCCACCACGCCCGGGCCTAAAGGGGATTTTTAAAAGGCCATGGAATGCAGTGAATAAGCATCCTCCTGGGGTAGGAGGGGCCTCTGCATGCCCCCAGCTGGAGCAGGTGAGCACAAGCCTGCTGGCACGCTCAGCAAGCACACCCTATCTCCACATTGAGGTCCCTCGCTATCTGGTTGCAAAGGCCCCACTGTCTCCAGCTTCCTGGGGGCAGCCCTGCCTGGCCAGCACTCTCAGTGACCAGCTCCACAGAGGCATCTTTCCTCTGTCCCACCACAGCCAGGCCAGCTGAAGGGGAAAATGCTGGGTGGTGGGAGGGTGGAGAGGAAGTGCTGGTTCCAGGTTGGCCTGTGCCTTGGGCACATCCTGTGACCTCTGCCATTTCCAGTTTCCCCATCTGTGACAAAGTGGATGAGCTGGACTCCGCAGAGGAGGCCCAGCCAGCTCTGACACCAGGCTTCCTAGCAGGAAGGGGGTCTGCTGTTCCGGAGACCTTGAAGGAATTGGCGCTCAGGCTGCTTGGGAACACTCCATTAACTCGAATTGCAAATTTCCTCCTGGCTCTATCTCTAAGCCACAGGGGCTCCCTGGCCACCAGCTTCCCAGTGACAGATAGAGATTACAGTCATTGCTCGAGACAGAATCAAGTAGCAGAAGTCATTATGCAGAAATAATTATGTTGAGTTATGTCTGGTTGCTCCCGATTTCTGTCTGGCGATTGTCTTACAAATTGCCATGCCTCTTCCTCTAGAAAAGCAAAATGCAGAGGCCTGGGTGATTCATACAGACCTGCTGGGCACAGATCTACTGCTCCAAAGTCCTGCCAGCTGGGGCGTCACACCTTAGGGTAGGGTGCTCTGTGCTGCCCTTTGGCTGAGCGCTTGGGAGAGGAGGTTAGAAGATGAAAGCCCCAGAAGGGGACATCCGAACTCCCCAACTGGGAGTCTGAGCCCTTCACACACACGCTTTTCCTGGGGCCCTTCCGACCCCACCTCCCCCAGCCCTTCGTTCATGTCAGGCCTTAGGCCCCTCTCCGAGTCTCTGGAGAATGGCAGAGGGAGGTGGCAAGGCCAGGGGCTGCATGGCTGGACTGTCTGGAATCAAAGCCCAGCTGGACTGTTTCCTATTTCCTAACAGTGTGACCTTGACCTGTTATCTCACCTCTCCCTGCTTCCACTCCCGCATTTGTAAAATGGAGATGACAATAGTACTACCTAGCTCATCAAGTTTTTGTAAAGATTAAATGAGCTAATGCACAACAAATGCTTGGTACATAGAAAGAACTCAATAAATGTCAACTATGACTGAAAGAGCAGGGGAGGCCTGCAAAATCTAAGCCAAGTAGAAAGACACAAACTACCAGAACTGTCTCAAGAAAGAGACAATTTGAAAGACTTATAACACGTGAAGAGATTGAATTAGTAATCAAAACACTATCCACAAAGAAAAGCCCTGGCCAAATAGCTTCACTACTGAATTCTACAAATATTTAAGGAATACCAATTCTTGGCCAGGTGTGGTGGCTCGCACCTGTAATCCCAGCCCTAAGGGAGGCCAAGGTGGGAGGATCGCTTGAGCCCAGCACTGCGAGACCAGCCTGGGCAACATAGTGAGACCTCATCGCTACTAAATAAATAAACAAGCTAGGCATGGTGGTGCATGGGGGTAGTCCCAGCTACTCAGGAGGCTGAGGCAGAAGGATCACTTGAGCCCAGGAGTTCAAGGCTGCAGTGAGCTATGGTCATGCCACTGCACTCCCGCCCGAGGGATAGATCGAGACCACGTCTTAAAAAACAACAACAGCCTGGCATAGTGGCTCATGCCTGTAATCCCAGCAATTTGGGAGGCCAAGGTGGGTGGATCACGAGGTCAGGAGTTCAAGACCAGCCTGGACAAGATGGTGAAATCCCGTCTCTACTAAAAATACAAAACATTAGCCGGGTGTGGTGGCACGCGCCTGTAATCCCAGCTACTCCGGAGGCTGAGGCAGAGAACTGCTTAAACCTGGAGGGGCAGAGGTTGCAGTAAGCTGAGATCGTGCCACTGCACTCCAGCCTGGGCAACAGAGCGAGACTCTGTCACAAAAACAGCAACAAGACCCCAAAAATATAATGAAAGATGCCAGACACAAAAGGACAAATGTGGTATGATTCCATCTATATAAAATGTCCAGAACAGAGACAGAAAGTAGATTCGTAGTTTCTTGGGGCTGGCAGAAGAGCGGATGGGGAAAGAGGGGCTAGCAGGTAAAGGGTACGGGTTTCCTTTTGGAGTGATGAAAGCACTCTAAAATTGACCATGGTGATAATTGCACATACAAGTGAATATGCTAAAAATCACTGAATTGTATACTTTACATTGTATACTTTAAATGGGTAAATGGTAGGGTATGTGAATTACATTTCCACAAAGCTGATTTAAACAAAAATAATAAAAAGGAATCTAAGTCAATATCCTCCTACTCCTATATGCCAGTGGACAGGAGAGCAAAGAGCAGAGTCACAAGAGCAAGGGGACAGAGTGTAGAGCTTCCAGGGGACATAACAGGTCTTAGTGCTTGTCACCCCTTACAGAGGGGAAGGGATGGATGGGTACCAACTTAGCTGACTGCAAACCCCCCTGGCAGCCTCAAATCCAGGACTGGGCCCCCAGGAAGGTGCTGGAGCTGAGCTATAAAACTGCCTTGGAGAACTCCCCAGCAGGCCCTGCAAACCTAGGCCGAGTGCCCACCATGTGTGTTAGGTACAGGGACAGCGTCCCCACCTTTGAGAAGCCCATGGCCCAGTGGGGTGCATGCAGATTAGTGCTGGGCATCGGGTAGGCAGTCAGACATAAGCTCTTAAGATCTCTCTGCCTTCAAGAAGGTGATCCAGTCCACTGAAGGTGGTGCCGGACCCCAGGCCCTCAGGAATATTCATGTTCTCTAAGGAGTTTAGACTGGAGGAACTCTCCGCTCAACTCCAGAAACAGCCCAGGCTGCCACCATGGGCACTGCAGGTCACAGTGTAAGCAGGTTATGGTTCCGGGGCCATTTCTGGGGTCAGTTCCTCCTTCTTGGCCCAGTCCCAGGCCGGGGGGTGGGGTGCATTCGGTGCCCATTTCCCTCACTGGCTGGTCTTTGGGAAAGGGTACTGGAAAAGCTTCTTCCTCCCAGTATCCAACCTCTTGCCCAGGCGCAGGCTTCACATGCTCACTGGGACCTGCAGAAAACCGGAAGTGGCCTCTCCTGCTTGCTCATAGCAGGCAGATGTGTGCTCAAGAGATGACAAATTATTTTAATATATTAGGAAATCCAACATAATTACAAAGCAAAGTCCCTTAGGGAGAAAAAATTATAATGGAGTCTGAAGTCAAAGATGGATGGTTTTGGATTATGACTATTTTGGAGGTGACTGGTTTTCAAATGACTAATTCCACTGTGGCCTCCGGGTGATAAGCACAGTTGCTCCAAGAATACTGTCACACAGACGTTTTGCACAATGACCTCTCTTCATAGAGGCATTTTCTTCCATTGTTCAATTCAAGAAACTGAGTTACAGAGGAGCCTATGTGTCCTGAGGAGACCACCAGGGTGGGCTGTGGTCTGAGACCAGACACAGAGCACAGGGTGGAAGCCAAGATGTCCACATGAGACCATCCAGGTTGCAAGCTTCACACAGGTGAAGGTCTGGAAAGACCACCCAACACCTGAGCCGCGAGTGGTCATGACTAGTGCCCAGCACCAAACCCCTGGTTCCTGGGGCACTGGGAACTGACTGGCAGGGATCCCTGACTTCCAGAGAATGTGCAATGTCTTACTGTAGCTCCTGCTGCCACTCCCACTACCAGGGCATTTGAGCTCTTGTCACATAATAAAAGGAATCTACTGTCTATGACCACTTTGAAAAACTGGCATATTTACTAAAGATGACCACACACATGCCCCGTGAAGCAGCAGCTGACCTCCTTCATGTATGTCCAACAGAAAGAAGGACACATGTCCAAGACAAAGCATGTGCAGGAACACTCAGAGCTGCACAATTTGTCCCAGCCCCACCCTGGAAACTATCCAAACATCCATGTACATTCCACGGGCAGAGAAACTGGAGTACAGTCACAACAGAGTCCCATAAAGCAATCAGAATGAACCTCAGTGCCCCACACAACAGATGCGTCTCACAACCGCAGTGTTCAGTGAAGTCAGACACGAAGCCTTACTTAATACTGTGTCTTCCTCCAGGCCACTCTAACAAATTACCATAGACTGGGTGGCTTCAATAACAAACATTTACCTCTTACAGTTCTGGGGGCTGGAAGTCCAAGATCAAGGTGCCAGCACAGTTGAGTTCTGGGGAGGGCTGTCTTCCTGGTGTACAGATGGCTCCTGATCTTGCAGGGCAGGTGAGCCCCCAAACTGGGACTTAGCCCAGGAGGGTTCTTGGCTTCACTCAGGAAAGAATTCAAGGGTGAGCCGGTGGTATTAGCAATTTTACTGAAGCAGCTGTGCCCAGCGGCAGCAGAGGGACTGTTCCTTGCGGGGCAGGGCTACCCCACAGGCAGTGTGCCCAGAGCAGCAGCTCAGAGGCGGCACTGCAATCAGATTTATTCCCACTTTTAATTACATGCAAATTAGGGGGTGGATTATGCAGAAATTTCTAGGAAAAGGGTGGTAATTTCCAGGTCGTCAGATGATTGCCACGGAAAGGAGCCGTAACTTCCGGGTATTACCATGGCAGTGGTAAACTGACATGCACACTGGTGGGCACGTCTTAGGGAAAGCTGTTTCTACCCTGGCCCTGTTGTAGCTAGTCCTCAATTTGGTCTGGTGTCTGAGTCCTGCCTCTGGAGTCGAGTCCCGCCTCCTACGTCACCTTCTCATTATATACTTGCCTGGTAGACAGCAGAGGCAGGTCTGGCTCGCATCCTCTTCCTATAAGGGCACTAATGACCAAATTACCTCCCAAAGGCCCCGCCTCCTAATAACATCCTACTCGGAGTGAGGGTCTCAGCACAGGAATTTGGGGGCACACACACAATGGGTCCACAGTACACACCAAGATGCTGCAGCGACCTGGACTCTTAAACACTGACGAGGCACTCACAGCTGCTGCTGGTGACAAAGATGGGCCTTCCCAGTAAGAGACGAGGTCGGCAGGGAGTGGGACTTGGGGGCTGGGGATGGAGTTTATATTTCATTTTAAGCACAATTGTTGTAGGAAAACTTTGAAAACCAGAGAGTGCTACAAAAATACCAGGCACCAGGGAGAGAAATCGCAGGAGTCCCTGGACCTGGGGGCAGCAGAGACAGACGGGAGACCGTGAGACCTGCAGTCTTCTCCCAGTGACAGGGGTGGGGTGGGGACAGGTCACCTCGAAACACGATGTGTTGTCTTGAGACTGAAACTTGTTTGTTCACTCAGGACCTTCCATAGGCAGGAAGGAAAATAAAACAGCTCACTGCTCACTAACAGAATTCTGGAACCTCCCGAGCCCAGTCACTGCCACCCTCACCATGGCTCCCAGATGCCACTGACCTTCTCAGGCAGCATCTGAGGCACTGAGGCACCTCCTGTTCTGGAAGGAGGAAGATAAAACAAACCTTTGCCAACATCAGAACAGTGAGGCAGCCACAGGGGAAATGCCGACGGCCCCGGGGAGGCAGGGAACAATAAATCCGCTCCCAATCCAGTACTTTCTATTTGGGGAGCCTCCTACCCTGAGACACGCCAACTGTCTGCTGTCTGTCTTGGCCGGACAACGAGCCTCTGACCTTCTCAGGAGACCTTAGAACCCTAGTCCAGAAGCCTCCAATTGTCCTCTGGGGGCTGAGGGTCCCATGGGGGGCCTGCGAGTGCAGGGAAGAAAAAGCATCCAGGCCTCCCTCCACCCCTGCATGGCCATTCACCTGCCGAACACACAGACCTCCACCTGTGATTTCAGTGGCAAGAAAAATGTTCAACTGCAAAGGAGAAAAGAAAAGAAAAGAAAGGAAAGATCCATCTTGCCCAACCCTTCCATCGTGCAGTTGAGCAAACAGGCCCTGAGAAGAAGGGTCTTACCTACACTCGCAGGTCCAGGTATGACCAGCTAACACTCCAGGTGCTGTCATCTGCTGGGCAGAGATGCAAAGATTCAGGCATCGGAATAAGTGTCCCTTGCAGGTGTTCAGACCACAAGTCACCTTTCACCTGTTGGTCACTGTCACATGAGTTGGGGCCACAAGCCTCTCTGAGTACCACTGTTAAACTTTCTAAAGTTGTGTTCGTAATGATACCGGAAGAGCAAGACAAAGGACCAACAGGAATGCAGTTTGGAACCAGGGTCAGTATCGCCTGCTTACCAGCATGGGGCCACACTGTCCCTGGTGAGGTTGTCCCTGTGCCCACCTAGATGGCTCAGAAACAGCAGGCACCCAGAGCACCAGGAACGCTGTGGGGGTGAGAGGGTGGGGGAATACACCAAGCGCTTCTCCACGTGGACGTGCCCCACAGCAGCTAGAGCCAGTCCCCAGTGCGTCACCGCATGGCCCTCGGCCAGTCACCCTTCCTCCAGGACTGCTTCCTCCACGGTACCGTGGGCATCCCACTGCTCCTCCATGCCCTTCCTGAGGAGGCCGTGAGGCTGGCACAAGGAGGTGGATTCACACGCGACTACTCTTTGGACTCATGGTCCTTAACACAGAAGGCTGAATGTGGCACTTACGGGTCCCCTCAGGAGCCCTTGACTGCCACATCCTGTTCCACCTGCTCCTCATGGGTGCTGGACAGGTACAGACCATCCCCCCATCTGCAGATGAGAAACAGGCTCTGAGCCACTTGCCCCGGGCGACACAGCCACCAGCACTGCACCAGGAATCACACTTGGGCCCACCTGGCCTGCAAGCCCCGCTTCTCCCACTGGCCACTCCCTGGGCACTGTCCCTGCCTCATGTGGAGGCCAGAGACCAACTCTCACCCAGAGAGCAATAAGAGAGGGAGGAAAGCAGCCCCAGTGAGCCATTGCAGTGAAATTAAGCAATGCCGTGCAAGGCGGTGCAGAGGGTGGGTAGGGCCTGAGGTGGGTCCATGGAGAGGTGGAAGGGGTCCAGGCAGCGGGGCTGGTGGGGGGTGCTCCAGCTGGCCATCTGAAGCGTGGTCTCCTCCACCAAGCTCCAAGGCCCCTGCCACTGATGACAACCTCCTGCAGCTCCCCCAGCCTGCAGACCTTTGTGGTTTGGCATTCAAAGCCCCTGACACCCACCTGAGTCCTCAATCTCACCCAGTGGGCAGATTAAAGATGCCAAAAATTTGAGACTCTCCCACACTGCCATCTCACACAACCTCACCCCCTCCCAGGGCCCTGGGCCACTTGGGAGGGCTTACCTGTAACCTGGGGGGGGGTCTTTCTCCCCACATCAAAGCCCCTGCCCAGCATCTGCAGCCAGGGGGACTCTCAATAAACATGTAAATGATTCCACAGACCCACTCAGTGCTGAAACAACAACCAAAGAATAAACATTAAATGAATGAGTCAGCGAGTAGGCAGCTCAGAGCATGGAGCCACGCAAGAGAGGCCAGGGAGGAAGGACCAAGCCCATTCACGGAGGGCTTTGAATACTGAATTCAGGCTGCATTTGGCAACAGGGAGCCATGGTGGGCTCTTGAGCAATGGACCCAGAGGATCAACATGGTGGCCCAGGCAAGATGGAAGGCACATGTCTAAACCGACATCAGGGAGGCCCTGAGGAGGTGAGGGAGCAACCTAGGCTGGGGTGTGGCTGGCCCATGTGAAAGTCCGAGATGTTCAAGAGCGACTGTGACGTTATGTGGCTCAGCTTGTCACACGCAAGTCCTGCTGTGTTATCGACATTAATATTCTAATTGCCAGACAGCCGTAAAACCCAAGGCCAGCACATGCTCAGTGGCCAGAGGCTTCCCAAACAGGCAGAGCAGGAAGAAAAGCCCCCAGAGAGGAGAGGCTCCGGACACCCCCCGACACGAGGCCGACAAATCAGCAGCCTGGAACCAGGCGTCCAGGGCAGTGGGGGATTAAGCCAAATTCTCCTGCTGAAATCACTTAATCAGGAGCCTACAGAACATGTGGGGGCTCGGCTGCAGATGAAGGAATAAGTCATCTGAAAACAGAAATAAATTATTCATTCCCTGCAAATGAGCAGCCTCTGGGTTCCCACAGCAGCCGTCGCGCCACAAACATCCAAAAGGCTCGGCAAATCCTATTAGTGACACCACGCGGCCAAGCAGACACCGGATTCTGCCATCGTCCATGCAGACAGCTTGCCGTGATCTCCTCTACAGCTTCTCATTCTGCATCCGCAAGTGAAATCAGCCCAGCACATTGGATGAAAAAATCACAGCCCAGCCCGGCCTCCGAGAGAAGCAGCAAGTGTCTGCACCCAAGGAACTTGGATCACCAAGCCTCCCTGCCAGGGAAGCAAGCCTGGAGCAGGTGCTTGCTAGAATGCAGATTCCTGGGCCCTGTCCCACACAACCTCCAGGGGTTCAGCCCTGCATTCCCGACAAGTGACCGGGAGCTGAAGCCACCAGTAGGAAGCACTGGGGTCCTGGAGTCCCCCAGGGACGTAAGCTCGGCAGGCCAGCCTCACGCCACTGGGCAGCCTTAGGTCAGATTCTCAGCCTCTCCAGGCCCAGGGGCTGGGAGGGGCTGATGGGAAGATGGCAAGGACCACCGCACAGCTGCTCACTCACATGCGCACTCAGTGGAGGCCACTCATGGTGGGGTCTTCCTGTCACCTCTATCTTTTTTTTTTTTTTTGAGACGGAGTCTTGCTCTATCGCCAGGCTGGCTCACTGCAACCTTCACCTCCCGGGTTCAAGTGATTCTCCTGCCTCAACCTCCCAAGTAGCTGGGATTACAGGCGTGTGCCACCATGCCCAGCTAATTTTTGTATTTTTAGTAGAGACGGGGTTTCACCATGTTGGCCAGGATGGTCTCCATCTCTTGACCTTGTGATCCACCCACCTCGGCCTCCCAAAGCGTTGGGATTACAGGCATGAGCCACCGCACCCAGCCTGTCGCCTCTATCTTTATTTTCACATCTTTGATTTCAGTCTGCTCAGCTCACTTCACAATCAGAAAGAGAAGTCTTGAGGCTTTCTTTAAAAGTGCCAGCCCCGGCTGCCACTGCACTGTTTACTCTGCCTAGAACACTCCCTAACTCCCCAGTGAACTGCTCTTCCTTCAGACCCCAGCTCAGGGTCCCTCCCTAGGGAAGCCCCTGAAACTCCCAGCTGCTGGCTTTCATAGCACTGAGCACCTCCCCTTCATCCACTCTGCCACCGAGATTCCACTTTTCTGGGATTTGCAGATTAGCATCTGTAGCCCCATGGGGGAGGGGGCCTTGCCCCAGTGCCCAGCACAGCACCGTGCACCAAGCAAGCATGGCAGTTTGTGGAGGGCAGTAGTGAGTGTGAGCGAGGGGACACCACAGATGGTAACCTGGGCTCTCCTCTCTCCCCAGGGTGGGTGCCCAAAACCCTTCCCTCCAGACATCCCACGGGGATGTGTGGAGGGTGTTCTCTCCCTCCACCCCTCTCCTCCCACAAGGGGTATTTTGCAAGAACACCACTGGCAGCCCCATCCACTCCTAGTGAGGGGAAGCAGCTCATCTGATGTGACTGAAGAAAGAAATGACCTTCCTGCCGGGCCGCCACCTCCCTCACCTTGTCCCCACCCTGAGGGAGGAGGTCTGGGGTTGTTCTTTTGTCTGCCTAGGATTGGGAAGTTTATTTTAAAGGGTGGGGCAAGTATTAGGATGCTGATTCTTGCCATGGAGCCAGCTTACCAATCCAGAGCCACCAGCAAAAGGTGTGTGTGTGTGTGGGTGTGTGTGTGTACGCGATGTATATGCATGTGTAATTATATGTACACACATATAATTTAGTGACTTCAACCTGAGTGATTTTCCCGGGTACATTTGGCAATGTCTGGAGATATTTTTGGTTATTACAACTGGGGAGTTGAGGGGACATGCCTACCAGCATCTTATGGGTAGGGCCAAGGATACTGCTCAATACCCCACAATGCACAGGACAGCCCCCCCTTCCCCGCACACACCAAAGAATTATGCTTCTCCAAATGGCAACAGTGCTGAGGTGAGGAGACTCGACAAATATATTCCCCTACTGGTCACCTCTTAGATTTACCTTTTTTTTCTTTTCTTTTCTTTTTTTTTTGAGAAAGGGTCTCACTCAGGGCTGGGTGGCTCACACTTGTAATCCCAGCACTTTGGCAGGCTGAAGTGGGCAGATCACTTGAGGCCAGGAGTTTGAGACCAGCCTGGCCAACATAGTGAAACCCAGTCTCTACTAAAAATACAAAAATTAGCTGGGTGTGGTGGCAGGTGCCTGTAATCGCAGCTACTTGGCAGGCTGAGGCAAAAGAATTGCTTAAACTTGGGAGGTGGAGGTTGCAGTGAGCCGAGATCGTGCCACTGCACTCCAGCCTGGGCAACAGAGCAAGATGCGGTCTGAAAAAAAAGGGGGGTGGGTCTCACTCTGTCACCCAGGCTGGAGCACAGTGGCGCGATCTTGGCTCACTGCAGCCTCAACCTCTTGGGCTCAAGTGATCCTCCTACCTCAGCCTCCTGAGTAGCTGGGACCACAGGCACATGACACCACGCCAGGCTAGTTTTGTTTACTTTTGTAGAGAGGAGGTCTTACTATGTTGCCCAGGCTGGTCAGGACTCCTGGGCTCAAGCAGTCCTCCTGCCTCAGCTTCCCAAAGTGCTGGGATGACAGGCATGAGCCGCCGCGCCCAGCCAGATTCACCTTTTGACTAGTTGCAGACTCTAATGGTAAGGGGTTGCAGATTAAACCACGCCTCATTCCCAGAGGAGGAGTCAAAGGTGCTGCAGGGTGTCCCGCACACCACTGCCCTGGAGAGTGGTGCACAAGCGAGCCGCCACTCCCCTCCTGTTCTTAAACAGGAAGGAGCTCGAGGAAACGCAGCTTCAAGTGCTCAGGAAAAGGGCTGAGTGCCCTGTGGTGTGGCTGGGCAGAAACAGGAAGGTGTGCAGCCTTCACGGCTGGTTTGCTGTGGAGAGCACACTCCCACACTCAGCAGCTGCAGCCGGGCACAGGAGGTCTTCACTGGGTCCCACACGGGAGCAGGGAGGGGGTGGTGCATGCGGCTTCTCATCCAGAACCTCATAGAGCTGTTTGGTTCCTGCCTCTACTCTAGCTGACTTGCTTGGGATGCGTGGCCCTCCACGCAGTGCTTTGCATGTGGTCATTTCCCTTTTTTTTTTTTTTTTTTTTAATTAATGAACTTTATTTTTTAGAGCTGTTTAGTTCACAGCAAAATCGCGTGGAAAGCACAGAGTTCTCTACATACCTCCTGCCCTCCCTACTACCAGGGTGGCTGTTTGTTACAACGGATGAACCCGCCTTGTCTCTTCACACGTCATTATCACCCAAGTCCGTAGGTTACATTAGGACTCACTGCTGGTGCTGTATATTCTATGGGTTTTGACAACTGTGCAATGACATGGCTCCCCCACTACAGTATCACACAGAGCAGTTTCACTGCCTTAAAAATGCCCTGTGCTCTGCCTGCTCATCCCTCCCTCCCTCCTAACCCGTAGGAACCACTGATCTGTTTATTATCTCCATCGCTTTGCCTTTCCTAGGATATCATAGAGTTGCAATCCTCCATAGGCATAGCCTTTTCAGATTGGCTTCTCTCACCTACTCATATGCAGATGAGTTCCCCCATGTCTTTTCATGGCTTGCTAGCTCATTTCTTCTTAGTGCTGTGGAATAATATTCCATTGTCTGGATGCACCACAGCTAATTTATCCATTCACCTGCTGAAGGACACCTTCGCTGCCTCCAAGTTCCAGCTGTTATGAATAATCGTGAATAAAGTCGCTATGAACACCCATGTGCAGGTTTTTGTGTGGACATAAGTTTTTTTAACTCCTCTGGGTAAATATCAAGGAGCATGATTGTTGGATCACAGGGTAAAAGTGTGTTTAGCTTTCTAAGGATTTGTCAAACTGTCTTCCAAGGTGGCTGTACTGTTTTGCGTTCCCACCAGCAGTGAGTGAGGCTTCCTGTGGCTTCACATCCTCCCTCGCATTTGGTGCTGAGTGTCCTGGATTTGGGCCATTCTCATCGGTGTTTGCTTTGATTTACAATTCCCTGACAGCCATTTGTTTTTAAGCCACATTACTTTAAGATCACACAGGACCAATCTTTACTGTGAACCAAAGTCTCAAAATTGCCATCAGGGATCCCAAATGACATGATGCTCTGGCGGCGCAGAGCACCTGGGCAGGAGGTGATATAAAGGGAGGATACCCCAAGTTGCCCAGAAGACAGGCTGACAAACATTGTCCCTGTAGTCCTGCCTGATGTGACAACGCCCTGTCTACACTGGAACACGAACATCTCCACGCAGTGCGCATTACAGTCCAGAAGGAGCGTCGCATCCACTTTGTCACTTAATGCCTGGAAACCCAGACCTGAGGTGGGAGGAAACTTGCTGGAGCCACACAGCGGGAAGGGAGAGTCAAGGTCCCTGTGCAGAGCTTTGGCTGGGGCTCAGCAGAGCCACGTCTCTGTTGTTCAAAGCACAACGTAACATCCTTGTGGAATCTTTAAGGAGCTTAGATGCCTCCTTGCTTAGACTAAGGGCCTATCTGGTATTTCACAGATACATGCATCTCCTGGGTGGTGCCCACCTCAGGGGCACCTGCACACCTCAGACCGGGCCATCAGGCATCCTGGGGCCCCACTCTGCTCACCAGCCCCCATGAGAACTCCGGGGCTGCCTCTGTCCTGCACAAGCACTGATCCAGAGGTCCCAGGCCATCAAGATCCCCAGCGGTTCCCACACTTGAACTTTCTTATCAGGGTGGTGGGCTGGTCTTCAAGCTGGAATAGAAGTCTCATTTAGGCACTCTTTCGCTTATTCAAAACATTCTTAATTGGACTCCTACTATGTGCCAGTCACCATCCTAAGATGCAGCAGAGAACAAGAATGATTCCTGTTTTCAAGGAACCCGCAGTGTGATAAGTGCCCAGGAGATTTTGCGGCCAATGATATGTGCCATAGGTGAGTGAGTGCAGGATGCCAGGGGAGTCCGCAGAAGGGCCTCCAGCCCCACCTGGAATCTGGGAAGGCTTCCCAGAGGAGGTGACATCTAAACAGAGACTTGAAGAGTGAATAATAGTCATGCAGAGAGAAAGAGAAAATGGGGAGGGGTGGGTTGTAGGGAGCAACCCTGCTAGGGACTTTACAAGAAGCTACACCCAGACAGAAGTAGCTCAGCCCTGCAGGAAGGTGGCCCTCTGTGGACACACCATGGAGGCCAGTGGGTGATGGCAGTCAGCACCCCCAGCTTTCTAGGCCTGAATGGATCACAGCTGGGGAGGCCTTTGGCCCAGAGCCAGAAGGCTTGTCCCAGCAGACTGGTCTGGCTGGAAAAATCCCAATTCAACAACACAAGCAGCGCACACCCACCCACACCCCTGCCCCAGCAGACCCTACATAAATAGTCCCCAGATCTCGTGGGCCCTGGTGTGCCCACTAAGATGGGGGCTGAGCCCAGGGGACATACATGTGGCTTATTTGCCAACCTGCCCACACACTTCCTCACTACCCCAGAGCACAGAAGCTGCTGTCTCCAGACCAAGCAAACCTTGCACACTTCTGACTGAGAGCTGCATTTGTTTTTCTTAATTGCGAATCTACTGTGGCCAAGGGAAAAGCCGCCCAACAATTGCACAACACACTCAGTCTGCAGCTCTGAGACGCAGGTACTCGTGCAATTAAATCTGTGCAGAGCTTTTCTGAAGTGGTTCTAATTCCTGCCTGGACCTCCAGATGGACTCAGGTCAGGAATCCACCTTCCCTAACAAGAGGGCATGCCTGACTTGGGGGAGCTTTGTCCAAAGTATTCATGGTTGGGCCACATCTGATTCCAGTTGAGGGGGGCTGCAGTATAGCCAGCATGGACAGACTAAGAAAGAGCCACTGGTTCTGAGTGTGCGCTCAAGCCTCTTCAATGCTATTGTCTCCCAAACCTATACTCTCATGAATGGACGACTCTATACTTAAACCAGAGTGCAAAGCCTGCCTTTAACCCTGTGAAATTTTATCTTATTTTCAGCTCATCTTTTCAAGCGACCAGAGCCTCTGGAATTTAATAGCATTCCAGTTTTGCACCCTTAGCCAATCTGATGTACATACCAGGGCTGATAAAGCAGATGGGGGAACTGCTGGCATGGTTAAGGCAAAGCCTATTGAGAGACATCCAGTGGTCATGGTCATCCCATCACTCAAGGCCTTGGAGGCCGGGCCATCGGACCATCTGCGCAGCTATCTAACTGTACCACTGCTCAGCTCCCATTGCAGAAGGGTCAGCCACGGCCATAGCTCCTGCTCATAGCCCAGCCCAGCCCACCAAGAAAAGGAGCCAGGCCTGTCCACTCCCACATCCATCCACCCTCAGGAGCCCCATGGGCCACACCCATGGGGTGTCACAAACACTTTCCCTCCAAAGTAACTTCCACAAGCAACACCTCGCTCATCCTCACAATTTTTCTGGGAAACCAGTTGTGAGGGACATTTACAAGCAGAAAGAGGGAGGCACGGGTTTTTGGAAAGCTGCAAGGCTGGACTTCAAATGTAGTCTTCGGAATCACGCACTGGCCCAGGTGGACAAATTTTTATATTTTTAGTAGAGATGGGGGTTTCACCATGTTGGCCAGGCTGGTCTCGAACTCCTGACCTCAAGTGATCTGCCCGTCTTGGCCTCACAAAGTGCTGGGATTACAGGTAGGAGCGACCGCACCCGACCGCAAATATTTTTAATGATACAGGAAATGAATGATATTGTCTTAAGTGGAAAGAAAAAGCGGGACCTGAAACAAATACATAGCATGACTCAATTACAGCATGAGTCTGTCCGCCTCGCTGTAAATGAATACTGACCAGAAGAAATGGACCCATATGTCTGCTGTGATGATCTCTGAATTGTAGGATTATGCATTATAATTGTTTCTGTATTTTCCACATTTTCTACCGTGAGGATTTAACATCTATAACCAGCTCAGGTGCCCAGCAAACAGCAGCCTCTCTCCAGTTCCTCCCTGGAACATGCAATGTGGTCATGGACTGAACGGCTGTGCCCTCTCCTCAAATGTGTACCCAGGCGCCCTAACCCCGAGGGCGATGGTGGTAGGGGGTGGGGCCTTTGGAAAGTAATTAGGTTGCGGTGAGGTCAGGAGAGTGAGGCCCCCATGATGGTATTAGTGTCCTTGTAAGAAGAGGAAGAGACTATAGTTTGCTCTCATTCCACAGGAGGACACAGAGAAAAAAGCCACCTGCAAAGCAGGAAGAGCCCTCCCCAGAACCTGACAATGCGGACGCCCTGATCTAGACCTCCCGCCTCCAGAGCTGAGTATGTGTCTGCATTTAGGCGGCCCGGTCCATGGAGCTTTGTTATGGCAGCAGGTGAGAGCTGAGGCAAGCACCCTCCTTTATCGGGACAGGAAGTAAAACTAACAGCTGCAACCAAATCTGTCTGGCCCTGCACAAGCCTTGGAAATATTAACTGTGTGTGCAAACGAGTCCCACACCTCCCTTCAAAGCAGTAAAAAAAAAAAAAAAAAAAAAAAAACATGAAACCACCTTTCTCTACTTTTTCTTGGGCAAGTAGCTGCAGAATCCTGACTCTGCAAGACGGCAGAGAATTCAGATGCTGGCACCATCCTTAGGGTCCCGCCATGTCCTAAACCCCATCAAGAACCTTAAACCCAGACAAGTTACCCCAGAAGAGCCAGTGTCATCCCATCCTCCAATGTCCAGCCTGTCGTGAGGTCACAGGACTGGAAATTACCGCCTTGGTCAATTAAGGCCTTCAGTCCAAAGTCGAAACGCCTCCCCGCCTCACCCGTGCCCTCAACCAGCATCTTCGCCGCCTCCTTGCACTCTCTGAAATGCCCTCCCTGTGCCTGCCCCGTCCCCTTGGTGGCTTGCCGCCCTTGAATACCCTCCCCCGTGCCTGGCCCCCCTCGGTGGCTCACCACCCTGGGGATGGGGATGGGGATTCTGGTGTCCCTTTATGTTTCTGTGTTCACTGTTCACACTGGACTCAGTTCCTCAAGAGAACACCCTCATAACCTTTTGTATCTTGGTGCCCGGCCAGGGTCTGCCCTCAGAGTGCATGCTCAGCCAGGGCTGCTCAGGAGGTGCCAGTGTGGGGAGGTGGGCAGGACACGGGAGCCAGGGGGAGGAGGGGGCTGCCGAGAGCTGGCAGGGGGCTTCAGAGGTGGCAGGGGCCCTGCCGACAGAGGGTGGAAGAGTGTGTGCGGGCAGACAGTGCGTGAAAGGACAGGGATGGGGGTGTGGTCGTGACACTCAGATGGCAGCAGGTGGGCACAGCAGGTGCCCGCGGCGAGTGAGAGTTGTTGACTGTACTGGTGTCCACAGAGTTGAGCAGCCGGCAGAATGCCAGTTACCTTTGCAAGCACTGTTCAGACACCTTTCCAGGTAAAGCACTGCTGGTGTGAAGCAGTGGAAAGGTGCAGCCTGGGGCCTGGCTCGGGGGCAGGGTTGCATTTGCTGCGGCTCCACTCAGCCGCCTTCCACCTGCCATTCGGGGCGGCGCGGCCTGCGTGGCAGCCTCCTCACACCTCTCAACAGCGCTTTCTAGAAGGATGCAGCCTCACTATTGAACAGCAGGATGTTCATTAAAGAAGTTAACGGTGCACACCCAGGAACAGAGTACTGCCTTCAAATTTGGGCCACAAGGGATGATTTTAATAACACAGGACAACATATCTGATTAATACAATACAGTATGTATTGTATTACATACATGTATTGTACTACACACAATACAATACGGTATGTATTGTACTACACACAATACAATACGGTATGTATTGTACTACACACAATACAATACGGTATGTATTGTACTACACACAATACAATACGCTATGTATTGTACTACACACAATACAATACGCTATGTATTGTACTACACACAATACAATACGGTATGTATTGTATTATATACTGTTACAATACAGTATGTAAAAATGTTCTGTTTATGGCAAACTTAAATAAAATATGCATTTTGTGACAGTCAAGAGATATAAAGGCTGGGGGCAGTGGCTCACACCTGTAATCCCAGCACTTTGGGAAGCCGAGGCGGGCAGATCACTTGAGATCAGGAGTTCAAGACCAGTCTGGCTAACATGGTAAAGCCCCATCTCTACTAAAAAATACAAAAATTAACCAGGTGTGGTGATGCACGCCTGTAATCCCAGCTACTTGGGAGGCTGAGGCAGGAGGATTGCTTGAACCCAGGAAGTGGAAGTTGCAGTGAGCCGAGATTGTGCCACTGCACTGCAGCTTGGGTGAGTGAGACCCAATCTCAAAAAAAAAAAAGAGGGATTTTTTTTGTAAAGTCAAGTTTATTAAGGTATACTTTACACACAATTAAGTTCATCCTTTTAGGTGTACAGGTCACTAAGTTTTGACAAATGTGTAACCATCAACATAACAATTTCAGCACAAGACTGAAATCTTTTAAAATTATGTTAATAAATGGCTATGGCTAATGTGTTAGTCTGTTTGCATTATTACAAAGGAGTACCTGAGACTGGGGAATTTATAAAGAAAAGTGTCTTAATTGGCTCACAGTTCTGCAGCCTGTACAGGAAGCGTGGTGCCAGCATCTGCTTCTGGTGTAGCTTACGATCATGGTGGGAGGCGATGGGGAGCCAATGTGTCACATGGCAAGAGTGGGAACAAAAGAATAGGGAGGTGACACACTCTTTTAATCGACCAAATTGCTCACTCATCACCAGGGGGATGGCCCAAGCCATTCATGAGGAATCTGCCCCCCTGATCCAATCAACTCCCACCAGACCCCTCCTGCAATGCTGGGGATCACATTTCAACATGGACTTGGAGGGGACACGCATCCAAACCACATCAGCTACTATAATTATTTATTGTCTCCGCAGCTACTCTCTTGAATTATGTCATTAATTTGAGAGTTTGTCAATCGATTCCTTCGGGCCGTAAGGGAGCCAGCACCTGCTGAGTGCCTACCATGCATAAGGGGCTGTCATGGGGCTGTGTTTGGTTTCACTTCTTCCTTCAACTCTCAGAGAAAGGTATGATCCCTGTCCCTGTTGTACAGTGAGGGAACTAAAGTCTGGAAGGTAAGCACCCTGTCCCAGGTCACACAGCTGCTAACAGGATGATCTGGGCTCAAATTGATGTCAATTCTGACTTCAGAGTTTATGTTAACCCAACACGCCACACTGCAAACAACATCACCGTAATTTGTGTTCTTGGCTAACCACTTTTCTTCAAGCTTCCTAAAGGACACGAAATGGGAGTGGTGGTCGTACCTATGCCCCCTGGCCCCCCTCCCCCACGGCTCTGATGCACAGGGAGCTGTTGCTCCGCAGCTGAGGCCCCCAGGAAAGCCCCGAGTCCTGGGAGGGGCCACTGAGTGTCCAGGTGGGAGGGGCTCCCTCATCAGCCCTGTCCTGCCTGGTGAATTCTAGGTAAGAACAAAGTGTTGCTAAGTGGAAAAAACAAAAAACAAAAACAGGTTGTAAAATAGTAGATATGGAATGATCTCACTTATAGAATTATATCTATAGGAATATGCATCCAGCCAGGGCCTGCTGGGGCAGGGCACACTGTACTCCAAAATGTTACCTCTCCCGACAGGACTGTGGGTGGAAATGCTTTCCTCCCCTTCCCCGCCTCTTTTCTCTTCTGTGACTTTCTAGTATTTCTTCCCTAAAGGCAGCTGACTATGGGAGAGGTCTTCAGCTCCCCTCCAGGCTCCCAGCTCTCTGCCAAGGCCTACTCCTCTGCGGCTGGCCCAAGGAATTCTTCCATGACACGGCCCCCCAACCCATCTCTTCCTCCTTCTGTCCAGTCAGTATTTTAAGGCACCTATTCTCTGGGTGAATAAGGACAAGGGGTCCAGCCCCAGGGAGTTCTCCACTCTGGTGGAGGACACAGCAACAGCCAACATCAGCCAACAACAATCAACAAAAAGGATAAGATTACAGGCAGGGCCACGGCTGAAAGGCAGTGATCAGGGCGCCTCCTCTACGCCGTAGGGTGGAACTGCCGCCTCCACTCTGAGACCTCCCTGCTGGTGCCCAGCTCAACCCCAGGCCCTTTCCAAGAAGCCTTCTCAGAACCACATGCTATAGTTGAATTAAATACGCCCGTGTCTGTCTCCCTGCATTTCTGGAGGGCAAGGTCTGGTTCCACCGCACCTCTTGCCCTGTCCCCCGCATGGGCCCTGCAGACAGGATGCCTCCTGCTGGACCGTCAGCTCCCTGAGGGCAGGCAGGCTCGGTCTCCTTGCATCCTGAAGAGGAACAGCTGTCGCTGTAAACCTTAAAGACCACAGCAAGAACAAGAATGGTCAACACAAAATCTTGTAACGCAGGTGCCAATACTGCAACAAAGCAACCAAAAGCCAGAAGGCTGCACACCACTGTGTGTGACTGTGTGAGAAGGCGACCACCAGTGATTTTTTTTTTTTGCCCTGTATTTTGCCAATTTTCTGATATGTTCTTACATCACTCTTATAATTAAAATAAGTGTTTTATGCAGCCCGTTGTCCCAGGGCTCTGGCGTTCTGCCCCACTGACCTCGAGGACTCAGCTGAGACTGGGGATTCGAGACTCGGGGGACTTAGGATGCCCTGAAGGAAGGAAGGAGCCTGCAGCATCTGGAGCACTGCAGGCAGCAGAAGCAAGAGCCGCTGCCTGTGGGGAAGCAGGCGGGCCGGGCCAGGCCACCCGAGCTCCAGGGCCAGCCAGCCATGAGACTAGGGGACAGAGGACTTGGCCAGGACGGACTTTCCCAGAGGCCCAAAGGATAAAAACAGACCTCCTGACCCAAATGCATCATAAAGCCAACCCCGCAGAAGCCCCTGTGATGGCCGGGTTGTCTGGCCCAGAAGTTCCCAAAGACCCTGAGTTCCAAAGATTTGACCTTGGTAAGATCCTTGGGGCTAAAGTGGACAGGTCCCAGTGTGGGGGCTGAGCCTCCCACTGCATGAAGATGGCATAAACCTCTGGGGGTGGTGCTGGTGGCCTGGGCTGGGCTGCTGTGGGGGGCCTGTCTGTTCCAGAAGGCTGAGGAGCAGGTGAGAGGGGGCAGCTGCTCGAGGCTGGACGGTGGAGGCTGAGGAACCCCAGCACCTCAAGAATAGAGAAGACTTTCATCCTTGCCTTAGAATTCTGAAACATAAAAAAACAAAAAACAAAAAAAAACCTCAGCCCAGGGGACATTGTGTCTGATATCATCTATCCTGAGATCCGCTGAGCACCCAATCTCCAGTTTCTAGGAACATTTCTGTCACTCGTCACTTTCAGTGACTTTAAATTTTAATTTTTCTATTATCGAGTCGGATGATCTGATGATGCCGATGCTTCCGGGCGTCTGTGACCCCCTCATGTCTCACTCATGCAGAAGCAGCATGCCATCATGAACTGGGACCTGCTGGGGGCCCAGGCCCTGCCCCTCCCTCTGCTCCAAGCCTCAGTTTCCCCATCTGCCTCTCATCCCAAGCAAGGGATCTTACCACCTCCCTCGCCTCTGAGTCCTGCTGGCCCAAATGCTGGCCCAAAGCCACTCTCCTTCCCAGATCATCCTCTCCCTCTTCTTGGCCCTTGTAGTTACAGAAACCCAACTCATCCCTCCTGCTGCTCCAGGAAAACCCCGGCCCCGGCTCGCAGCTCTCAGGCTGCCGCTCTCACCTGCCCTGCACAGCCGTGTGGCTGAGCCTCAGAACACTGCCCAGGGCTCAGGCCAGCTTGGAGGAGAGTCAGGCAGCGCCTGTGTGTGAGGCTCCCTCTCTTGGGTCCCTTGTAGGGCTGATCCCTCCTTCTGGGGGCAGGAGGGGCTGAAGTCATGGAGGCCAGAAGAGGGGCTTTAGAGGCAGGAGGGGGGCCACAGTCCCGGGACCCAGAGCCTGGCCACCTTCTCCAGAACTGGCCACAGTTTTGGGGTCAGGGAGTTGGCTCCTTACACACCCACAGGCTCCAGATCCTGTCCTTGGGGCAGGGAACAGGAACAGCTGTCACCGTCTCCACAGGTGATGCCCTTCTGAGGAGCAGCACAGGTGTGCTCTGGCCGTGGCTGACGGAGAGCGATGGGACCCACGCCACCCTCCGGGCAGGCAGGGAGGAAGAGCTCTCCAGGCTGATCTCAGCTGTTTCGGGAAGGCTGCAGCTGGGTGAGGGGGCTTCAGGCCCCGGCTGCTGGGTTCTGCCTTGGTGACGCCACTTGCCCCCCTGTGTCACAGCCATACGCTCGCCTGTCCGCCTCCCCGATCCAACTGGGAGTTGCTGGGTGTGTCACAGCCATACGCTCGCCTGTCTGCCTCCTCAATCCAACTGGGAGCTCCTGGGGGGGGATTATGCCTTACCCATCAATGTGTCCACTGTGTTGGACACAGTATCCGGGACATAATAGGTGCTTTGTAATTGACAGAAGGCATGGAGTGGGTGCTCCATTCGCTCCTATGACTCCAGTGGGGCCCCCATGGGGCTTCCCCCACCGACAACCCTCGTCCCCCACCTTAGCCACACAGCACAGGGCACCACCCAGCTTCCTCGCCATGGCTCAGGACCTGGAGATGCGATTTTTCTGATCTTTAGCCCCGATTGAGGAATGACCAGAAATAAAGCAACACTAAAACCAGACCAGATGGTGAAAAGCGCTGGACTGATACATATTCACTGTGCACCCAACGTGTAAGCAACGTGTTTGGCTTTCAAATAAGACAAAGATGACCATTGTGTGTATTCCTTCATCTGCAAAAATAATCAGGGCAAACAAAAGAAAGGATGTGAAACACCCTCTAAGAAGGAGAGAAACATCTGAGGCGCTGGCGGGCCTGGAGGAGGCGGTTGGGCCCGCTGGCTTAAGGCTGCAGCACAGAGCCAAGCCCTGACCTGAAGCCAGTGAGCAGCAGAAAACCCCCCGGACAAAGCCAGACGTCCCCAAGGGCACATGCCTCTCCCTATCCTCCATGGCACGCTGACCCCTGACAGCGAGGTTCTTGGAGCACACCAGGCCCAGGGACCTTTCCGGGCAGGCCCAGGTCCAGTGCCTGGCTGACACTCAGGTGGCCTCCTCTAGGAGGTGAATAGGGAATCTTAGAGGGAGGAGGAGGAGTTTGGAATGGAAGGCAAGGGGAAGGCTGCCCTGGGAACAAAGGCAACAGTGTTGACTGGCGTCGAGGAGACAGACATGGTGTCTCCTAATTGTCCACTCTTCCCACTGACTGACCCCTCACTGCAACAGGACACAGGACTCTGCAGGACCCCCAGGTCACAGCCAAGGTGGGGCCACACTGGGGGCTTCCTACCCAGGTGGGGCTATCCAGTCAGAGACCATCCCCCCACCCCACCCCACCCCCTGGGCCTACACCTGGGGCCTCAAAGCCCAGGTGAACAGGGCGAATGATTTAGGAAAAGCTCTTCTTGGAGGAGAGCCAGAAGAGGGTAAAAGACGGGGGCAGGTGTGGACACAAGCCTGGCTTGTCCACTCAGTTCTGGGGGCACAGTCACCTCCAAGGAGACAATGTATAGTCCCACTGGCATTCCCCTCCAACCCCGGTGGCCAGCCAGACCCACTAACCCAAACTGCAAATGACAGGGCCACAACAAACCACATGCCACCCCAAACCCGCCCTGCCTGGCCCCAGGGCTCCACCCCTGCTGCTCCAGGCCCTGGTAACACCCACCTGCCCACTGGCCTCCTCTGTTTGCTCCATGCCAGGTCACTGGACCCTGCAGCCTGGAGGTGCCTCCTCTGTTTGCTGGCTCCATGCCGGGTCACTGGACCCACAGCCTGGAGGTGCCAGCTCTGCCTCGGATCCCACAGGTGAAGGGGGCTGCCCCGTCACACGTCCAATTCTGTGACAACTTTAGGTGGGCCCCCTTAGCTTGGAGATGAGGAAACTGAGCCCCACGGGGATGAAGGATAGCCAAAACCTGGTAGAAAAGTTGGAATTTGAGCCCACGTCCTCCCAGAACGCTGTTGCTACCTGGGAGCCCCCAAGACCCCCAGGAGCAGGGCACCACATCTTTGGGATTTTCCAAAAGCTGGTACACCTGTATGGGTGGCTCCAAAACACACCCCTGGCAGACTCCTGTGCCCTGCAAAAGGCCAATGCCAGCAGTGGCCCCATCATCTGGAGTCTGCCCTATGTGCCCTGGCATCATGGGGCAGCCTTGCCTGAGGGCTAGCTCACAGTTGCTGCTCAGTTCCCACATGTTAGACCCCGCTCTGGGGACCAGACAAAGTGGCTGGCCCTCAGCCAGCCCCTCCTCTGCTCCTTGAAGCCTCTTCCTACCTGCATCCAACTAAGTGTTCCCCAGAGAGCCAGCAGGATCTGCACATGAGGGTTTAGGGCTTGTATGGGTTGGAACAAAACAGGTCAGTGTCAAGCCAGCCTGGAAATCCTAACCCCAAAATCTTCCCCCACTGCCAAGTCCCAAGCATGCACCTGCAGGCAGGCATGGGTGAGCACAGGCTGCTTCTCTGTGCCCCCGCAACATACACAGGTGTCCCACCTGCTCCACGACTGACGGGAATTCGATTGGAAGAAGATAAAAGCAGAGGCGATTTGGGGAATGGGAAGGGAGCCACTACTGAAGGGAAGGAGAAATGCAGGAAGGAGAGTGGAAAGAGGGTGCGCAGATTAGCCAGGCATGCCCAATGGGCCCATACAAAGGAATGCGGAGACTCCACTTGGGCAGAAGGCCAAGGCCAAATACAGTATCTATGTGCCTGCCACTCCTGAGGCCTAACCCAGCACATTTCTTGAAGATAAGTGGGCCAGGTAGGCGCCTGCACATTGAGATAAGGGCTAAGTATAGAAGGAGAAAGTTGTTTTTTCCAAAACGTTAAGAAGCACATTTCAAGGAGTAAGGAGGTCTCAAGGACACACTGGGGGCAGCCTAATGAGGCCAGAGCCTTTTCCTTTTTCAAAATTACAAGCTGAACTTCTATGCCTCCTTTGAGCTCAATTTCAGCTTTCCCTAGTGGATCCGAACACGGCATATTCATTATTATTTGATTAATAAGGACCTGGTGACAGTTTCCAATGGACAAAGTTAGCTGGCTTAACCACCACCTCCTCCAAGAAGGCCTCAGGGATCCCCTCTCAGTTCTCTGCTACATTTAGGCTGCCCCTGAGTCCCATCAGAGCCCACCTCCCTCTGCCTGGAGCCCTTGCTGCTGTTGAACTTGCTCCTGCCTGGGACAGGTGCTCACAAATGCTGTCAAACGGGCCTGAGCTATGAGGCAGCCAGGAAGCCAGGGCTCCGGCCCCACCAAGTGTCAACATCCACCTTGATCCAGCCTCCCAGGCCTGCAAGTACTATGGACTCAGAGGCAGACATTCCTGTAGGTCCTCTATGGATTCTGCAGACAGGCAAGGCCAGAAAAAATCCCGAGAGAATTCCTCAAGGGCTGGAGGAAAATCCTAACTAGCCATGATGGCCGTGGAAGCCATCACAACCCCTTACAAGGGATATGTGAGCCCTGAGGTCAACAAACTCTAAGAGGCAAGATGGGGGCACAGAAATCAGGCCACGGGCATCATGTGACTCACATGGCAGGACTCAGTGGCCCTCTGCTCCCCACATCACAGAGCTGGAGGGGAATCCTTGTGTTGCTGCAGCCACCCCGGCACAGGGTTTTCAGCCTGAGAGGGCTCCTTGATGTGATGGGCAGGTTCCAGTGCGAAGGTGGCCAGCCTGAGGCGACCGTGAGTCCTCAGGCTTCCCCCAGTCACAGGGCAACGCCATCGGCTGCCGCCAGCTTGGGAGATGTGCTTTTGGGAAAATCAAGTCACCACAGCATTCTCCTGCGGTCCCTCCCCACTCGGTTTAGATGTTGGTGAAGAAAACGAAGCCAGTTACGGCAATGACTTCCAACAGATACAATCAAATAATCTATTCCTGGATTCCGCAAGTACTGAAATGTCGGTAATTCAATTCCTGAAATGCCATTTTGGAGCTGCCGGAGCAGGCTGCGGAGAAAGCTCAGTAAACACACACATCAGTTCAAGCCCAAACACACACCCACTGACCTTGAGCCCCGGTGCCCGGCGCTGTGCTGAGAGGCCAGCTCCCCAAGGGCGGCCACCACCAGACAGGGCCTGGGGAATGGGCGGTCCAGGAGGGAGGCAACAGCAACAGCAAATAAATATTGACAACGCTGCAGGAGGCGTGCTGCTGGGAAAATGTGGACGAACTGCACTGAGCTCGAGGAAAGAGTACTCAGTGTGTCTGGGGGAGTCAGAAGGCTCCCAAAGCAGGCTTGACTTACTCTGTGATTAAAAGCCAGGCCGGAGCTGGGAGCTGGGGGAACAGAGAGGTGGGAACCACCCTGCCCTCAAGGAGCTCTGGCCGAGTGAATGCAGACACACATATGCTGACACGCACACACACCTACACACACATATGCACACACACACACAAACCTACACACACTGCACACACACCCACACGTGCATATGTGCACACACATGCACACCTACACACACGTATGCACACACATGCACAAACCTACACACAATGCACACACACACATGCATATGTGTACACACGCACACCCCTACACACACGTATGCACACACATGCACAAACCTACACACAATGCACACACACACCTACACATGCACGTGTGCACACATGCACACACCTATACATGTGTATGCGCATATGCACACACAGGCACACACCTACACATGTGTATGGACACACACATGGAAAGCTTTGGAACTGAGGTCACCATATGCACACACATCTACAATGCACATGTACACACATACACACCTACACAGGTATATACACACATGCACACACCTATATACACATATGCACACACCTACACACGCATATGGGCACACACGCACATACACACATGCAAGCACACAGGCACACAGTCCCAGGGCAGGCAGGGTAAGGGTCACATGAGGAATCCTGAACACCCCACACTGTGTGGGGATCCAGGGCCGGCGAGGGTGGCCGCAGCAGCAGAGGCTGCTCATGTCCGAAGCTCTGTCACCCTCCACTCCAGCACAGGGCTCACACTGACATCAGTTCTAAGGCTTTCCATGGGAGTGTGGGTCATGGGACTGTGATATGGGACAAGGGCTTTTCTGGCACTTTCGACAAATTTTTGCAAGGAAGCATAAAATTTACATCTAAACCAACCCGTGGGATGACAGTGATTGTTGTTGCTATTATGATTTTGCTTTACATATTATTATACTTTCTGAAATGTATGAATTGGAGATTAAAATTTTAGTTGAGCCCAGGAGTTTAAGACCAGTCTGGGTAACATGGCAACATCCCATCTCTACAAAAAATTAGCCATGCGTGGTGGCGCACACCTGTAGTCCCAGCTATTCAGGATGCTGAGGTGGGAGGATCACTTGAGCCTGGGAGTTTGAGGTTGCAGTGAGCTATGATCGAGCTCGCACTCTAGCCTGGGTGACAGAGCAAGACTCTGTCTCAAAACAACAACAACAACGACAGCAACAAAATCCCCCCTTAAAACAACACTACCATCCGCCCGTCATCTGTATATTAAATATCTAACTGTAAAAAGTCTCAGCCTATTTTGAGAGATGAAGTTACCCTCAAGTCCCAAGCAGATGACAATAAACTGGAAAAGCAATGGGAAATCTCCAGACAGAACACCCAGGTCCTCCACCAGATGCTCCTCCCGGTCTCTCTTGGGCCATCTGGAGGGTGTCAGATCAGCTGGGCGAGCAAGGGCAGGGCCAGCCTCACTGTGGGATCTCAGGCAGCCTCCTCGCCCAGCCAACGTCTTTGTCCCAACACATCAAGGAACCTGGCGTCCCTCACCCCAGGAAAATCCTGGGCCTACACAGCCTCCTCAAACAAGGTCACTGTATGAGACACACTCAGAGCTGCCCCCGGCCCCAGCATCCTTGGATCTAGCAGTGAAATAGTTGGTGCCTTCACCGTGCTGTGGTGGGAGGCCCAGAGGTCAAGGTGCAGAAAGCCCGTACCACAGAGCTCCTAGTGGAGAAGACGGGAGTGGAAGCACACAATGCAGGAAGCCCGGGGCTGGGGAGCCGGGGCAGGTGCCAGAGAAGGTCTCCAGACCAAGCTTGAGCTGCAGGGCGGGAGTCGGATCATGGCCAGCACTGTGAGCTTGGTATGGGTGAGTCTCCTGATGCCAGACAGATGTGCTCTTGGAACATCTGTCTGTGAACCTCATCTGGGAGAACCAGATCTTTATTTAAAGTAAATTAAGGGGCCAGGCGTGGTGGCTCACGCCTGTAATCTCAGCACTTTGGGAGGCCAAGGCAGGTGGATCCCCTGAGGTCAGGAGTTCGAGACCAGCATGGCCAACATGGTGAAACCCCGTCTCTACCAAAAATACAAAAATTAGCTGGGTGTGGTGGCGGGTGCCTGTAGTCCCAGATACTCAGGAGGCTGAGGCACAAGAATCGCTTGAACCCGGGAGGCAGAGGTTGCAGTGAGACGAGATCGCACCACTGCACTCCAGCCTGGGCGACAGAGCGAGAACTGTCTCAAAAAAAATTAATAATAATAAAACAAAATAAAGCAAATTATGAGACTTTGCTCCTTAAGGGACCCAAAGACACACCCACTGACCTTGAGCCCTGGTGCCCGGTGCTGTGCTGAGAGGCCAGCTCTCCAAGGCCAGCCACCACCAGACAGGGCCCAGGGAATGGGCGGTCCAGGAGGGAGGCAGCGGCAACCACGAATAAATATTGACAACGCTGCGGGAGGCGTGCTGCTGGGCAAACGTGGACGAACTGCACTGAGCTTGAGGAAAGAGTACTCAGTGTGTCTGGGGGAGTGAGCGTCTCCTCATGAGGCGTGCATCCCTGGTCTATATCACGTATAGCTGATCTCAATGGGAGGCCGAGGACATGCGGTGTGGGCTCAGCACCCAGCAGGCGAGGCTCGCTCACAGAGAGGCAGCAAGAGGACCTCAACCCAGAATGCAGCAGGCCTAGGTCCAGTCTGGAGGGCCACCCGCACCCCCTCACACACCCTCTTCTCCAAGCCTCATCCCTGAAGTGAACACAGAAAGGCCCACTCAGGTGGGTGTAGGGAGCCTGAAGGAGGGTGGGCGGGGACCACCAAGCACCTGTTAGCTGTTGCCACACCTTTGGCTTCGAAGCAGCTAAGGGGGAGGGAGGTGTGCGGTCGGGGGTTGGGCGGGACATCATAACGCCAGGGCTGAAGGGGAACCACCCAAGGTCAGGTGGGAAGAGAAACAATGGCTCCTGGCTGCAGCCTCCAAGAAAAGCCATCCATGGGAGACCCACCTGTCCCTCCGCAAGCCTTCGACCCGCTCTACCTCCAACTCCTGCACAGACTCCGGGCTGTCCGTTCAAATAGCTGGCACCTCGTCTGCCCATCTCCATGACACGAGGTGTATTTATTTCCAAGAACATGCCCCAGAGGAGGGGCTCACGCTCTTGCAATTACCGCGCCACCACCTGGAGGCAGGTGCACAGTGAGGGCACCCACTGGATGATCAAGATCCCAGCTGTCCTGGAATGCCACCCAATACCATCCAAGAGGAGCAAGGTCAGGGTCGGAGGCCTAGACCTCTCTGGCGGCCTCCATTTCTCCTTCCGTACATGAGGTGGCTAAGTTCAGAACTCAGGGCGGGTGGTGTGGACACTCTCATTTAGGGATGGGGATAGGGGTACATGAATCCCTTCCACCAAGCACCTGGAACTCTGGGAGATTTTGAGGCTGGTGGCCAAAGGCATCAGGACACACACACCTGGTGGCACCTGGGTGACATCACAGAGATGTACAAGCTCACATTGTAGAAGGCCCCACAGTGGACAGGGCTTGGGGAGGAGGGCTTGGTCCCCCTACCTCAGAGAGGGAGAAAAGGACATAAAAGCGGGGAGGGATGGTCAGGTGCAGTGACTCACACCTATAAACCCAGCACTCTGGGAGGCCGAGGCAGGAGGATTGTTTGAGCCCAGGAGTTCAAGACCAGCCTGGGCAACATGGCAAAACTCATCTCTACAAAATATACAAAAATTAGTCTGGTGTGGGGGCATGCACCTGTAGTCCCAGCTACTTGGAAGGCTGAGGTGGGAGGATCACCTGAGCCGGGGGAGGTCGAGGCTACAGTGAGCCATGATCGCACCACCGCACTCCAGCCTGGGTGACAGAGTGAGCCACTGTCTCCAAAAAAAAAAAAAAAGGAGGCGGGAGCTTAGGAGAGGAGGCCGTCAGGGCCGGGGAGGGAAGTTCATGGAAACCATCCCGAGGGAAGCAGCGAGGAGTCTCCCCCGGGACACCCGATCGGCCTCCTCGTGCCCCACACAGCCTCCAGCTCCTGCCTCCCTGGCCATCGCATTCCAGGTCACTGGCCTTGGGGCCCCTCCCTTCCCTGATGTCGGCAGTCATTCCCAGGAGGGTGGGGGAAAGAGTAGGGGGGGCCTCACCCTCACCTCTCGGTGCTCAGGGCTCTGGCCAGTCCTTACTGTTCAAGAAAACAACCTCAGCTTCCCGGAGGGACCCCCGGATGCCAGGCAGAAGTGGGGGCTCTGGGCCCAGCTCCCACACTCGACCCCAGGCAGACACCCGCCTCTGGGTGCTCTCTAGGACCTTTGCCACCCACGTGCTGGGAGCCTGTGCACCCAGGCAGGGCAGGAGGACAAGGTCACTACCATCTCCAAGGTCACTGCAAGCTCCTCCCAAACTGAGGCCTGGAGGCCCTAATATAACCCACTCCCAAGGTCCACCCCTCCTCCAGGTGGCCTGCCCCACCAAGCTGGGACCAGTGCCCTTCCCTCTGGGGTGTCCCACCCCACCACCCGGCCAAGCGCCCCGAATCATCAGGCCTCCCTGAGCACCAGCTGAGTCGGCTCAGGGCACTAAACGCTTACCAGAAGGCAGGCAACCCCGACAGTGCCTAAAACAGAAGGGGCAAGATTGCCACTTAACAGACCAGAGAACCAAGGCTCAGAGATGGGAAATAACTCATCCAAGGTCACGCAGCCCACACAAGGACTGGAGATCCGAAACAAGCCTGGCTCCCCAGCCTTGCCGTGCCCAAACTGTGGCTGGCCTCAGAGCCACCTCCGGAGCTTGTTTAAAATGCAGATTCCTGGCCCCACCCTAAAGATTTGGCTTCAGCAGGTCTGGGATGACCCAGGAATCTGCACTTTAGCTTGTGAGCTCCCCGGTGGTTCTGACAGGAGGAGGCTTCGGGTCACACACTTCCCAGAAATACAGCTACACCACATGACTCTCCAGACCTGAAACGCCACGTGTAGAGGGTATAGGCAGGACTATGTAAGAGGCATCCCGAAAGGTCGCTTCTGGAAGCTCCTACAAACAGCCAAGAAAGCCCCGAGGTTCTTCAGTCGATCCAAGTTATCAGAGCAGCAGAAATGGGGGTGCTGGACGGTAAACGTCTGCCCAGCACCCCCAGCAGCTCCTGCCCACCTGTCACACCGTGGAGCTCCAGGAGTCAGAAATACTTTTCTTGCCATGGTGTGGCAGTGACCTCAGAAGGGCTGCAGGGGAATCACTCTCCCACCACTCCGCCCCTAATGCATTTACAAAAAATAACAACCCTCCCATCTCAAGCCTACCTCAGGAAAAAAATCAGATACAGCATGGGTTAGAGTGAGAATGGGTTTTATTTTTTATTTACTTTTTGAGACAAGGTCTTGCTCTGTTGGCCAGGCTGGAATGCAGTGGTATGATCATGGTTCACTGCAGCCTCAACCTCCTAGGCTCAAGTAATCCTCCCACCTTGGCCTCCCAAAATGCTGAGATTACAGGCGTGAGTCACTGAGAGAACCATCAAAGGGGCACCTAGCTGTGTGACTCTGGGAAAACCAGTTTCCCTCTCTGGGCCAGGGATTCCCCAGTCCGACTGTCCTCTGAGGTCCCCCTCTGCTCAGGAATGGTCCAAACTCACCCTCTCTAACACAGGCCACAGCTGTGCTAAAGCCGCCATTCAACCCAATCTCATGACTCAGCACTCCTACCTGATGCAGGGGCTTCTGGCTGCCCTCCTCAGCGTCTGGGCTGGGGAAGGTGCCAGGAGAGCCCCTCTGTGAACAGACTCGCATTTGGGATGGCCTCAGGGCTACCCTCCCTTCTCTCCCAAAGCAGCAGAAATGGGATCCCGGTCTGCAGATAATCAGCCTGGGGCTGATATGTCCCTGGTGAGGCTGCCAAGTGGCAGAACATTACAACAGAACACCGTGGAGGCCTTCCCCATCGCCCAGCTCACCTTTCCTTTCCTGAAGGAAAGAAGCAGACATGTTCCTTCCCTGTCCTCTCCTCCTCTTGCTCAGCCCGGCCCCCTGCATTCCGGGGGGTCTATCCACAGGAGTAGGACATGGAGGAGCTCAGGCTGGCCTCTCTCTGGAGCCAGGACTCAGGCATTCGAGGCTCTGCTTGCTGTCATGTGGCCCTCCCTGGACTGTTGTCCCCCATGCTCCTGCCCCCGCCCCCCATGCTGCCACTCCAGGACTGAGTGCCAACAGCTCATTCTCGACACCTGGGTTCCGAAGCTCCGTTTGCCTCCATGAGGCTGGCACACAGCAAATGCTCCAAATGCTCAATTGACTCGCTGGCAGAGCAAACTGGATGCAATGGCAGCAGAGTCAAGTGAACCAGCTCCACAGCCCTGCCCATCACTTACTAGCTAAGTGATCTTGGGCACATGACTTAACCTCTCTGAGCCTCAGTTTCCTCATTTTAAAAGAGATGAGAATCCCAATTCATAAGATTATTGTAAGAATTAAATTAGCTAATGTCAGCCACACATGGCAGCTCATGCCTGTAATCCCAACACTTTGGGAGGCTGAGGCAGATGGATCACTTGAGGTCAGGAGTCTGAGGCCAACATGATGAAACACCATCTCTATTAAAAATACAAAAATTAGGCAGGCATGGTGGCGGGCGCCTATAATCCCAGCTACTCAGGAAGCCGAAGCAGGAAAATTGCTTGAACCTGGGAGGCAGAGGTTGCAGTGAGCAGAGATCATGCCACTGCACTCCATCCTGGTTGACAAGAGTGAGACCCTATCTCAAAAAAAAAAAAAAAAATTTAAGAAGTTAGCTAATGTACATGAAAGCATCTGGCAAGCTTTCGAGAACTATGGAAACGTTATTTATGTGATTATCAAAAGATAACAGTCGCCTTATGAGAAATCCTAGCCCTCTGATATATTAGGGTAATACTGATAACATAAGAAGGGCTTTCACACCTGTGTACATGGCTGAGGAAATCAGTTTAAAAGAATTAATGAATCATCCACCTCAAGTCCCTAAACCTGACTGGTTTCCCAAGAACAATGAGAAGATAAGTCCTCAGCTAGACAGCTGGGATCTGTCAGGACCCTCTGCTGGCGTTTTTCCCTTCCAATAATTTGAAGGCAATTAGGGCAACTGATTAAAATTCCAGAGACAGAGCAAAACAAAGCATGACTTATCTGTACACTCTCCTCATTAGACAACGAGGCCACAGTGGAACCAGCCTGCTCTCTCTCTCTCTCTCTCTCTGGGATCCACCCATTCCCTCCCATCCCTCTACAACCATTGCTTGGGATCTCCCCACGAGCCCGACCACCCACCCAGGAGCCCACGGACTCGCCTGGAAAACCACACTGGCCACCGTCCAGCACTGGGGAGGCCAGACACGCCGGGCTTTCCAGGGCAGTCTCGCCTGTCTCATCTAGTATGACAGAAAAGGAGTCCCCAGGCCAACAGGCTCAGGACCATGTCCGACTATGTCATTCCCACAGATCCCAGCCCGCAGCACACGCAAGGCACACGCCAGACACCCAGGAGGAGACCGTGGAGAGAATACTGCTGGACAGGCAAACAAAAGCATATTCAGAACATCCAAAGGCACGTGGTGAGGAGAGAGACAGAAAGCAGGGGAGGATGGAGCAAGCAGGCCAGATAGGAGGAAGAGGAGAGACAAGAGAGGAGAAGAGAGTCCCAGGTTAACTATGCTGGAATGGCTACAGGGCTGAGGCCTCACCAGGAAAATGGCTGGTTTCCCATCACAGGAGATTCATTTTCCAAAGGAATGTGTGATAAGATTCAGGTAAGGCCGGGCGGCATGGTGGCTCAAGCCAGCACTTTGGGAGGCCCAGGTGGGCGGATCACCCGAGGTCAGGAGTTTCAGACCAGCCTGGCCAGAATGGTGAAATCCTGTCTCTACTAAAAATACAAAAATTTTGCCAGGTGTGGTGGCGGGTGCCTGGAATCCTGGCTACTGGGGAGGCTGAGGCATGAGAATCGCTTGAACCCGTAAGGCAGAGGTTACAGTGAACAGAGATCGTGCCACTGCACTCCAGCCTGGGTGACAGAGCAAGATTCCATCTCAAAAAAAAAAAAGATTCAGTTAACATCTACCCAGCAGGTGGAGGTTCTGTTCTGTTTCTGTTTTCCATTTCTCCATCTTCCGTATTTGAGCTCATTCGCTTTGTGAGAGAAGTCTCCCATGAAACGGGACCTCAGGGACTCTCCAAGGCCCTTCGGCTCACCCTGCCTGGGAGTCTAGGGAACTTCTCTTTCTCTTGGATGAGGCTCCTGGTGCCTGCTGCCTGGAATTCCCTTCCCTGGTGGTGCACCCCTCCCTTGCCAGCTCCTGGAGACCGCAGCAGAGTCACCCGACACGCTCTACCCAGGGGGAATGAGGACATGGGTCCTTGGCACTGCACTTCCTCCAGCAAAGCTCTCCCCAGGGTCTGAGGCCTGCTGCGCCAGGAGCCCGTGCTGGGTCCCGACACCCCACACAGTGAAGAATGAATGAAGGAATGAGTTAGTGACGGTGTGCTCAGCCCACATCAAACCTGGTGGGCGCTGTGGACCCGGCGGGCGCTGTGGACCCGGCGGGCGCTGTGGACCCGGCGGGCACTGTGGAAGGAGGCAGGAGGCAGGTTCAGAGTGTGGAAGCTGAGGGGAGATGCAGCCTGCTCTGGAAAGGGCCCTCCCTGTGCCTTCACAATACATCAATAAAACCGCCACCGCTGTGGGGGACACGGGGATCTGGGTAAGGCCCCTTCCTCAGAGTGGAGAGGTGCTGGCCTGGCCTTGCCACTGCCCTTCAGGGAGTGTGGTCTGCCTGCATTTGGAGGTGGGACCGCCAGCCACTGAGTGGGCCTGGAAGGCCACCAGAGCTTGGTCCTGATGGGCTCTAAAGAGTTCCAGGCCCTCAATGAGGCCAGAGCCCTGACTTCATCCTCCAGGCCACCTGGGAAGTGGGGTCCCCGAGGGACAGAGGGTGGGAGAAATGTTCCCTCTGGGCCAACTCTGCCTCTAATCCTGCTGCTGTCACAGAGGCCATGAGGCCGGGGCCTGCAGGGACTTTCCTCTGGGAACAAAGACATCTCAACTTCTTAATCTCTGCGTTGAAGTCTCCTGCCTGCAGGGGCTAGAAGGGAAAACAGAGGTGAGAGGAACCAGGTGACACGGAGCCACTAACCCATGCCAGCCGCAGGGTCCAGAGAGCCCCCAGCTGCCCACCTCCCCCTCGCCGAGCCAGCCCGCAGCAAACATAGGCACACACCAGACACCCATGGACACCAAGGGAGTGGCCACCAGGAATTTCAGAAAACAGCAGGAAACTGTGGCTGTGAAACGGGAAAGGTTCCCTTTTCCCCCTCAAAGGGCATGTGATGGGGGTATGGCTCGCTTCGTCAGTGTCCCGCTGCTCAAACCTCTAGGGGAGCATGCAGACGGGTCAAACCTCGAGGGGAGCATGCAGACGGGTCAAACCTCAAGGGGAGCATGCAGACGGGCAGGCTGTGGGGCTCCAACCCCATGGTAGTGTCTAGGAGTGAATGTTTACAGCTGAAGCCCCGGTGGGCATTCAGGGTGCTCTTTTAGTTTGCCATCCGTAGGCAGCTTGTGTTAGTCAGCTCAATTATACCCCTGCCTTATCATAAGGACAGAGGACTTTCTGTATCCCTGGTTCCTGCCTTGGTGTACCAGAAGATCACACGTGGGCTTGGAGAATGAGTGCAAGGTTTTATTGAGCTCACCCAGCAGATGGGGGAGCCAGAAGGGAGATGGTTTTCCTGACTCTTCTCCGACCGCCCCAGCCAAACTCCGGGGCATTCTGCTGGTCAGTGGCCTGCCAGCGTGCCGGCATCTGTTGTGTGCTCTTCCCCAGGGCATGTTCCCCCGACGTCCTCTTGATATCCAGCCACGTGTGTCTTCTTCCACCCACGTGTTCCTCTCAATGTCCAGCCGCTTCTGTGTGTGCCTGCTAGGCTCTCGCGGTTTTTATAGGCACAGGATGGGAGTGTGGTGGGCCAGGGTGGTCTTGGGAAATGCAGCATTTGGGTGTAAAGGCAGGAGTGTCTGTCCTCACCTAGGGCTGTGGGCATGGGCCCAGGGGTGGAGCCCTCGACAGGGACCCGCCCTTCTCCTCCCAGCACTTCCCTGCCCCACTTCCGTATCAGCTGGGAGTTCAGGACCAGTCTGGACAACATAGTGAGACTCCGATTCTATTAACGAAAATGGAAGAAGTGGTTGAGATTGTGACACTACTGATTTGTGCTTGTTTCCCTCCTCATCCTTTCTATCACAAAATAGGGCCTGACAACCTGATGTTACCGCACATCTATCCTGTTTATTAAAGTGGGGCCGGAATCATCCAGCCATCGGCCACGATTTTAGCCAGAAGCTGGTGCTGAGCCTTCTCCTTCTTCCAGCAACTCCTCCAGGTACAGGAGAAAGAGGCTTTCCACCGGGGCTGCTATACAGCACGGGGCCGTGGTGGACACGGGAAAGGAACCCTTCAGACAGGGCTGGGGTTTCAGCCCTGGGGCTGGTGCCGGCTCAAGGTCACAGCTTGTTTTCCTCAGGGGATCCCTGGGTAAAAGGTGACTGGGGGTAGGCCAGGTGTGGCCCCCTCCCTCTCCCTTCCCAGCTGCTCCTGCTTTCTGGCATAGCACGCTTTTTTTTTTTTCCTGCCTAAAGAAGTCACTGCTGCTTCCTAACAGGAGGACGGTTTTGTTGTTGTTACAGTCGGGGATGGGATTATGCATGGAGGAAAAACACGCTTTCTTGATTTTCTTCTGTAAACTGCAGGTGGGGAAAACAAAACGAGTAAATAACTGTTCTACAAACACCTCATGGGGAGGGAGGTCGTGATATTTACAAGAACATCGGCTTTCTGCTGGATTTCCATTTGGAGGGATCTAATAAAGATGCAGGAGGCATTTCTGCTCTTCCTAACACACTCCGCGGAGGAAACGCTGTCACAGGCGACGATCTAAAGCCAATCAGAGCAGAATTCTGCCATGGCCGAGCCCCACAGGGTCCACTCCCTCTGCATCCCCCTGGGGTGGTTCCCGGGCCCCTGCCACAGCTTCCCTGGCCCACATCAGCACCACATAAGGTAAAGACATGGCCTCAGATGAAGAGGAAAGATAACAGTGCAGAAGAACACGGGGAAAGCACGCAGGAGAAAGAGCAAAACCTGAGAGAGCTGACAACCTGGGCTGGGCCAGGAGTTGAGAAGGCCATGTGGCTGGCCTGGCTTGGTGGGTACTGCAAGCCTCTCATGTCCCACCTCAGCCACCCTCACATTTACTAAAAGGAGGCTGTTCCTCAAAAGGAGAGCACAGGCCCTGAGGAGGAACGGAAGGCTCCTACGTCAAGCCTGGACAGCATCACCATCTTTTTTTTTAGACACAGAGTCTCGCTGTGTCACCCAGGCTGGAGTGCAGTGGTGCAATCATAGCTCACTGCAGCCTCAACCTCCTGGGCTCAAGGTATCCTCCCACCTCAGCCTCCCAAGTAGCTGGGACTACAGGCATGTGCCACCACGCCTAGCTAATTTTGTATTTTTGGGGGTAATGGGGTCTTGCTATGTTGCCTAGGCTACCATCACTATTTTAAAACACTCTACAGTTGTGGATATGCAGCTGGGATTTGGAGATGGGTGGCCCCGCAGGGAGGAGTCTGTGGGAGAATGCACAGGGGCACAAGCATGGGTCCACCTGGAGGGAGGGGGGAAGCCAGGGCCTGAGGGAACACCAAGAGCATGGCTGGGCCCGGGAGCCCACAGGTGAGAGCATCTCAGCACCTCTGCCTCCCTGACTTACACACTGGGGGACGTGATTTCCTGTTGGCCAAGCGCCAGGTGGTGTGGTGTGTGGGGCACGGGGCCTGGCTATGGAGCCAGGTAGACCTGGGTTCAAATGCCACCTTATACGTAGGACCGGTTACTTAATCTTCCCGTGCCTCAGGCTCCTCTCCTGTCATTCAAGGAAATGCCACCTCAGGGAGTGGCTGCAGGATGGAAGGGGACAGTGGATGTGCCCCCCACCACCCTCTGAGTCCCACCGTCCTGGCACACACCGTCCTCCCTCAAGCTTCTCCTCTTGCTTTTACCCCAGTCTGTCCTTCAAGTCCCAGTTCAAAACTACCACCTCCCCAGTCCCTCAGGCAAAAGGGGTCTCCACTATGAACTCCCTTGGCACTAAGAGGCGTCCTGTGACCTTTAACACTCTCATGCTGCACTCATGATTCACTATAGGCCCGTCCTGTCTTCTCTTCCAGGCGAGCGGGAGGTTTAGTAGCTTAGGAGCTGCGTGTCCTTAGGCAAATTGCCCTACCTTGCTGGCCATCAGTTTAAACAGAAACCAGAGGTAACACCTGCCTCTTAAGGTTGTTGCTGGACTCAGAAGAGTAAATGAATAAATGAACTGGCGGTTCCCTCGCCAGTTAGGAATGAGTATGTTTTGCCAAAAGGCCCACAAATCAATACCATCCCACCTGCTCTGTGCGGTCCCTGGGGTGAATTACTGAGCTGTGACTAGCGTTCCTGGGGAAGAGAATGCACTCTCCAAGCCTGAGCCCAGGGCTGTCACTAGAACATGTCCTCCGGCAGGGGCTCCCGGTGCCAAATAAGAGGAAAGTAGGTACCAGTTTCTGAGACCCTCATAGCCATGCCCTGTGCGTCCCCTACTCAGACCCAAAAGAAACCTTCACAAGGCTACTCTGTATCTATTTAGGAAAAAAAAAAAGTGTCCATCTCTGTGGAGCCTAATCTTCAAATGCCTTTGCAAACTGCTCCCCAATCTCCTTGAGCCCTGGACAGTGGGCAAGAACGGAGGAGGTGACACAGTTCTTGATTTTCCCAGCCGCTCTCTGGGTGTCCCTGTATAAGCCAGCAAAGTAGCAACAGTGTCTCCAGGAAAACGAAACCCTCTTTACTGCTGCCCACTGAACAACTTTTTACATTTTCCAGAATGCTGAAGATTCACAACCCACCTACTTCTGAGTGATCAGTGGTGTGGCTGTCCCGTTAAACTCTTTTTTTTTTTTTTTTTTTTTTTTTTTTTTTTGAGACGGAGTCTCGCTCTGTCGCCCAGGCTGGAGTGCAGTGGCGGGATCTCGGCTCACTGCAAGCTCCGCCTCCCGGGTTCACGCCATTCTCCTGCCTCAGCCTCCCAAGTAGCTGGGACTACAGGCGCCCGCCACTACGCCCGGCTAATTTTTTGTATTTTTAGTAGAGACGGGGTTTCCCCGTTTTAGCCAGGATGGTCTCGATCTCCTGACCTCGTGATCCGCCCGCCTCGGCCTCCCAAAGTGCTGGGATTACAGGCGTGAGCCACCGCGCCCGGCCCCGTTAAACTCTTATGCACCCTTCAAAGCCCAATTCAAATGTCCCCTCTCTTTGCTGCTGCCACCACCTAGCCCCAGGAGGATCCTACCAGCTGTTCCCTCAGGCTTTAAACACATGGTACACATGCCCACTTTGCTTCCTGTCCTTCTGCTAGTCTGTTACCTGCCTGGGCACAGGCCATCATCCTCCTCATCTTCATCTCTGCAGCACCTAACACAGTGCCTGGTGCACGGTGGGTGCCCAGGGGCTTGTTGAATTCAATTGTTGAATTGAAGGATCTATGAGGAGGGGACCACAGTTTGCAAAGCAAACGTCGCATCATTAAGTTCTAACACAAGGTCAGCACGCAGGGCTGTGTATTTAAGATCAGACACGTTTGGAAAACCCAGGGCATTTGTACAATAAGCTCACATCCATATCCTCCCTCCTTGAAGCCTATGCAAGAACCCAGAAAGAAGTCAAAGTAAAATACGTAAACAGTAGTTTTTGAGTAGTTAAAATTCCTGTCTCTGCCTCAGTGCGTCGGACAATGGAAAGAATGTGAGAAGCACAGCCAAGGGCCCGGAATTTGAGTCCCGACACCTCGGCCATGGCTGTGCGATGAGCCCTGGGAGCTCTGCTTCTGTAAAACAAACCAACCCAGGACACCCTGGCAAGTCAACCTGGAAGGTGGCTGACCAAGACCGTGGCCTTAATTTGGCCAAGTCGACATTGGTTTCAGCCCAGAATTCACTAGAAGACATTGAAGACTCTGTTCAAGTGAACAGTTGAGCAAAGTGTCCCCTTACAGTACAGGGAAGATAGCAGGCCCTGGGAAGCTTCCAGAAGGTCCTCTGAAGTGCCTGAAATGCAGGAGGCCCTTAGAACGTATTTGTGGAATGAAGAACGAGGACACGCAGGATTGCATGGCTGAAGGGCTGCGCCTGGAGAAGACAGAGAGGACTTCTGCTGGGCCTGAGGGGTTGAGAAAGAAGATGAGTGAGTTGAGGCTTCAGGAAGAGCAAGTTAAGGAAGGATTAAGCAGTAGAACTACATAATTCGACGGCTGGAATGCATCGCCGTGGGAGGAGTGAGCGCCTTGTCACTGGAGAAATGCAAGCCCAGAGGAGATGACAGATCACATCACAAAACCACAGTAAAAAAGATCTAAATATGGGTACTTACCATTAAAATAGTCCCTCAACCCAGGGATCCAGCATTCCACATTCTAGACCAGGGGTCAGCAGATCTCTGCCTGCTGCATGAGGGCAGCCGGACACAATGACATAAAGCAAATGAGTGTAGCTGTTCCAATAAAATTTTATTTGAGACCAGGTGTGGTGGCTCACGCCTGTAATCCCAGAACTTTGGGAGGCTGAGGTGGGAAGATTGTCCAAGAGTTCAAGACCAATCTGGGCAACATAGTGAGACCTCGTCTACTAAAACTCAAAAAAATTAGCCGGGCATAGCGGCACACGCCTATAATCCCAGCTACCTGGGGAGGCTGAGGCAGGAGGATTGCTTGAGCCTGGGAAGTCAAGGCTGCAGTGAGCCCTGATCATGTCACTGCACTCCAGCCTGGGTGAGAGAGCAAGATCCTGTCTCAAAAAAATTTAAAAAATTTAAAAAGAAACCTGCCCAGAGTCTGGCCCTACATGGAAAGCTGATCATTTCAGTCCTGCCTTCTCTAAAAGACAAACCAGTTGCCAGGGGCCACTGGCCCTGAACCAGTATCCCCACACCTGCAGGCAGGGCCCCCCACGACAGCACTGGCACAGGAGCTTGGCAGAAAGAGAAGGATGGCACTGGGGGCTTCTCTGCTCTACAGACACTCTTTTAGAGGACGGGCTTTCCTTCTGAGACTGTGCTTGTTCTTGTTGTTGCAGGTGTTAAATGTCCTTGGTATTAATATTATAAAGAATAATAGTAGGTCCCATGCGCAACACAGGCCTCAGCTGGTTCTCAGACAAACCTGTGCCCAGCACGCCCAAAACACTGCCCATTTGACAGATGAGGAAACTGAGGTGCAGAAAGGCATAGCGGCCTTTTTCTGAGTCTCCTGGCAAATTGACAGCAGAAATGAGAACTGCATCGGCACGACTGCCTGCCAGCTTAGGACACTGGGGATTCATTCTTCCCTTACCCTAACCTGGTCAACCAAAATTCCAATCGCCTTTCTCTACAGAGCTGACAAAGCATCATTTTCATGAAGAGTCTTCTCGTTCAGTGACCAGAGCATGTCAAAAATATTCAGTATCCAAACGGCTCTGAGTTTTTTCTAATGTCAAGAATGGTACCCACCTTCAAAGAGCTTACTAGTTGGCCAGAAAGACTAGAAGAGTCTTTTCATTTGGCTACAGAGAGGGCAGAGGGCTGGAGTGATCTCTGTGTGCTCAGAAGGCCTGGGCAGAGCCAAGAAAGACTCCAAAGGTCCCTCCTGATGGGGGGCACCAGGCCCTCAGCTCCCTCCCCAGCTCTCCCTGGGGGGGCCTGAGCTGGCTACTGTAGCTCTCCTGACACCCTGGCATTGAGACACCCATGCGAAGGAGAGCTAAGCGTGGCCCAACCAAGGAACCAGATCCCAGACGTCCCCAGGGGACTGCAGAGGAAGAGATAGGCCTGGATCTTGCCCCAGCATGCATGGCCTCTGCTGATGGCACAGCTGCTGGAGGATGAAGTCAACTGCTTCCAGGAGGACTAATTTAGCTCCAAACATAAACCCTACTGGGAAATCAGTTCTTAAGAGAGAGAGATTTAAGACTAGAACGGAAAAGTTTTAGCAGAGCGTAGGTGGGAATCAAGGTGTCTTCTCTCTCTTGAGAAGGGGCTACAAAGGGATGGGGAAGGGAAAAAGGAAGTGAGGTCCCAAACAGGCGAAAGGAAAGCAAGAACCTCCCTCACCAGAACAGTGAGATGGGGAGAGGGAAGGTGAGTGGGAGGTATATGGATAGGCAGAACACTTGCGGTTCACACACCATACAATTCACATATTTAAATTCAATGGTTGGCTGTGTAATCCCAGCACTTTGGGAGACTGAGGCAGATGGATCACTTGAGGTCAGGAGTTTGCGACCAGCCTGGCCAATAAGGCAAAACTCCTTCTCTACTAAAAATACAAAAATTAGCCAGGTGTGGTGGTACGCACCTGTAATCCCAGCTACTTGGGAGGTTGAGGCATGAGAATCTCTTGAACCCAGGAGGTGGAGGTTGCAGTGAGCTGAGATCGCGCCACTGCACTCCAGCCTGGGCAAGAGTGAGACTCCGTCAAAAAAAAAAAAAGAAAGAAAGAAAGAAGGAAGGAAGGAAGGAACTCAATGGTGACACAACTGTGCAACCATCGCTTATCACCATGATCAATTTTGTAAAGAATCACTGCCCCCTTTTTCAGACAGGGAGAATTTTGCCCTTTATTTGTTTGTTTGTTTTATATTTGAGACAGGGTGTTGCTCTGTCACCCAGGCTGGAGTGCAGTGGCACGATCATGGCTCACTGCAACCTCAACCTCCTGGGCTCAAACAATCTTCCCACCTCAGCCTCCCAAGTAGCTGGGACCACAGGCACACACCACCACACCTGGCTAATTTTTTTCTTTTTAGTAGAGACAGAGGTCTCGCCATGTTGCCCAGGCTGATCTGGAACTCCTGAGCTCAAGCAGTCCTCCTGACTCAGCCTCCCAAAGTGCAATGATTATTGGCATGAGCCATGGCACCTGACCAGAACATTTTTATCTTCCCCAAAAGAAACCATGTACCCATTCACTGCCACTCCCCATTTCCCCTCAGCCTCCCAGTCCCAGCCCCAGGCAACAACTAATCTGCTTTCTGTCTCTACAGATTTGCCTATTCTGGACATTTCACATAGATGGAATCGTATTATATGTGGTCTTTTGTGACTGGCTTCATTCACTTAGCATATCTTTTCAAGGTTGGTCCATGTTGTAGCATGAATCTCAACTTCATTCCTTTTACTGCTCAGTGATATTCCATTGTATGGATAGACTACATTTTGTTTATCCATTCATCAGTTGATGGACATTTTGGTCATTTTCACTTTCTGGCTGCTGTGAATAATGCTGCTGTAAACATTTATGTGTAAGTTTTCATTTCTCTTTCATTCTTATATGCCTAGGAGTACAACTGCTAGGTCATATGGTAACTCTAGATTTAAGCTTTTGAGGAACTGCCAGGCTGTTTTCTGAAGAGGCTGCACCATTTTCATCCTACCAACAGCGTATGAGGGTTCCACCTTCTCCATTTCCTCATCTCCGCTGGAGTTTATAGGACTTTTTGATTCTAGCAGTCTTACTGGATATATCGCTGTTGTTTTCATGTGCATTTCCCTCGTGACTAATGATGTTGAGCATCTTGTCATGTGCTTCTTGGCCACTTGTATATCTTTGGAGAAACGTCTATTCAAGTCCCTTGCCCATTTTTTAACTGGGTTGTCTTGTATTATTGAGTTGTAAGAGTTCTTTATATATTCTAGATGCAAGTCTAGAATCTATACAATTCGCAAATATTTTCTCCTATTCTGTGAGCTGTCTCTTCACTTTCTTGACGGTATTCTTTGAGGCACAGGTGTTTTAAATTTTGGCTGGGTGTGGTGGCTTACTAGCACTTGGGAGGCTGAGGCAGATGGATCGCTTGAGCCCAGGAGTTCGAGACCAGCCAAGGCAATATGGTGAGATCCTGTCTCTACAAAAAATACAAAAATTAGCCAGGCATGGTGGCATGCACCTAATAGTCCCACCTACTCAGGAGGCTGAGGTGGGGGGATTGCTTGAGCCCAAGAAGCAGTAAGCCATGATCATGCCACTGCACTCCAGCCTGGGCAACAGAGCAAGACCCTGCCTCAAAAAAAAAAAAAAAAAAGGACATAGATTTTTAAAAGGCCAGAAGAAAGCAGACTTCATTAGCTGCTTCCCCTAATTGCCCCTGGACTATGGGGCATGCTCTGTCCCCTTCTGGGTGCATAGAGCATGTGGGAACCTTCGGGCAGGTGCACTCTGAGCCCACCAAGACTCAGTTACGTTTGTTTCCAAACCTGCTTATACCAGTAGTACTTATGTAATTACCAAAGTTAATTAAATTTTATGCAAACCCTCAGAAGAGGAATTAAAAGGAGTTGGTTTTATGAAACAGAGTTGAATGTTTGGGGGAAGATGGCTGTTCAATTAGGCATGAACAAAATAACTGTATAATATCAGTGGTATATGAAATCGGCAAGGATTTGGTGCTAGTTCCTACATTACTTGACAGAAACAGAAACTGAGAATCTCAGAAAATGCATTAACAGTGTGGATAGTGCAAAAAAGACATATCAGGACAGAAGCCAGTGGACCCATAATCCAAGAGAGGTCTTGGCCCTGTATCAAGAGATGGGGAATAAATGCATTTTTATATGAAAATGAAACGTTTTATGTCAAAACGAAATGCTCAATATGTCTATATCTTTTTTTTTTTTTTTTTTTTTTTTTTTTTTTTTTTTTGAGACAGAGTCTTGCTCTGTCACCCAGGCTGGAGTGCAGTGGCATGATCTCGGATCACTGCAAGCTCCGCCTCCCAGGTTCACGCCATTCTCCTGCCTCAGCCTCCTGAGTAGCTGGGACTACAGGTGCCCGCCACCACGCCCAGCTAATTTTTTGTATATTTAGTAGAGACAGGGTTTCACCGTGTTAGCCAGGATGGTCTCTCCTGACCTCATGATCCACCCGCCTCAGCCTCCCAAAGTGCTGCGATTACAGGTGTGAGCCACCGTGCCCGGCGTCTATATCATTTTTATGATCCCCTCTTTAATAATCTTTTTCAATTACCCAACTCCCTGCCAGGTCAGATAATACTGGAAAAGCAGGCTTCTTACAAGCACTCAAATAGAAGAGTGGCTACCTGGGCAGGGGTGACAAAATATTATTTTTTGTCTCCTTCTTACCTCTTAGTATGTTTGAGACGTTCTAATAAGTATGGATGACTTTTATGGTAGAGAACAAGTATGTAAAATTTATTTTTGAAGATTCAGATTCCATTACCGCCTGTTAATAAAGGGAAGAAATTTGGAAACGCTGCACTGCCGTGGCCAGCATTGTTAACTGCAGCCAAGAACATGCCCCTGTGCCACAAAGATAAACAAGCAGGAAATGTGCAAAAGGAACAACATAAAACAATAAGACCATCAGGCTCAAATGCGTGGCTACTTTAATTGAAAGCTAGTAAAACGCTGAAATAGATGCTGAATGTGATTGAATTCAGACAGGCCCTTTCCTGAGCTCTTTGGTTAAAGCTACTGGGCACCGTGAGAGGCAGACATACTTTTGGAAAGCCAGGCTGCTGGACTAAATGGGTTCAACGAACATCATACCAGACAAATCTGGATTTCCCAGGAGAAGGCCAGAATCCAGAGTTTTGTTTTGTTTCTTGAGACAGAGTCTCACTCTGTCGCTCAGGCTGGAGTGCAGTGGTGGGATCAGAGCCCATTGCAGCCTCAGACTCCTGGGCTCAAGTGATCTTCCCACCTCAGCCTCCCAAGTAGCTGGGACTGTAGATGCACATCACCCTGCCTGGCTAATTTATATATATATATATTTTTTTTTTTTTGTAGAGACAGGATCTTGCTATGCTACCCAGGCTGGGCAAATACTCCTGGGCTCAAGCGATCCCCCCACCTTGGTCTCCCAAAGCACTGGGATTACAGGTGTGAACCACCACAGCTGGCCCAGAGTTTTTTCTGTTGTTGTTTTTTGTTTTTTGAGATGGAGTCTTGCTCTGTCGTGCAGGCTGGAGTGCAGTGGAGCGATCTCGGCTCACTGCAACCTCCGCCTCTTGAGTTCAAGTGATTCTCCTGCCTCAGCCTCCCGAGTAGCTGGGATTACAGGTGTGTACCACCATGCCCAGCTAATTTTTGTATTTTTAGTAGAGATGAGGTTTCACCATGTTGGCAGGCTGGTCTTGAACTCCTGATCTTAGGTGAACTGCCCACCTTGGCCTCCCAAAGTGCTGGGATTACAGGCATGAGCCACTGTGCCCGGGCTGGCCCCTAGTATTTTTAAAGAAACACAATGTCACTGCTCTGATGTGTACAAAATAAGTGATTAAGAGGTCCGTCTCACTGACCCTAAATCCCTGCCCCCTTGAACTTGATCTTGCTTTTATATCCCCACCATGCTAGGCTTACAGTAGGTATCTAATCACTGTGTTAAAGCATGAACAAATGCAAGCTTAAGAGTGACTTATGAAGATACCAATCTTTCTCCTGTAAACCAGGGCTTCTGAAATGGTCCTTCTACAGCACTCCTCCCCTCCCCCATTCCCACGCTGCATTTTCTTATGTTTGAGACACAGTTTGCTAAACCCAACCTTGTCTGAATTAATGAGGACACAGAAGTGAAGGGTTTGGGGAGCTAAACATTAAACCGATTTGGCCCATACTCCGTGCCAGGCTTCATACTGGATCCCCGTGAAACACAGGAAGCCTCAGAAAATGCCCAACCCCGCCCCGCAGACACAGTGCCATGGGAAAGGCTGCTGCTGGAGTGTTTAAACCTGTGAGGAACAGCACCAGAAAGGCCCAGACAGCCAGAGCGGGGCCTGAAGGAAAAGCAGGGTGGGTGCTGAGGACAGACACCCACAGATCAGCTCCTGGGACCCCAGGGTGGCAGGAGGCACTTCCAAAGGAGAAGTAGTGGGTGTGGCCATTTTAAACCTCTTTCCTCCTCCCCACGCCCACCTTTGCCCCACCGTGGTCCACATCTGGGGCTGGAACTTAGGCGAAGTGACCATTATCAGGCGCTGGGGGGCACATTTTATACCATCAGGAAATTCCTGTGAGCCAAGTCAGTCCCAGCACATGGGCCTTCCCTGAAGGCCCTGCTCCCCATGAGACTCTGAGACAGGGCTCTGCCTGGTGTGGATGACAGGCTCAGAAAAGGGTGGGCCGGGGGCTGGGTGACCAAGCCAACGACGGAAGGAGCAAGTTGTTCTAAAGAACAGGCGCCCACCGTATGGGTCACGGATGCCAGGGAGGCAGACACTCCCTCTCACTGAGGCCGGCCTGTGTGTCAGGCTGAACTCCAGCACCTGCGGGGGGCGGGGGCGGTGCGGGGCTCTCTAGAGACTTCTGAAAGTGAATCCCAGTAATGTCAAACTCATCTATGAGCACTCTGCTCCTCTGAGGATGAAAACAGTTCGCACCACTCTGCAAACAAATATAAATCCCTTAGAAACTAATCTGGGTGGGTGGGTGGGGTGGTGGGGATGACAAGAGGAACAAATGTTTAAAATCTAACATCCTCCAGGGTGGTCCTGACCCCAGTTAGAAGGAGAGAGAAGGAAGAGGGTGGGGGGAGGGAGCCAGGGCCTGTCTGTGCTGGGGAGGGAGCAGTGGAGGAGCACAAAGACATGGAGAAGGAAGGGGAGGAAGGGGAGAGAAGTGAGAAGCTCTCACAGTCTCGTTTTTGTACTATCATGGTGAAAACACAGTACACTTCATTCTGTTTGATGATGCCAACGCCTGCTACTGGAAAACACTCTCCTTGCACATCATATCCATAAATAAATGCCAGTCCCGGGTCTGTGGGTCTCAGCCTGGTAGACCGGTTATGTCAACTGGACAGTGCTTTTAATGGACCATTTATAGCCTGACTGGCTCACAACAAAAATGCCTGCACGGAGACCTAGAGGGTTAAACATCTCTTTAAGACAGAACTGCCTCCCAATTGAAAGAGGAAAAAAGCCACAGAGGGGACTGGGGCCAGGCAGACAAAGTTAACATTTGAGGATGAGGGAGCACCTCCCCCAAGACTCCACAGCCAAGCCCTGAATGAGGCACGTGGGCTGTGATGGGGTCAGTCCCATTCCATCCCCTCCCAATTCTGGCATGAGGGCTTCTCCCACCATATCCCCAGAGCCTCGAGACAGAATACCAGGAGGCTCCCCATGGCCCCCACAACATCAGCAGTCACTGCTGCTCCCCAACTTTCTCCCCGTCACCCCCCCTCAAAGAAGGACATGAGTGCAGCTGTGCTAGTGTCCTACTGGGAGGCCACCAGCCCCTGATGGACCAAGGGGGGTCTGAGGACCCCAAGGCATTGCACATAAGTGTTTGCATGCATACACACACACACACAGCCTGGCTCTCTCACACATACACAGACACACACACCCCCAGGGCACACACTCAGACACACCCACACACTCACACTTCCACTTATTCCCACAATTGTTCTTCCTGGTTTGGATCAACAGACCATCTGTGTGCTTGTGTGACTTAGGAAATCTTCCAAAATACGGCAAAAGTTCGCAGTCCTTGCCCCTTTTGTGGTGGGGGAGGGGCGTCATAAATAGTTTTCTAGTTTCTTTATATTTTCTATTTTACAGTGAACATGCATGTATCACTTTTATATTCAGAAAAAGTTAAAACACAAAATTTTTAAAAGTTTTTCTGGATGGGTGCAGTGGCTTATGCCTATAATCCTAGCACTTTGGGAGGCTGAAGTGAGAGGATCGCTTAAGCCCAAGAGTTCGAGACCAGCCCAGGCAGCATAGCAAGACCCTGTCTCTACAAAAAATACAAAAATTAGCTGGGTGTGGTGGCTCACACCTGTAGTCCCAGCTTCTTGGGAGGCTGAGGTGGGAGAATCGCTTGGGCCTGGGAAGTCAAGGTTGCAGTAGGCCAAGATTGTGCCACCACTCCAGCCTGGGTGACAGCAAGACCCTGTCTCAAAAAAAAAAAAAAGTTTTTCTAGGACAAATAATAAATAGTACCACAGTAGGTCACATTCATCTCATCTTGACCCACACAACAGCACTGTGAAGTAGTGCTTCCATTTTACAAATGAAGAAACCCAGGATAAGGGAACTTGAAAGCCGCCCAAGGTCACCCAGCTAGCAAGTGGCAAAAACGCAGAGTACAGTATTATCACTCCTGGGAAAAAGGTTCCTCTAGTCTGTCCCAAAGACGGAGAGAGAGACACACACAGAGAGACAGAAAGAAAGAGACAGACAGACAGGCAGGCACAGAGATAGAGAGATTGAAACAGAGAGAGCAAGACAGACAGAAACAGAGACAGACACATACAGAGACAGAGACAGACACACAGAGAGAGGCAGAAAGAGACTGCAAGACAGGCACAGAGAGAGACAGAAAGAGAGAGAGAGAGAAACAGACACATAGAGAGAGGCAGAAAGAGACTGAAAGGCACAGAGAGAGAGACACACAGAAAAAGAGAGAGAGATGGACACATAGAGAGAGGCAGAAAGAGACTGAAAGGCACAGAGAGAGAGACACACAGAGAGAAAGAGAAACGGACACATAGAGAGAGGCAGAAAGAGACTGAAAGGCACAGAGAGAGACACACACAGAAAGAGAGAGACAGAGACAGACACAGAGAGAGAAGCAGAAAGAGACAGAAAGTCAGGCACAGAGAGAGACACACACAGAAAGAGGGAGAGAGAAACAGACACATAGAGACAGACAGACAGACACAGAGAAAGAGACAGAGACAGAGCAAGTCCTGGGAGGAAGGGAAGGGGGAGCAGAGTACTGTGGAGTGTGGGACGCCCGTCTTACTCATTTGATTATAAAATATTTCTGAGCTGCCAGATGGTATAATAGTGGCTGCAGATGCCCCGATAGCTTTTCTTCATTTCTTTGCACAGGGCTCCATTTCAGGGCCTGAAGAGTGATATCTAAGAAGCTATTCTGGAGTTCCATAAAGACAATCACTATACAACTATGGAATCGCCGCTTGGTGCATGCGCTTAACAGATGTGCACTGGTTCTGGCTTCCTGGATAAACGGGCCTTATGCTAATCGTGAGGCACCTAGCGGCACTTCGGGGCCCCCCTTGCTGGCACATGGCCTGCTCAGGCAGGGATGGGATCTGGGCTTGTTACGTAATTAATCCTTGGCTCAGGGCTGCTGCACACCCCACACAGACGCTGGTCGAAGTGATGCCTATGGGGAAAGCAAGCATCAAAGACCACGTCCCCAGGGTCCTCTGAGCCAGGAGCGGCCGAGACTTCGAGATCAAAGCTGTAGGGTTAATGAGTTCACTGCAGTCCTCAACCGTCTGCTTGTTTTGTTCTGGCTTTTTCGTGTTGTGTTTTGTTTAGTTTTTAATAAGGGAGTCTTCATCCCTGCTCCTTCGACAGCTCAGTAACCCAGTTAGAAAGCAACAGCTCTGTGCAGGATGCACCACACAGCCGCCGGTACTCCTGCCGGGTCTGAAGCCAGCGTTCTCTATATCCCAAGAGGTGCAGCCTCCCAGGAGGCATGGAGGCCCAAGCCTCACTCCAGAACTGCTTGCTTGGGAAGCGCACAGCCATGGGCCATGTGTTCATCCCTGAGGCCTGCCCCCTCTTCTCTTTCTGCCCTCATCTCTCCTCTCTCCCCTCAGCCCTGAGCCACGCCCAGCACAAGAGAACAGCAGAAAGACTTTCTATGCCATCTGCCACTGATCTAAAAGTCCCTTCGCAAGGATGAGTTTTGTTTCTGCTCTTAAAATTTAGCCTGGTTTCAGCCTGATCTCTTGGACTTGGCATTGGCCACGGTCAATCCAGTGTCTGCAGTCAAAGCAGTGGCAGCTTGCAAACCCATATAGTGGAGGTCCCACCTAAAGCCATGCCCACCCTAAAAATCCTCCAGACTTCAAGAAACCTCCAAGTTCAGAAGCAAAAGAAAGGAAGACCCAGGGAACAGCAGGAATCACTTGCATGGAAGTCTGTGGACAAACTAGGCTGGCTCACCTGCCTGCCTATGCAAACACCCACCTCCCACCCGGGAGTCCTGGAGGGAGATATGGTGCTATCAGTCCTTCACATGCTAGTGAGAATTAGCATCATCTTGCTCCTAGAAGAGAGTCATTACTCCGAGGATTGAGATCAGCCTTCTCAGCAGAGTGGCAGGGGAAGAGGAGATAAGTAATTTGAATGTGGTGTGTTTTATGGGGACGGGGCAGGCCTCCATGGTGTGCTAGAGGTCCAGGGTCCCAGGAGAGGGGTGATGGGGCTATTTACCAACTACCATGGAAGTTATTTTAATATTGTGACAGTGCACGGCTTGCCAGTGCATACCCACTGCACATCAGAGCTGCGGGCCCACTTGGAAACACACAGGGCCTGGAGCTGGGGAAGGACCCCTACTCTACACACACATCCAGAGGCACATTGAGTTTAAAACTTGCAACAGCTGGCAGGGCACTGATATCCCACACAGAAGACAGAAGCTTCAAACCAGCACTGGCCATCTCCAAAGCCAGGCCCCAGGGAGCAACATCCTGTCCAAAAAGGGGCCGGGGGAAGGCAGCGGGGAGAGGTACCAACTGCCACCCACAGGCCATAGCCTTGGTCTTCAGCCATGAGATGGACAGAAGAAGAGAATCCTCAGAGGCCGGCCAGAGCATCCTGCGTAGCTACTGGAGGGCAGCTGGCCCAACCGGGAACAGATTGTGCCTCTCTTTGCCCAGGAGTCCGGCTGGGTGACAAAACAAAACTCAACGAGAAAGAATGAGAGTCATGAGAGGGAGCTCAGAGCACAGTGCAAACACACGGGGTTCCTCCAGCCAGCACCTCTGCACATGCTGTTCCCTAGGCCTGGAATGCTTTCACCTCAATTTCCTCCCCTGCCAAAAGTCTGGCATCCTGCAAAGTCCAGCACAAGCCCCGCTCCCTGGGAGTCCCCTCCCACCCTCCCCCAGGCTGGGCTGATCAGTCCTCCTTGGAGCTACGTTGTTTCTGCACGCCTCCCTTTCAGGCTGCGCGCTGGAGGCACGGACTGCACATGTGGCTATATCCCAGGACCCAGACTGACTGGCCTCGCACAGAAGCAGGGCTGTGGCATTCCAGGGACACTTCCACAAAGAATGCAGTGTGCCCCTGGAGGCGGGCGAGGCAGGGTCCCCACCTCGGCCTGTTGCTTATTCAACAGGTTAATGATAACCACTCAGCAAGGAAAAATCTGTCTTAAATCCCACAAACGCTCCATCTAAATGAAACGGGGAGCAAAGCTTTATTATTATTATTATTATTTTTACAGACAAGGTCCACTCTGTCACCAGGCTGGAGCACAGCGGCACAATCAGAGCTCACTGTAGCCTCAACCTCCTGGGCTCAAGTCATCCTTCCAACTTAGCCTCCCAAGTAGCTGGGACTACAGGAGCACACCACCACCACATCTGGCTAATTTAAAAAAAAAAAAAAAACTTTATCTAGAGACAGAGTCTCACTATGTTGCCCAGGCTGGCCTCAAAGCAATCCTCAAGTGATCCTCCCACTTTAGCCTCCTAAAGTGCTGGGATTACACGTGTGAGCCAGCACGCCCAGCCCAGAGAAACTTTGAAATAAAGGACTTCTTCAACCCCAAACTTGTAGATCTTTTCAAAACATTTGAATTTTTCCCGTGGTAATCAGGAAGGTATTGCTTTTAAGACAGTCACATCTCTTGGGAAGCGTTGGACCCAGCCAATGCCCACTCTCCTGCCCCCTTCCACCCTCTCTCGGGCAGCCTTGCAACATAACCTAGGCAGGAGGGAATCCCTCCCCACTTTAGAAAGGCCCACGGCTCGTGTTTAGGTTTCTGAAGTCCTTCAGCAGCTTTCTTGTGTTGAGGGGAGAGTTTCTGCTTAAAGACCCCCGTCTCTTCCCCCAAAGCCCCCACCCATTGGTCATTCCTGAGCCTACTATAAAGAAGGCCCTCAGTACCTCCATGCATACATTTGTGCCACAATTTGTTGTTGTTGTTGTTGCTTTTAAGATAAGGTCTTGCTCTGTTGCCCAGGCTGGAGTGCAGTGGCGCAATCATGACTCACTGCAGCCTCGACTTCCTGGGCTCAGGTGATCCTCCCGCTTCAGTCTCCCGAGTACAGGCATGCACCACCGTGTCTGGCTAATTTTTGTATTTTTTTGTAGAGATGGGGTTTCACCGTGTTGCCCAGGATGGTTTTGTACTCCTGGGCTCAAATGATCCGCCCACCTCAGCCTCCCAAAGTGCTAGGATTACAGGCACCCCAGCACCCCAGCACTGCACCCCAGCCCACAGTTTCTATCATAAATCTAGACCCTTGAGTAGTCAACCTAGGCTTTAAGAAAAATCGCGAAGGACAGCCAATTTAAAGCATAACTCCACAGAAAACCTGCCTCCAGACACATGAAGGGAGGTTAGTTCAGTGGCCATCACATGTAATTTATTCTGATTTTATTACATATCCAATATAGTATCTAGAATTTATAATGATATTCTATGAGGAAGGGAAAAAAGTGAAATAATTTAACCCAGAGAAGAGGAGTTTGAGAGTTAATTTCATGAACTCGGCATGAAGCATGATTATAAGAGTGCTGTCTTACCCGGAGGGCAGTAACAGGACAGGGATTCAGGAACAGGGGAGGACAGGCCCCAGGCGTGGGCTGGCTGGAAGGGCAGGGATATGGGGGAACTGCGGGGCCCTGCAGCCTGGAGACTTTCTTCTCCAACAGTGCTTAGGGATAAGACTCAGTCTGAAAGGAAGCCCTGATGTCTGAAGTGAGAGTTTGAAAGCAAAGCTTTGAGAGCAGCAAGCTTGGGGTTGCGTCCCAGCTCTGCCGCTTACAGACTGCGTGGCCCTGGAAAGTTCAGTCCCCTCTGAGCCTGCATCCCCATGGTGCCAACAGGTATGACACCCCCTCCTGGGATGTTCCTGCGCCCTCCTACAGATGACCTCTCAAAGCTACCTATTCCTACTATCTGAGGGATATTCTGAGTCATCCAACGTTAAAGGCACATTAATAACTAGAACATTCCACCACCAGTCCCTGGAAAACATGTTTATCAAGATAGTGGCACAGTTCTTAGCAACAGGTCCTACAATACTGTGGCTACACCTTACATGGTTAGAAAGCAGCCTAGACACTGCACACCAAGAAGCTCCAGTAATCAGTGAAGGAAGCATTGATATCTTTCCCGTTCAAGAAAGGTAACTGGGATCAGAGATGTTAAGCCGCTTCTCCAAAGCCACACAGCTGGTTGAGGGGCTGAAGTGCACCCTTGGGTCTATGTCTTCCTTCCGCTTTGTTGTGGGGAGGAGCCGAGGCAGGGATGGGGGAAGGCGGTGCAGGCACACCCCACCACTGAGGCCAAATGTTGAAGGCTCATACTATGAGAAGCAAGGTGATATCACAGGACCACAGATTTTACCAGATCAACAAAACCAAGTGAAAGAACTCATCCCAATGTCATGAAGCCCAGACTAACCAAGAATCCCCTCCCCATACCCCTCACATACACACCTGTGATGCCCAGTAGGACCACAGGGAGAGTGCTGGCTCCGCTGGGCGCACGCAGGGGCTCAGGCCTCAACGCACAGGAACCCCAGGAGGCCCACAAGCCTGGGGCCTCCGTTTCGCCAGCCCTGTTGCTACGTCCTGCCGGGCATGAACATGGCGAGCTATCTCCGAATCTTGCTGTGTAATCTTACATGCTCTGAGCCTCAATTTCCCCATCTGTAAAGCACAAATAAGAGGACCTACCTCATAGGATTGTTGTTTTTTAAACTTTTTACTGTAAAAGAGTTCAAATATGGCTGGGCGCGGTGGCTCACGCCTGTAATCCCAACACTTTGGGAGGCCAAGGCAGGCAGATGACTTGAGGTCAGGAGTTGAAGACCAGCCTGGCCAACATAGTGAAACTCTGTCTCTACTAAAAATACAAAAAAATTAATCAGGCATGAAATCCCGTCTCTACTAAAAATACAAAAATTAGCCGGGCATGGTGGCATGTGCCTGTAATCCCAGCTACTGGGGAGGCTGAGGCAGAGAATTGCTTAAACCCGGGAGGCGGAGGTTGCAGTGAGCCGAGATCGCACCACTGCACTCCAGCCTGGGTGACAGGTCTCAAAAAAAAAAAAAAATTAGGTGGGCATGGTGGCGCCCACCTGTAATCCCAGCTACTCCAGAGGCTGAGGCAGGAGAATCACTTGAACCCGGGAGGTGGAGGTTGCAGTGAGCCGAGATCATGCCACTGCCCTCCAGTCTGGGTGACACAGCGAGACCCTATCTCAAAAAAAATTTTTTTTTCAAATATACATAAAACAGAGAGATGAGTATAATGAATGATGGGCACCCATTCCTCAGCTTCGTGCAAACAAGTCCTGGCATGTGTGTCTGTCTGTGCCCTCACTCCCATCCTGCTGCTTCCTGGCAAACACATGGCAGCCACACATCCCTCCATCTCCAGCCACCTCAGTGCCACAGGGCTGCTTTGAGAATTAAATGAGATAACAGGAGTAAAGCACTTAGTTACAGTAGCAGGCAGGCAGTAAGTACTCAATAAACATTAGCTTGTATTCCATGTGATTATCAAATTAATGACCAAACCCCACCACTGCACCATGCTTCTGGCTGCCTCCATCTCTGCTTTTTCCTCTATCAAGTGGAGGCGACGCCACCTCTCCTGGACACTTTGTGGATACGCCTCAAAGCTCTACGGAATCCATGGAGGTGAGCTCTCCGACCTGCACCCTCCACGCACGTGGTGTCAAGGGGTCTTGCCAAGCTGACTCTGGGTGCATGTGGGGTCTGCACCATAACTCAGGACTGTGGCTTACTGACTTCATACATACCTGGTCACCAACACAGCACTGGGCACAGAGTAGGTGGCTGAACAATCACAGGTCCCGCTCCGTGACACCTGCCCCAGCCAAGTGACCCACCAACTTCATCTCACGGAGTCTCATGCCAACCCTACGAAGTAGGAATGATCCCTACTTCACAGATGGGAAGACTGAGACTCAACGAGGTTATGCAATCTATTTGAACACCACACAGCTGATATCCAGGCCGCACTGATCCAAAGTTCACACCCCATTCTCTTATGTTGCCTCCCAATAATTTGTCAATTTGCTTTGTGTGTTTTTAAGGGGTACGATTCAGTGATTTTCAGTTTATTATTCACCAGGTCCTACAGCCACCACCACTATCTAATTCCAGAACGCTTTTCATTACCCCCAGAAGAAACCCCGTGCCCCTTAGGAGTCGCTTCCCATCCCTCCTCCCCACTCCCTGCAATCACGAATCTATTTTCTGTCTCTTTAGAATTGCCTATTCTGCACCGCTCATGTACACAGAATGATAGAATATGTGGTCTTCTAAATGCGCCACTTCTAAAAAAGTCACTCTCCTTCATAAACAGCCACCTCTCTGCAGTTCTGTTGACTAACAGGATTTATGGAGCTCCCCTGACTTTCTCTAAAAATAGTAAATCCCCTCCCCAAGTCCAGTGATAGTCAGTGATACCTAAATACAGACTAAGCCGGCGCAGCCATGGCCGACCCATCCTCAGAGGGCAGGCTCGGAGGTACTGCCGGGAACATTGACAGAGACCATTCCTAAGAACCAGCCTGCACCTCCTGGGGGACTGAGAAACCAGCCACTGAGGACTGTGAAAAACGGGGCACAAGAGCAGGAAGGGAAGGTGGGAAGGAAGGGGCTGGGGGAAGATCTTAGCCACAGCCTCCAAAGGCCAGAGTGGAGGAGAAAGAGCCCAGAACAGAGCAGGGCCAGGGTCTACGCCTCATCCCCAGCTGTGCAGCCCAGAGCACATTTCTCAGCCTCTCTGAGCCTCAGGCACCTTGTCAGTGGAGGAGTGGAGAAGCACCTGCAACCCCACAGGGAGGCTGTGAGAAGTAAATAAAACGTGGAAATAATTTGAAAACTACCAAGCTAGATATGCTGTTATAGTCACGGTGGGCAACCGGGGAGCCAGGGACTATTTCTACCTAATAATATTGTTCTTCTTTTTTAAATGGTCATCAGGATGAATAATTACCTATAATTCACAGCAAATGCAGTGACAGTTAAAACCTAGCTGACATAATAAATAGTAAATACTTTACAAATATGCATATTCCTAATGTAGCAATTCTACTTGTAAGAATACGTGAGGAGGCACGAAGACACGAAAGGAGGGGGAGGCAACTGCTCATCACAGCACGTGGTGAGTGGTCTTGGCTCAAAATCCTCCCTCCCTGGCCTCCCTATGGGAGGGGTCTACTTCTAACCCCGCCAACACTGGTTGGGCCCCAGGGTTTGCTTCAGCCAATGCAATGTGAGGGGAACTGACACGCACCACATAGCCATTCCCACGTCTGAGCAGAAGCTTTAAGAGGTATATTGTTCCTGCCGGGTCCAGTGGCTCACACCTGTAATCCCAGCACTTTGGGAGGCTGCGGTGGGAAGAACACTTGAGGCCAGGAGTTCAAGACCAGCCTGGGCAACATAACAAGGCCCCCATCTCTACGAAAAATATAAAAAGTAAAAATTACCCAGGTGTGGTGGTGCATACCTATAGTCTCAGCTACTTGGGAAGCTGAGGCAGGAGGACCACTTGTGCCCATGATTCCGGGGCTGCAGTGAGCTATGATAGCACCAGAGCACTGCAGCCTGGGTGCCACAGCAATATCCTGTCTCTAAAGAGGAAAAACAGAAATAGAATTATGTTGTTCCACCATCTTTTTTCCCTCTGCCATGAGACCAGCAATGTCTCAGATGGGGCTGCTCTGAAAGCCTGGCTCCCTGAGGGACAACGTCATAGAGCAGAGCCACAACCAACAGGTGATGGTCATGTCACTTGAGGGACAAAGAATTCTTCATTGCTGCAAACCACTAAGATTTGGAGGGTCATTAGTACCAGAGCATAGCCCAGCTGACCGACACACAGTCATGTTCCTACTAATGCAAAAGTGCAAACAACCTACACGTCCACCTAAATAAATAAATGACCCATCTCCACAATGGAATGTCAATAAAATGATGTATACATTGGCATAGAAGAACATTCTCAATACGCTGCTAACTGAAAAAAGCAGAGTATAAAATAGCATGAACTGACAAAGGATTAGTCTCTAGAGTGAAAAAAAGAAAATCTACAAATCACTAAGAAAAAGATAATCCACCCAAAAGGAGACTGGACAAAGGATATGAACATGCAATTAATTTACAGCAGAGGATACGCACATGCAATTAATTTACAGCAGAGGATACGCACATGCAATTAATTTACAGCAGAGGATACGAACATGCAATTAATTTACAGCAGAGGATACGAACATGCAATTAATTTACAGCAGAAGATACGCACATGCAATTAATTTACAGCAGAGGATACGCACATGCAATTAATTTACAGCAGAGGATATGAACATGCAATTAATTTACACCAGAGGATACGAACATGCAATTAATTTACAGCAGAGGATATGAACATGCAATTAATTTACAGCAGAGGATACGAACATGCAATTAATTTACAGCAGAGGAAAGCAGAAAGGACAATAATGTATCGAAAATATGTCCAACTTCACTAGAACTTAGGGAAGTACAAATTCAAATAATCATGAGATACTATTTTACACCCATCAGAGTGTTCAGATGTTAAAGTCTGACAACACAAGTGCCGGAGAGGTATGAGGAAAAGGAGCTCACTGACCCTTGTAGAGGGGAGTGAAACTGCCACAAATGCCTTGGAGATGAATTTAGTAATAAACAGTACTGTTGAGCGTGAGAATACCATAGCACCTGGCAATTCCACTGCTAAATATTCTAGACCTCTAAGGAATTCTCAGGGTGTGCTCGTATTGGTTATCTGTTACCGTGTAACAAATGACCCTCCAAAAGTCAGCAGCCGAAAACAACAAACATTATCTCACAATTTCTCTGGGCTGGGAATCTGGCTCAAGGTCTCTCATGAGGTTCCCCTTTGCTGTTTTCAGGGCAGCAGTCTCATCCGAAGGCTCAGCTGGGAGTGGGGAGCGGATGGAGATCTGCTTCCAAGCTCACTCACATGGCTGTTGGCAGGCCTTGGTCCCTTGTCACCTAGGCCTGCCTCTCCACAGGACTGCCTTGAGACATGGCATCTGGCTCCCTCCAGGGCTGGCAATCCAAGAGGGCAACAGAGAACACCCAAGCTGGCAGCTGCAGTCTTTTTATAACCTGATGTCAGAAGTGATGTCCCATTCCTCCTGCTGTGTTCTATTTGTTAGAATCAAGTCAGTTAAGTCCAGCCAACACCCGAGGGAAGGGATTACACAAGGGTGTGAAGACCAGGATGTGGGGACCAGTGGCGGCATCTTAGAGGCTTCCTTCCACAGCACTCAAGGAGGATCAATATTCATATGGCACTCTTTATACTAATGAAAAAATGGAAGTGACCTAACTGTATATGACTAGAGAAACGATGGCTTATTTAGACAATGGGGGCTGGCACAGTGGCTCACGCCTGTAATCCCAGCAATTTGGGAGGCCAAGGCAGGTGGCTCACTTGCGCTCAGGAGTTCAAGACCAGGCTGGGCAACTTGGCAAAACCCTGACTCTATAAAAAATACAAAAATTAGCCAGGCATGTACCTGTAGTCCTAGCTACTTGGGAGGCTGAGGTGGGAAGATTGCTTGAGCCTGGGAGGTGGAAGTTGCAATGAGCCGAGATCGTGCCACTGCACTCCAGCCTGGGTAACAGAGCGAGACCCTGCCTCAAAAAAAAGTCAATGGAATTGTATACAGCAGTTAACAAAAAGGAGAAAAAAGAAGACCATGAACCACATCTATGTATCAACATGGATACAGCTTAAAAATTGTTGACAAAGTAGTCAAGAACAAATTACAAAGTGATATATATATATACCATTTATGAGTATTTCTTTCTGTTTTCTTTTCTTTTTTTTTAAAGACAAGGTCTCACTCCACTCCATCATCCAGGCTGGAGTACAGTGGTGTGACCACAGCTCACTATCACCCCAAACTCCTGGGCTCAGGAGAGCCTCCCACCTCAGCCTCCTGAAGAGCTGGGACTACAGGTACATGATGCTGCACCCACCTAACTGTTGTTGGTTTTTTTGTTTGTTTAAAAAACAAAACAAAACAAAACAGGGTCTTGCTATGTTGCCCAGGCTGGTCTTGAATTCCAGGCCTCAAGCCTCCTCCTGCCTCAGCCTCCCGAAGAGCTGGGATTACAGGCGTGAGCCACCATGCCTGGGCCACCATTTATGAGTATTTCTAACACATAAAAACTAATGTTTTGTTTAAGGTTACGCACATGTGTAGCAAGAGCGTAAAACGCGCACAAATATGATCCCTACTTCCCTCCGCAGAGTGGCTATTGGTCACTGGGGAAAGAAAAGAGTAGAGAAGAGGAGAGATGGGCTTGGGCTGGCTCTGTAATGCTCTACTGGAATTTATAGTACAATCAATCAAAATAAAACAAAAATATGGTCTTATTTTTGCTAAAACATACCCACATTTCTGTTACACATATCTACAAAGCATCTGTAAAATCTGGACACAGATGACATTATTTTATTCCTTTACAGGTTGATGTTCTTGATGGCATTAGGTCTCTTCACCTATGTTTCTAGACTTTATGCACACTTCTGGAGAGGCAGAAATGAGTCTGGAGGGGTATAGCTCAGAATGCTAATAAAAGTTATATGGAGGTGGGCAGGGTAGTTATGGGGGAATTTTTTTCTCTGTTTTTCTGTGTTTTCCAGTCTTACCAAAGAGACATAGAATATTTGGGTAAAGAAATAAAAACTTTCTTCAAAAATCAAATCAAACTCAAAGCCAAAATGGCCACAGCTGAACACCAAAGCACACCAGCTCTGAGAGCACAGAGCAATTCCAGGAAGGTTTGCCTGGGAACACAGCTGCCCACGTGGGAAGAGAAGGTGCTGGGCCACAGGAGGCTGGCTTAGGCTGGCTTGGGCTACGGTGATACATCTGCCAGCAGGATCCCGAGAGGTGCCAAGAGGCTGCAGCCCACCCATCCCTGGAGGGAATGGCCTCCTGACTTTGCTGAAAGGAGGAAGTTGTGAGGCCAGGCTGGCTCCTTGACCTCCAACAGACAGCAGGGGTCAGATGGAGAAACGTTACACCAGTTCCCCAAGACAGACACAAACATCCACAATTCACTGTGACCACCTGATTCACGCTCCTTGGTAATTTCCCGAGTCTCTCCTGTGAAAATGCATTAGTTTTATCGTAGGGAAATTAGTAAACTTTAAAAAGAGAAGAATCTTTGTCTAGCATTTACAATGCCCAAGAGGCTGATTAAAGACCCAGTGCAGAGATCGTCAGCAGGTCAGGCCCCTGGTGGCAGCGTCCAGGCGTCATGGGGCTCAGGCAGGGCCCACTGTGCCCCACACATCCAGTGAGCCCTGAAATCTCCCACAGAGCCCCAACAAAGACCCACCCTGCCCCTCCCCCCTGCACCCCTCACCCCAAGATCAAACTTCACTCAGGCTCCTCTGAGCCCTCTTTCTGCCTCCTGTCTTCAGCCTGCCTGGCCCAGTCTCAGCAAGAATCCTGCTTAGTCAGTTTAGTGAGCCTCTCACGCCCTTCACATCTGACCACCCTTGAGATCCAATCAGTCCTCATCCCCACCTTTGACATCAAAGTCCCCCCCTGCCTTTGGCAAGAATCCCCCTACCTGTGATGTCTTCTCGCAGCTACTTTCCACTCACCCAGCCCACTCCACTTCCCAGCTCTGTCCCTTCCTTGCTGTATTAGGAGTTGGGCTGATCTCTCCCCTGCTGATAAGGTCAACCCCGACTGCATTTTCCTCGAATAAAGCTGTCCTCACTGTTTTAACAAGCGTCTGACTCTTATTTTCCTCCAAGCCTGCAGCCCAGCTAGGGAGTACAGGGGCCCGCTTCACCCCTTCCCTGCACGGCTACCCCCCACCTCCCACCCTGCCTTGCCCACCCTAGGCAGAAGCTGTTCTAGATAAGGGGCAGGGGGCACCGAGGGGCTTCCTGAGAACCGCAGAGGGGCGGGCCAGGGGCTAGAGAGGAAGGAGGAGGGTTCTAGAGAAAATGGAAACCTGTGGGCAGATGGAACTTTGAAAAAAGGAGAACATCATGATGCAACTCAAATGAAGCTTAAATGGAAGGAAATGGTAAATGCTCAGATCAGATGGAGAAGGAGGGGGAAGAAGCTGACGGGATCATGGGTGGGTGGAGAGAGCAGTCAGGCTCTGGGCATGACCTCAGCCAGGTCGAGGTACTTCCCCTCTGAAGCCACTGTCCTGTGATCGTCCCCAAAAGCAGGAAGGGAGAAGCAAAGTGAGTACACCTGACAACGGGTGACAAGGAGCGCTCCCTCTGAAGCAACAAGTGACACAGGGCTCATAAATGACAATGGGTGACAAGGAGTGCTCCCTGTGAAGCAACAACAGGTGACACGGGGCTCATAAATGACAATAGGTGACAAGGAGTGCTCCCTGTGAAGCAACAACAGGTGACACGGGGCTCATAAATGACAACAGGTGATGAGGAGAGCTCCCTCTGAATCAACAGGTGACACAGGGCTGTCTCGTAAATGACAACGGGTGACAAGAAGGGCACCCTCACCACACACAGGCAGCAAGCCCAGCTGGGGCCACCACAGGATTGGCCAATGTCACCAAGCAGTTGATGGCGGCTTGTTTATGTCCCCATCCACAAAAGACTAGAAACACCATGCCAGACGGGGAGAAAGATGCATGCGGGGGAAGAGACAGATGCCTCTGACAGCCGGGCGTGCAGTGGGGGGCAGACAGCCTCACACCCATCCCTGGACCCCGGGCACAGTGCAGCTGGGCCCAAAGCACACACTGACTTCAGCGCAGCTCCACCACCAGCCAGCGCTTGGCCGTGGAAAAGCTCCTGGGAGGGTGTTCCTGCCCCGGAAAACCTCGCTGCTGCATCCGTTCCACCAGCAAGGTTTCCTGAGTGTCTCCTGGGTTCAGAAACGGTGTCCTGTGGGACAAGGGACATGAAGAAAGGAGCCAGCCCCGTGCCTGCAGAACTCCGAGCTCCCCGGGGAGACAGGAGGAAACGCAGGAGGAGGGGTGACGATGCGTAGGTGGCGAGGTGAGGAAGGAGAGGGCGCTCGGGTGACAGGAAGGGCGCCTGTGGGCTCAGGAGGCAGGAGAGGCGGACGTGCTGAGTAACAGGCAGCCAGCACCCTGTGGCTGGGCCGGGGGCACCTGGGGGCAGGCAGGAGAGTCCAGGCTGTCCCCAGAGCCCGCCCCGCCCTCTGCAGGCTCTTGGCAAGGCCCGCATGCAGTAAGAGGGTGCGGTCACTTGCAAGGCTTAGAGAAACCGCTCCTGCAGCCGGGAGAGCAGATGGGAGGCCACGAGATGGAGCGAGAGGCGGGATGAGGAAGAAGCCAAGATGGCAAGACACAGAGAACTGGAGAGGCCGGGGCTGCAAAGGAGGCACAAGCAACAGGCTTCCCGCTAAGGCTCTCCGAATGCAGGGGTGGGCTTGCTGCACCCCCAGGCTGCACCCAGAAGCTCTGACTCAACCAGCACGGTGTGGGCCTGGGAACCTGCATTCTCACAAAGATGATCGGGGTCCGCAGTCGGAGACACACTGACAGAGAGCCCCTGCCGTGGGCAGGAAGTGAGTTAACGTGGACTGAGTGTGTCCCCCACAAAACCCCTATGTGGAAGCCCCAATCCTTACTACCTCCAGATGTGACTGTATTTGGACACAGGGACTTTGAAGAGGTCATGAAGGTAAAATGAGGTCACTGCGTGGCTCCTGATCTAGGGCTGGTGTCCTCACAAGGAGACTGGGACTCAGACACACTCGGAGGGATGGCCGTGTGAGAACAGAGGGAGAAAGGGCTACACGGAGCCGAGGAGAGAGGCCTCGGGTGACACCAACCCTGCCGCCACCCTGTCTCAGACATCAGCCTCCAATACTGTAAAAAAAAAAGAATTCCTGTTGTTTAAGGCACCCAGACTATGACCCCGTTTCCAGCAGCCAGAGCTGACTAATACACCGGGAAGGTTAGACGACTCAGGGCTTGGTGGGGAGGGGCAGGGTGGCCCTTGCTCCAAAGCTGCTGCCCTTCGCCACTCTCCTATGAGGACTAAATAAGAATAAGCATTCTGGGAATTGCAAACATCCACCAAAAAGTCAGGAATTCTCCTTTTGTCCATGTCAGAAGCATCTAGACTGGGACCTTCTGAGCACGACTCACCAGCCCCCATTCCCTGTGGCGCCGACAGACAGCCCCGAACACAGCATAAAGGCCGCTCTGAAAAAGAAAGCATCTCTAGCTTGCCACATAAATTGTGCATAGTCTCTAAAAGGAAAAAAAAAAAAAATCAAAGGACCAAGATTTAAATAACAGGAAGTGTTTTGAGGGTTGAAGACCATTTGTGCAGGTGTCACGAGACCAGGAACTCCTTCCGTGTGGCCCGACTAATCCTAAAGCCAGATTCTTGGAAACTTACCCTGCTCGATATGGCCTCGGCCTGCATCCCCAACTAGGTCAGTCAGGCAGGGCCTGGAGCTGTCTCTTCTTTAGAAAAAAAGCAGCAAATCTGAGGCCGAGCTGATGTGACCAACGTCACCTCAAAGCACTTTGTAGAACCATGAACTTTGCATTCCTGCAGCTGGGAGCCCCAACCCAGGCCCACCTGGAGCCCAGGATCTGGGCCTGGGCAGGGCTGGGATCCACGGGTCAGAAGCAGGGGAAGGGATCACACTGGAGGAAAAGTCAAAAGCAGAGACAAAGCCCGGTGTCACTGCTGTAACAAATCAACCTAGTGGCTTACACACCACAATCGTGTTTTCATACAGTTCTGTCTGTGGACACAGGTCCCACGGAGACTGTGTCAGTAGGGCTGGTTCCTCTGGGGGACCTAAGGGTGGATCTGTTCCCTTGCCTTTTCCAGCCTCTGTAGGCCACCACACTCTGGCTCAAAGCCATTCCTGTCAGCAGAGCCAGCAGTGTTTCATCTCTGCGTCTTCTTCCAGAGTCACACCTCCCTCGGGCTCACTGCAGCTGGGACAGGTTCCTTACTTTTATGGACTTACATGAATACAGTGACTACACCCTGGTAATCCAGGATACTGTCCCCACCTCAAGGTCCTCAATCTTCATCACATAGCAAAGCCCTTTACCGTATAAGGCAACATATCCGCAGGTCCCAGGGATTCGGATGTGAGCATCTGAGGGGTGGGAGTTATCCCGCCTATCACAAGACTGTTCAGGAAAGATTCAATGAAGCTTGGAGCAATGAGTCTCTAAATTCTAGGTGCATAAGAACCCCTAGAGACCAACAGTGGCGGCTCACATCTGTAATCCTAGCACTTTGGGAGGCCGAGGCAGGAGGACACTTGAACCCAGGAGTTGGAGACTAGCCTGGGCAACACGGCAAGATCCCATCTCAAAAAAATTAAGTAATTAAAATTAAAAATTTAATTTAATTTAGGAAGAACCCCTCGGACAGCTTACAGGCATTTAAAGGCTCACCACTAGTGATCTTGATGAAGGAAGGGAGTGGGGGTGGGGTGTCAGCAGGAACCTGTATTCTAATTAGCTTCCCCAGCAACCCCCCACATGTCGAACAAAAGGGGCAGAGAAAGTTCAGATGGGGAAGTATTAGTCAGGGTTCTTCAGAGAAACAGAGCCAATAAATATATAGAAATAAACAGACAGAAATGTATTATGAGGAATTGGTTCATGTTATTATGGAGGCTGAAGAGTCGCAAGACCTACTGTCTGCAAGCTGGAGACTCAGGAGAGCCGGTGGAGTCACTCCAGCTCAAGCCCAGAGGCCTGAGAACCGGGAGCTCCATGTCCAAGAGCAGCAGAAGGTGGGTGTCCCAGCTCAAGCAGAGAGAGCACATTCACTCTTTCTCTACATTTTTGTTCTAGCTGGGTTCTCAATGATTGGATGATATCCACCCACACTGGTGAGGGCAGATCCTTACTCAGTGTGCCAGTCTCTTCCAGAAACTCCCTCCCAGACACAACTTGAAATTATGCTTTACCAGCTACCTGGGCATCCCTTGGCTCAGTCAGGCTGACGCATGATATTAACCATCACATAGGTCAGCAAACATTACTGAACACCTGCTCTGTGCTGGCACCACTCCAGGTTGGGGTTCAGATGCATCTGAGCGCCAATGTAAATCCTGCCACCCAGGAGCTGTTAACCCTCAGACAAGTCACTTAACCTCTCTGGGCCTCAGTGTCCTCCTCTGTAAAATGAGATCCTGGCCATCACCTTCCTATTGCAGAGAGTTCCTGGGGATACAAAGGAGACCACACACAGAACCAAGTGCCACAGGCATGTGCCACTGTCCCCCTTGGCTGTCTTTCCGCATCACATAGGGCCAGGCCATTCCCACAGCTGAGCTACATGAACAGCTACACCATGAACAGCTTGTGGACAGAAATGACCTCAACTTAAGTCTTTTACACTTACTAAATCTAATGCGCCTTTATACATGAAGCTTCTGATATATCAGTCAGGAAATGAAAGTTATGGATCCGGGGCTAACCATAAATCACCCACTTATGAATGTATATGCAGTAAGTCATTAATGTTACCACTGTCTGCAGAAAGTGCTACACAGAGAATTCAGTCCCCTACAGTTTGGCTCTAAATAACTCCACTCTCTGCTGGAATAAGCCAAGGCTCTTGGCCAAAATTAAGTCCTGGCTGAAGGTAAGAGTACTTATACCCACAGATGACTATGGAAAATTGGTTCCCAACCTAGTCTTAAAATAAATACCAAATCAGAAAAAAAAAGCCATTGATCCCCATGTTAACAAAATAAAGGAACTAACACAAATGCAGTTAGTTGAATATATACTACGCTCTATAAAGTATGATATAATATACTTTAGGATATAATAGCTCATATAATCCTGACAATAGCCTTACCAGGTCAGTATGATTTGCATGTCAGGAAACTGAGGCTCCAAGAAGTTAACTGACTTGCCTGGGGCTCACAGGGCCAGGAAGCAAAGAACCAGAGTCTAATCCCCCACCTGACGCTAGCCACTCGGCAGGGGGCTCAAAAGAAGTCACTGGTATGATCCTTCCTGCAGGCCATCCATAACAGCTACCTAGAGAGTTACTTTACACATTCTGGATGACAGAACTACTACCTACAAAATGCATGTTTTGAAATTCTGTTTAACACGATCTGGAGCAATGCAAACAAGGCAAAGTTCTCCCACTCTTAGCTGTGGCTGCAAATCCCAGGAGTTGGGGGAAGGTGAAGCTGGATTCCCAGTAGCATCAGAGACCTCCCCACAGGCTCACTTCCTTAGGAGATGCTGCAGTGAAGAGGCACTTGTACTCCCCGCTAAAATGTAGGACCCACAGAAGAAAGTCAGGGTCACTTCAACATGCTCTGGCCACCTGGGAGAAGGAGTTCACTCTGGTTGGGTGACGAAGGGCTTCCGAGGAGCCGACACCCAGAGCTGAGCCAAAGGGACAACCGAGACAAAGAGCCGGGGCATGTGGGGCACAGCAGGGGCCCAGCTCAGCCAAATCTAGGGAGAGTGGAGGACAAGCGGCTGCCATGGCCAGCTGCCAAACGGGAGCCTCGGCATCTGTCAGCGAGCACCAGCCAACTTTCAAATGCACAGGGAGGGAGAAGGGGGCACTCTCAGATTCTGCCCAAAGGGACCAGTCACACCCACACCCTGTGCTCATGAACGCTGCTGAGGAGGAGCTTGAGGACCAGGGGCGCTGGACAGAAATCCCTCCTCATGCAAGGGGCTCAGCAGGTCTCCAGCCAGCTGAACACCTCCTCTCCTTTGATTCCCACCTTAACCCAGTCTGCTGGCTGGTGCAGGGCAGCCTCACCTACCTTCACAGCTGAGAACAAGGGGCTCATGGCACGGAAGCGGAAGGCAGGCAGGCCAGCACGCACCCCAGGCGGCCAATTCCCCCCACAAGTCTCCAGCCAACACTGCCTGCCCCCACCTCACCTCCAAGGAGCAGCCAGCCAAGGTTCTGAAGCAGGCCCAGCCACAGGGCTCCTGCCATCTGCTTTAGAACCTGTGATGCCAGCCTCCTTCAAACACACTGAAGCCACCTCCCGCCTTCTGTCACCTCACTGGGGCTGACTGGGCAATATCTGCCTGTAGCCCCTTGGCCAGGGACCCCTTGAGGCAGGGAGATCTCCCATCTGCCCTTATTTTGAGAAGAAACCCTAAGAGAACATGGCTAAGTTAACGAACGTTTACCACCCACCCCTCTTCCTTCTGGGTTGATTCTGTCTGGGATGCCTTTGTTCACCAAGCACCTAACAGGCATGAGTACCCTGAGATGGTGTCGAACCCAGAGAGGATGACGGACAGGCCTGACGAACACCATCCTTGAATCTCATGGCCCTCTGCAGCCTCGTGGGCCTCACTTCCAAGCAAACACTCCATGACTGTTCAGTGGCTTAAATGTTAACCCAACAGCCTATTTCCTGCATAGAGTTTTTAAATCCCCAACTGCTTCCTCATTTCCCAACAACTTTCCCCCAACACAGTGGAAAAAGGCCAGCGGCTCCCATGCAGCAAGGAAATGGCCATGGTGCCCAACAGAGGTGCTAATTGGCCGCAGCTGGGCCTGGGACCAGCAGGACCGAGGTGCAAAGACACCTGCAGCAGGTGCTCCCGGGCTTCTCCCAGCCAGGAAGGCAGATGTTTAAGATGAAGCACCTGCAGCTGTGGCTTGTGACGTCTTAAAGCCATGACTGCATTAGCAGTTCCCTCTGCAGGGATGCCCTGAAATAAATATCAAGGCAGCTCTGGCCCGGTGTGGGGAAGCAGGGAAACCGCCCTCCAGGGCCTGCTTAGCAGGATGCTGGCGAGGAAGGTTGCTGGAAACCTGCTCTGAGCAGGCCTCTGCAGAAGCAGGCAGTGGGGACAAGCAGAGAGGCACAGGGAGAACAGTGCCACCCTGGCCTGGCACTGGGGACCCCCACCAACGCTGGCACTGCCGCCTTGGAGCCCTGAGACTAGGGACAAATCACCCTCTGAGTCCCGGTGTTCTCGTCTGTAAAATAATGATAGCCTCAGAGGCTGGGGCTGAAAAATAAGTAAACTTAAATGGGGATGTGGGAGAGCACACCTGTGAACTGAAAACCCTGCAAAAATGTAATTACGATGTCGGGAGGATCGCCTGAGCCCAGGGGGCCAAGGCTGCAGTGAGCTATGACGGCACCAGTGTGCTCCGACGGCACCAGTGTGCTCCAGCCTGGGCCACAGAGCGAGACCCTCTCTCTAAAATCAAAAACCAACTAAAACAGCAACCCGGCTGGGCACAGTGGCTCACGCCTGTAATCCCAACAGTTTGGGAGGCCAAGGTGGGTGGATCACTTGAGGTCAGGAGTTCAACACCAGCCTGGCCAACATGGAGAAACCCTGTCTCTACTAAAAATACAAAAAAAAAAAAAAAATTGCTGGGCGTGGTGGTGCAGGCCTGCAATCCCAGCTACTCGGGAGGCTGAGGCAGGAGAATCACTTGAACCTGGGAGGTGGAGATTGCAGTGAGCCAAGATCATGCCACTGCACTCCAGCCTGGGTGACAGAGCGAGACTCTGTCTCAAAAAAAAAAAAAAAAAAAAAAAACACAAAAACCAGCAAACCCAATATTGCAAACAAAATGTAAAAACCAATAACAACCCCACCCCCAACACAAAGCAAAGCAAACACCCCCTCCCCCAGCAGGTATTCACTAGCCACTAGCCAAGAGGACCCAAGAACTCCCAGTTTCACCAAAGGTCTGCTAGAACCGGTAAGGCAGGACCAGGGGTGGTTTCCTATCATTTGCATTTCCCCAAAACATAGGCTGAAAACCAGCCGGCAAATCAGGAATCCCCAAAATTTTTTAGCAGAGCAGCAACTTTTGAGAAGTGCTGAATGGCCACAATATACTCACAGCTGTGCAATGGCTATCCCCAAAGCGAGGAAACTGAGGCAAAAGGGGAAGGGACTGTCTCCCATGGTCACAAAACTGGTAGTTCTGGCTGAACCCCAGTTTTTGCTCACCAGGTCTCCTGGCCCCAGACCTGACTCCAGAGAACTCCGTCCCCTTCCCTGAGAAATGACATCACTGTTAGCCTGACCTAAGGAAGAATTCCCAAATAACAGACCACTTACACAATAGAGCTGTTGTCATGGTAACCACAGCCTTAACAACTTTGGCATTTCCACAACCTCTGATTGATCCGGTTCTCAAAACTGACATGACAATGAAACAGTATTTGCATTTAATTTATTTTAATTGGCTTTTACATAAGGAAATGTCTGGGTTTCACCCTTAATAACAACAGGATGAGTGAGTTCTTAATAGTGGGACCCTGGAAAACAGCAAGATGAAAGCCAATCATTTTAAATTTTCATTAACTGGAAAAATTCTTAACTGACTTTCTTGAAGTACATTTTACTTAATTCTCCTTCCTTTTCTGAAATGACAAGAGCTTTTGCATGGTGAAGTACATCCTTTAGACTACGTTCTTGTGCCACATTTAGTAATGGGAAGACTAGAAAAATCAGATGTTCCAGATGTTTCCATGAAGTAGCCAGTGGAAGTGTATATGGAAGTTCCGACAAGACGCAGATTTTTGTTGTTGTTGTTATTGTTTTTTAAATGTCTCCCCAGTGCCTGGAAGAATCCCTGGCATACAGTAGGCACTCCATAAATATTTGTGGAATGAATGGATGTGGGCTAATTCTCATTACCTGAGGTCATGCGTATAAAGCAGTAGGACAGTGCTGGTCATTTGAGCTTTTATTATTTTCATTAGAGTGAGGCGCAACTGGTGCTTACCTAAGGTAGTACACCACTGGGCTGTGAGAGATGGGGCCAGCTCCAGGGTAAAGGGTACAGGTTGGGGAGCCTCATCTGGGGCTGACACCTGTAACTGCCTCAGTCACCCATTGTCTTCAGCAATCCCACCTAACGTGCGCCCACTGCCAGGGCCAGGTGCAGGCCTGGGGCCAGATCCAGCATGAAACAAAGCTGAATGGGAATGTGTTTGGCCTCTGCTGGCCAGGGCACTCTGTCTACTGGAAAGGAAGGCTTTTTTACGCCATTCCCCCTGAAAGGTGCTCTAACACTGAAGTTAGGGTACAAGAGGCACAGGGGACAACTGAGAAAGGGGAGCAGCCAGCTTGAGAGGCTGGACGGGAACCTGCAACCAACGGTTGAGAGCGTGGAGCACCGTGACCCCATGCATACACGCTGGGACTCCGTGGGGAACGCGTCTGGGGAACCGGGGGAGCCAGGTCAGAGAGTTGTGCTGGAAACATGCCATGAAGCGGCCAGTGGTGGTGGCTGCAGCACAGTCATGGTGGACCTCAGGGTCAGCCTGGGATAGCTGAATCCTGATGCCCACCTGAGAGACCAGCTTAACACGATGGAGGGACAGGAAAGCAGAAGGGGGCAGCGTGTGTCCCAGGCTTGCCTGCTGTCTGTCTGTCAAGAGCCCCCAGGGATCTATCTGGGGGACTTGGGGACAATGTTGGACATTCCATCAATGAGGAATGCATTTGGCTGCAAACAACATAAAACGTGACAAGCGGTGGCTTAGATAAGAGTGGCTTAGATAAGAAAGGGTCTTCTTTGTGTCACAGAGCAAAGTTCAGGTGCAGGAGATCCAAGGTTCAGGCGGTAGCTCAAGAATGCCATCAAGGTCCCAGTCTTCTTCTGCTCTACTGTCTTTAGCACATGGATTTCAACCTCATGGCCACAGAACAGCTGCCCCATCTCCAGGAATCACATCTGCTTTCCAGGCAGGAAGAAGATGCATGGGTCAAAAATCATCTGTCTTGGGACTTTGACTCTTTATTCAGAAAGGGAAACCCCTCGCAGCAGGCTGCCCCTCAGCCAGAAAGGGCCAGTGAGGCCTAAACTCACTGGGCCCCCTGGTTGGGAGGCAGCTGGTGAAGTCAAGCCTTTCATTTTCCAGCCCCTTGGTGGAAGCATCCTTGCACTTGCTGTTCCCTTGCACCTGCTGTCCTGCTGGGGTTTTCGTGTGGCTTCTGCCCTTATTTTCTTCAAGTCTTTGCTCAGATGTCACCTTCTCATGAGACCTTCTCTGACCACCCTATTTAAAACTGTGGCTGGGTGCAGTGGTTCATGCCTCTAATCCCAGCACTTTATAAGGCTAACTTGGGAGGATCACTTAAGCCCAGGAGTTCAAGACGAATTTGGGCAATCTAGTGAGAACTCATCTCTACTAAACATTTAAAAATTATCCAGGAATGATGGGGTATGCCTGTAGTCCCAGCAACTCAAGAGGCTGAGGCAGGAGGAACATGTAATCCATAGAGTTGCAGGCTACAGTGAGCTATGATGGCGCCACTGCACTTCAGCCTGGGCAACAGAGCAAGACCTTGTCTCTAAAAAAATAAAAAATAAAATAAATAAAAAGTAAAATTGTGTCTCTCTATTTGCCTAAGAGAAATGAAAACATACATCCACAAAAAACTTGCACGCTTGTACAAAAAAAACTTGTTCCTCGCAGCATTGTTCAGAATAGCCAAAAGTGAAAACAGCCCAAATGTTCATCAACAGATGAATGGATAAACAAAATGTGGTCTATCCATACATTGGAATATTATTCCGCCATCTACAGGCATGCAGTACAGATACACACGCAGCATTGGCGGTGCATGAAAACACTGTGCTTGGTAAAGGAAGCCAGATGCAAAAGGCCTCATATTGCATGATTTCCTTGATATAAAATGTCCAGAAGTGGCAAATCCAGAGACACCTAAAGTAAATTATTGGTTTCCAGGGCCTAGGGCACGAGGAGATTGAGGAGTGACTGCTAATGGCTATGAGATTTTTTTCTGGGGTGATGAAAATGTTCTGAAATTAGTAGCTACTGGTGCTCAACTTTGCCAGTATACTAAAAGCAACTGAATTGTACATTTTTAAATGGCGACTTTCATGGTATATGGTATGTAAATTATATCTTATTAAAACAACAACAACAACAACACTTTCCCCTGAAAAAAAAAAACTGCATCTCTCACTGATACGGCTTGGATGTCTCAACCAAATCTCATGTTGAATTGTAATCCCCAGAGTTGGGGATGAGGCCTGGTGGGAGACGACTGGATCATGTGGGTGGATTTCTCATGAATGGTTTCTCACCATCCCCTTGGTTCTGTCCTCGAGATAGTGAGTTCTCACAAGATCTGGTTGTTTAAAAGTGTGTGGCACCTTGCATTTTTCTCTCTCTTGCTTCTGCTTTCTCCATGTGACGTGCCTGCTCCCCCGTCACCTTCCGCCATGATTGTAGCTTCTCAAGGCCACCTTAGAAGTTGAGCAGATGCCAGCACCATGCTTCCTGTACAGCCTGAAGAACCGTGAGACAATTAAATCTCTTTTCTTTATTAATGACCGTGTCTCAGGTATTTCTTTATAACAATGTGGAACGGCCTAATACACTCACGCTCTTCCATCCAATACCCTCACCCTCTTCACTAATGTATTGTTTTCCACAGTCTCATCACCTTCTAAGTATTACTATATTATACAATATAATCTGCTTATTTAGTTTACTGTTGTTGCTCCCAGCTAGAAACAGAAGCCCTGAGCGGGCAGGTCTTCTGCCTAGATCATTCTCTTAGCACAGAGACTGGCACATATACTAGGTACTATGTGAATGAATGAGTGAGTGAATGAATGAATGAATGGGAGCCCCACCAAGGTGCCAGGTGGAGCCCACTGATGTGAGAGCAGCTTTCCCTCCCCAGGGATTCTCTCTCCAGGCCCGGTCTCTGCTTAAACAGAGGCTCCCAAACACACGGTCCCTGTCAGTTCTCGCACTGCTATAAAGAACTACCTGAGACTGGGTAATTTATAAAGAAAAGAGGTTTAATTGGCTCACGGTTCCACATACTGCACAGGAAGCATGGCTGGGGAGGCCTCGGGAAACCTACAATCACGTCAGAAGGGACAGCAGGCACGTCCTACATGGCTGGAGCAGAAGGGAGAGCAGGGGGAGGTGCTTCACACTTTCAAACAACCAGATCTCGTGAGAACTCACTCACTATCATGAGAACAGCAAGAGGAACTCTGCTCCCATGATCCAATCACCCCCCACCAGGCTCCTCCTCCAACACTGGAGATTACAATTCAACACGAGATTTGGGTGGGGACACAAATCCAAACCATATCCGTCCATGTCCGTGGGGAGGCCCTAACCAAGTGGAAAGATAAGACTCATGTCTGGGAAGTGAAAGGCCAGGACTGAAGCCCTGCAGACAGCCAGGCCACAGGAGCTCAGGCATCAGTGGCCCAGCAGTGCCTCCACAGGATGCCTGAGCTAGCCCAGGAGGCTTCTTGGAGGAGGCAACCCCAAGCAAGACTGGGAGCTGCAAAGGGGACTCGGGGGGCTGCAGGAGCAAGAGGGCCTCCCAGGCAGGCAGGTTGGCAAGAAGCAAATGCTCCTCTCCTCAAATGACTGCGCCAAGAAGAAGATGGGCATTGTCTTTCTCCCTTAGTTCAAGACCCAGACCTGCAGCAGCAAGTCAGTCCCCTGCAGCCCAGAACCTGCTCCACTTAGTAAGGCATAAGTCGGCTGGGAAACGAATCCCTGAGGATTTCAGACCTTCTGCTTGGATCACTCTCTTAGCACAGAGACTGGCACATAGTAGACACGATGTGAATGAATGAGTGAATGAGTGAATGAATGAATGGGAGCTCCACCAAGGGGCCAGGTGGAACCCACTAATGTGAGAGCACCTTTCCCTACCCAGGGATACTCTCTCCAGGCCCGGTCTCTGCTTAAACAGAGGCTCCCAAACACAGGGTCCCTGTATTAGTCTGCCCACCCCACCCCACCCCACCCCACCCCACCTGCCCGTCAGCCTATCATCCCCTGAAAAGGTGATCACACAGCTGGCTGTTTGAGCAGAGCTGCTTGCTAAATCGATGCTCTGATTTGAGCCATGCCTGGCTGTCTGTGCTTGAACAAGCATTTTTCATCTGAGAGTCCAGCTCCCAGACTGCCCAGTACATAACGGCAAATTACTCCCCTGCCTGGCAGACAAAAAGACGGAGGAGGCTGCATGCTCCCACAGGCACGGGGGCTTCCTTCAAACATCGTCCCATTTCCCCTGCAAGCCTCCAGGCCTCTCCTATGGGCTGACATCTTGCAGAGGGAAAATGAAAAATACAGGTTGACTCCAGACTGGGGGATGGAAAAGTGCAGAAGGCTCAGAACTCAAATTTCCACAAGGGAAGCCCCAGGAACCCATCAAGGAAACCTGCAGTCTCAGACACTCCCGTGCTGGGGCAGCAGGAGGTGAATTTGGAAAGACTCACGATGAGGACGACAATGATGTTGATGATGGTCCTTACATTGATACAGCACTTTAGAGTTCAGAAGAGGTTTAATGGCAACTATTACAAGCAGCCTGCGAAAGGGAGGCTGTGGAATTCCCATTTCACAGATGAGGATATAGACGCTACAAGGCCGTGTCCATCAAAAGCATGGCAGTGGTCCCGGCAGACCCAAGGGCTGGCATGGAGAAGGCACGGGTGGGTGCTATTCAAGCTTCAGGGAGGGTAGCAGGATAGGAACAGAGTCCATAGGGAGGCACTTATTTTCCTTTAAAAAGGATGGCCTGTTCACTACCCATTACACTGCAAGGGAGTGGGTCAGCCTCAAGACAGCAGCTCTTGGCTGCCCTTAGCCTCCCAGATGGAGTTGCAAGCACCTCCTCTCAAGTCTCTAAGCCCGTGGCACTTGGGGCCTGAGGTTTGTTTTCTTATTCAGATCACAGCATCCTTTGCCACTAGAAAACCGAGCCCACCCGGCCAATCACCGGCTGCACATGGAGGCTGGAGTCTGTCACTTTCCTCACATCGCCAATGTCCGGAGCGGTCATCAACTCTAACCACACCCACGTGCGGCCTTATCAGGCCTGTCACAAGGCCACTTGAGGACCCCATCAGTTAACAAGCATGGGCAAAACAGGCTGTCCGGCACCGGGACTGCAGTAGACCCTTGCTGAACACAAACCCAAAGAAGGGAGAGAAAGAGTGGCCGCCTTTTTCTCCTGAAATAACTGCAAAGACGTAACTTCTGCAGGTGCGAGCTGGGGTTGGGGGAGTCTGGGGCGGGGGTGGAGGAGTAGGATACCCACCTGGGGCCTACAGTGGCTGCCACTGTGGGATGCTCTGTTTCAGTGAGTTTGAGGATGCTGGTGCTGAACTGGATGAAAGGAGAAAGACTTGTCAATATTTGACAAGTCCTAGGAAGTGTAAAGAGCTTTTTACAGCCAACCACCAAGTTGACTGCCTTTAGAAATGGGGAGAGACCCAAGAATATGCACAAATAGGATTTTTTTCATGTATAAAATTATCAGAAGCAGACTGATAAGGCACTGTTCTCCATTCTGAAAAATGCCTCTGAATAATAACACATCAAACAAAAACAGATGATGTTATTGTCCATCCAACAAGGCATGTGCCCACTCGTCCCATGGGGACAACAAGAGAGGTTCCAGGCCCCGAGGTTTAGCTGTGGCTGACAGTGAATGTGAGCCAGGAACGGGTGAGCCCAGGGCCCCCTTGTGGGCTTCATGTGGTCTAGGATCACAACCCTAATACAAGCTCCGCCAGGGCAGGGCCTCCAATGGTCTTGCTCTATCTTGCATCCCCAGTGCCCAGGCCAGGATCTGGCAAACCATATATAATAATTGTTGAGGCCGAGCATGGTGGTTTACACCTGTAATCCCAGCACTTTGGGAAGCCAAGGTGGGTGGATCACCTGAGGTCAGGAGTTTGAGACTAGCCTAGCCAACCTGGTGAAACCCCGTCTCTGCTAAAAATACAAAAATTAGCCAGGCATGGTGGTGCATCCCGGTACTCCCAGATACTCAGGAGGTTGAGGCAGGAGAATTGCTCGAACCCAGGAGGCACAGGATGCAGTGAACCGAGATCACGCCACTGCACTCCAGCCTGAGAGGCAGACTGAGACCCTGTCTCAAAAAAAAAAAAAAAAAATTGTTGAATTATTTTAAGGGGTAATCATCATTCACACCAAAGCAGGCATCTCTAGCTTTAAGAGATTTTGTTGGTGAAGTTGTTGTGGCTGTTTTGGATAGGGGGTCTTGATGCATGGAAGTGCTTCTGATAGGAAAAGGTAGGGTTATGTAGGATTCATAATTAAGCAAAACAAAACCGAGGACAAAATTATGTCAGAAATCACACTGTAAGTCAACAAAAACATCTGATCTGTGTTTAGAAAAACTTAATTCACACACACTATTGCAGAAATATCACATAAAGTGAGCTGATTTCTTTTCCAGGACAACTGGGATACCCAGGAAACCGCAGGGACACACACCTGGTCTCCATAGCAACCTACCTGTCTCCAGTGATAGGCGAGCAGGCTTCCTGCCTCGGTGTTAAATCTTGTAATAACCCGAGGGCCCAGAGTTTGAAAAGAACAATTTCTGAATGCTGAAGCCATACGAATTTTTTTTAATGTGGTATCATAGGTAAAGATCCTGAAATTATTTACCAGACGTGATAGAATTTTGCTGAAAATTACATTTTCTTCTCCAGACCATAAATATGAACAGTAGACTATAAAGATGGGATTCTTTCAATATCTAATCCAAGAAACAGCAAGCAGCCACTGAGTGAGTAGCAAAGGCAACTTC